>NC_000002.12:10010000-10316755 GCF_000001405.40 Homo sapiens | reverse complement strand
TGGTTTCTCGGATTTTACAGTGATGTGATTTGCCTGGGGAGGCAGCCCGGCCCCAGCATCCCTCTCCTTTGTTCACCCTGGAATTAATCTTTCATATTAGCCAATTTTTCTGATGGCTGGCCTCATCTTCATAACTTTCCACTGCTGACTCAATATCCTGGACTCAAACAGATTAAACCTCTGAAAAACGATGGGGAGGAACGGCCTAAGAAGCCTTTGGAGGGAAGCCATTGAAAGTCAGGCATGGCCCTCACAAGGGCTGAGGTGGCCCTGCTTACCAGCCAGCAAAGAAATACGGTCAACCCAACATCAACCGCCTGAGTCACAGAGAGAAAAAGAAGGATCATCGCCAGGAGTCTTCCAATTCACAGGGGCTAGAGACCAGCAGGCCCATTCTCTGGGGGTCATGAAGAATGGGCAGGGAAGGGGAGCAGAAAAAGTTATTTTCAAAAAGGGAGCTGAAACATATTAGAATGACAAACAGTAAGGAGATTATTCCTGGAAAAGCCAGGGCCGTGAAAAGCAACAGCAGGGGCTGGTGGTATCAGGACATCAAACCACTTCATTAAAATACCCAAGGTTCAAACAGCAGGCGCCGAGATGGCTCCTTCCAGGTCAACAAACGAAGTGAACGCCCAAGTTCAAGAACACAAAAAAGAAAAACCATATTCTAGATAATAAACAAACTCTACACTATGCCACACTGAAACGGTAAATTTCCTGGAAGACTCTGGATGTTGTTTTTTTTTGAGAGCAAGTCTCACTCTGTTGCCCAGGCTGGAGTGCAGTGGCCTGATCTCGGGTCAGTGCAACCTCCACCTCCTGGGTTCAAGAAATTCTCATGTGTCAGCCTCCCGAGTAGCTGGCACTACAGGCGTGAGCCACCATGCCCAGCTAATATTTGTATTTTTAGTAGAGATGGGGTTTCACCATGTTGGCCAGGCTGGTCTCGACCTCCTGACCTCAAGTGATCCGCCTGCCTCAGCCTCCCAAAGTGCTGGGATTACAGGCATGAGCCACCGCACGTGGACTGAATGTTTTTCTTTATGTCCTAGGTAACAGATTTGCTCAGTGTTGAATTTCAGTGCAGCGAAGAAATTTTAATAAGGGATTATGATAAATTTCCATTAATTTAAATAATCACAAGTATGGAAATTATGGATGCCAGCCAGTCTAACCATAACAAGAAAGTTTGGTAAGCAAATTAAGAGGGTAAATAAAGGATGGGTATTTGGAGTTCCTCCTGGAGGCTCTTTCCTGTCTAATTGCAAAAATAATAAATGCCCACTGGTGAAAATTTAGAATGTGGCAAAACATGAAAAATCAAGAAAGACCCATGATCCCATGGAATACAACCACCGTTAACATTTAGATATGTTTCCTTCCCATCTATTTTCTGACTTTCTTCCCCGTCCAAACATAAATGAAATGAAACTGTCTGCATAATTCTTTTTTTTTTTTTTGAGACGGAGTCTCGCTCTGTTGCCCAGGCTGGAGTGCAGTGGCGCGATCTCGGCTCACTGCAAGCTCCACCTCCTGGGTTCACCCTATTCTCCTGCCTCAGCCTCCCGTGTAGCTGGGACTACAGGCACCCGCCACCACGCCCGGCTAATTTTTTTTGTATTTTTAGTAGAGACGGGGTTTCACCGTGTTGGCCAGGATGGTCTCGATCTCCTGACTTCATGATCCGCCCGCCTCGGCCTCCCAAAGTGCTGGGATTACAGGCGTGAGCCACCGCGCCTGGCCTGCATAATTCTTTATCTTGCTTCCTAGCCCCACATTTGGGAAAAATGTTTAAACAGCTGATTTTCAGTCTCTTTATACCTACATCTACTACCTACTATCCTAATCTAATCTATCTAATATCTACTATCTTATTACCGCTAATGTGCTAATTTCAAATAATTCTTAGCAATTCATTTAAAAAAAACAATTTGAAACAAAATCTGGTCAGTAGTTTACATTACTACATATACTTTTGTCTGAAAATAATACAATTACTTATCTCTATAATACTCCCTACTTCTGACTTTTCTCTAATTCACAATTAGTTAAGAAGTTTGGCTGACCAGTTTCTTAAATAATCAGTACTATCACCTCCTAAGACGAACATAAAGACATCATTATAATGAGGAAAGCAACAACCCTAGCAGTGGTTTTTCCTGCTAGAGGATCCTCTTAAGGGAACAGTAAACAGCTTCTAAATAAGGCCCCCGATCTACAGCCTAAGAATCTAGCTGACTGCCAACCTTCAATGCTCCCACAGTGAATATCCCACTGCAGTCACTCACCTCTATGTCTGTCTCGCCCTTACGCCACGAGTCCCTGTCTTCTTAATCTCAGCCTCCTTAATATAGGAAGTTAACAGGAAAGGTTGAATGGTGAGCTGGATGCATGAAACCAACCCACAGAGCTCACCTCCCTAAATTCCAACCTTAATATCTTCCTGCCACCCCCCACCCCTGCACCAATCTCTCCTAATCTGTGCTCCACAAATGTATTCCTCAATGTTATCAGTTTCTTCTGAATCATAATGCTGCCTCTTAAGATGGCAGTTGCTAAGATGGCAGTTGCTAAGATGCCTGCATATTATAAGAGGATTCTTTTTTTTTTTTTTTCCCTGAGACGGAGTCTTGCTCTGTCACCCAGGCTGGAGTGTAGTGGCTCAGATCTCTCAGCTCATTGCAACCTCTGCCTCCTGGGTTGAAGCAATTCTCCTGCCTCAGCCTCCCGAGTAGCTGGGATTACAGGCGCCCGCCACCAAGCCCAGCTAATTTTTATACTTTTAGTAGAGACGGGGTTTCACCATGTTGGCCAGGCTGGTCTTGAACTCCTGACTTCGTAATTTGCCCGCCTCAGCCTCCCAAAGTGCTGGGATTACAGGCATGAGCCACCACGCCCGGCCCAAGAGGTTTCATTTTTTTGCAGTCAATTTAGCTAGGAAAATTCTCTCTTTGCTCTATGTTGGATGTACCTACAATGCAAGTATGCATTTTTAAACATCTTTCCTGAATTGCAGAGCTGACAGAGGACTTAGAGGCTGTTCAACCCTAAGCCCCATTTGTCAAACGAGAGAACTGAGATCTGGAGAGGCAATGTCTCCCATGCCAAGTCAAAGCCAGACATCAATGATGGGATGGGAGTCACTCTGCCAACCCTAAAGCCTTGTTGGCTTCCAGACCACTGTCCCACAGTTTTAACAAATGCGTAAAACAAACTCTCACCAATTGACTACAAACATAGAAAACACTAGCAGTGCCCTGACCTAGCCACTCAGACCTGCAAAGCCAGCCCTCAGGCAAGGTGTTAAGATTCTAATGAAGGCAGCCGCCATCCTACAGTTAAGGAATTGGGGGGTGGTTCAGTCACACATCTGGGCAGACATTGTGTTCCAGGCTCTGTGCCCAGAATGCGGGGGTCACCAAGGAGAAATCCACAGGGTCCTACCTAAAGTGGCCTACCACCCTGGGAGAGATGGACAAGCAGTAAGGTCAGGCTCCAGCCAGAATTTGTCCTCCCTGGAGGGACAAAGGAGAGCTCCACAGAGCAGGTAACACTGGCTTACTCCTGGGCCTGAAAGAATACGTGAGATTCTCCCAGAATCTTCTAGATCAGTGGTTCTCATGAAGACCCTTTCAGAAGAATCACACTCCACCATCATCCACTTGGGTTCTCTATGCCTATACTCATCCTGTCCTGACTACCCTAATCACCACACCAACAGTAGAAAACCCCCAAAGAACAGCTAACTCACCAGGAATGTGCCATGTCAAGCACGACCCAAAGCAGCCCAAAGGTTGAGAAGCACCATGATGTTGGTGACAGTGATGGTGATGGTGGTGACAGTGATGATGATGACGATGATAGTGATGGTGATGGTGGTGGTGGTGATGATGATGGTGATAATGACAGTGATGACAGTGATGATGAATGGTGATGATGACGGTGATGGTGACGATGGTGACAATGATGATAATGACGATGATGGTGATGATGACAGTGATGGTGAATGGTGATGACAGCAATGATGGTGGTGATGGTGATGATGATGGGGATGGGGATGATAGTGATGATGATGATGATGATGGTGATGGAGAAAGGTGATGATGACAGTGATAATGATGGTGATGGTGATGGCAATGGTGGTGATGGTGATGATGATGACAGTGATGGTGATGATGATGAGGATGGGGATGACAGTGATGATGGTGATGGTGGTGGTGATGATGATGGTGATAATGACAGTGATGATAGTGACGGTGAATGGTGATGATGACAGTAATGATGATGGTGATGGTGATGATGGTGATAATGATGATAGTGATGATGATGGTGATGACGACATTGATGGTGAATGGTGATGATGACAGCAATGACGGTGGTGATGGTGATGATGATGGGGATGAGGATGATATGATGATGATGATGATGATATGATGATGATGATGATGGTGATGGAGAAAGGTGATGATGACAGTGATAATGGTGGTGATGGTGATGGTAATGATAGTGATGATGATGGTGATGACAGTGATGATGGATGTTGATGATGACAGTGATGATGATGGTGATGGTGATGATGGTGGGGATGATAGTGATGATGATGATGGTGATGGAGAATGGTGATGATGGTGAGGATGATAGTGATGATGGTGATGGAGAATGGTGATAATGATGGTGGTGATGGTGGGGATGATAGTGATGACGATGATGATGACAGTGATGATGAATGGTGACGATAACAGTGATGATGGCGATGGTGATGATGGTGGTGGTGATGGTGATGACAGTGATGATGATGGTGATGATGACAGTGATGATGAATGGTGATGAATGGAATGATGATGATGATAGCGACAGCAATGATGATGGTAATGATGATGATGGGGATGGGGATGATAGTGATGATGATGATGATGGTGATGGAGAAAAGTGATGATGTCAGTGATAATGATGGTGAGGTGATGGATATGATAGTGATAATGATAATGGTGATAATGGTTTTGGGGAGCCAGCAACTGGCCCAGCACAAACCACAGGGGGAAGGAGCTACAGGCCACAGTGAGCCCTTTACACTGCTTGGCGATCCCTGGCCCCAAAACCTGGAATTCCTTACCTGTGCTCTACATCTTCTCCCCCCACTCCCATCCACACTGTGAAAATAATTCTCAAATGCATAACCTTTCACCTTACAATGAGCTCTGAGAATAATCAGCCAGGCCGTATTGTTTTTAGATAAGGTAACAGCATATCACCAAGAACATGTGCTCATAAAAGCAGCAATTCTTTATCCCTGGATGTCTTCAGAAAGAAGAGGGGAAAGCACCTCCTAAGAAATAAGAATAAATTGTACCTGCCAGCATTCCAGCATGAAGGCAAGCAGGGCCTTAGCACCTGCCAGAGCCCTGCGTCTACCTTTACTCGCTGGGAAGAAAGACACAGAGAAGCCACGGCAGCCACATCTCATGTCCCACCCCTGGAGGCTAAGCCCCTGCCAGGCATCCAGGCTGCATCACCAGCACGGGCTCCAAACTGCATGACTGAAGAGTTTCTAATAAAGCACACCTCAACCACTGCTGAGGGATTGGGGGGCGGGGGGACAACCAGTTCTGCCACCCATGGCCCTATCTCAGCCCCTGAAGCTGGGGGCTTTTCTGGACCTCCTACATCCCACACTCATTCTGCCAGGAGTGTCTCCAGCCACACACAGTAAATACGGAAAACTGCATGATGTTAAAAATGATTTTTTTTCAACATAGGTGATCGATTTCGAGAGGTTCTCACTTCTCTCCAAAAATTGATTACAGGGCAGCAAATAGAAAAGATGGGAGTGAAAGGGAGGAGTTGGGGCTGTCATCAATTCTGCTTTCTGGAAACGTCTGTTAAATGCACAGAAAGAAGGCAGAGAGCTGAGCATTTTGCTGCTAGAGAAAAAGAGCGCTGCAGTCGATACACACTGCTGTACAGAACCGCAATTCTGCAAGTGTGCCCAGCAGTCCTCCTCCGGCCTGCCAGCACGAACACTCCCAGACCCGATCCATGCTCTGCACACACTCACAGAGGGAGGGGACCACCAGCTCCGGGCCTCGTTATGCCTGAGGAACAACCTGCAGCTCTCTCTGTGCAACCCCCACCACCAAGCTCAGGGTCTCTGTAGGTGCATCAGGGACCCTGACAGATGCTTCTCAGAAGGCATGAGGCTAGGACAATCCAAAATGGCAGCTCCCCAAACTCCAAGCAGTAACCAGCACTGGCTGCCTTCCGGAAGCCTCCACACGCACAGCAGTCACAGACTCCAGCATCAAATCCCTTGCTACGACAGCCTGGATCAAAACATGCCTCATAAGCCCGAATTTGAAAAGGAATTCTGTACTCAGTGGCAGAGGAGGCACTAGATCCAAGAATGCTTAAAGAGTAATGGCAGCCACCACCACTTATTCCACACGTGACCAGCCAGACTCACCTAGGTACTCACATCTGCGTCCCCATCTACGTCTGAGCTGCGCCTAGAACCCCTTTCTGCACATGACCAAACAGACTCAGAGAACATCACCAGCCAGTAAACAGAGCAAAGACTACAGTTCAAACCCAGTCTGCCACATCTGCAGACCTGGGTTTGAATTGTAGTTCCTGTCAATATCTGAGCTCAGCCTAAAACCCCTTTCTGCACCTGAGCAAACAGATTCAGAGACCATCACCAGCCAATAAACAACAGAGCAAAGACTACAATTCAAACCCCAGTGTCCCTGATCTTTCCAAGGTATTTTGCAAATGAGGTTCTAATACTCCGATTCAAGAATGTCTTGGTTCTTTCCACCATGATTTCTTTCATGGTTTCTGTCCACCATGAGAGTTCTCTACAACCATGGGAGAGAACGGTCATTTGTGATCTACCTGGCGTACAATGGGTATACAATTTCTGTGTCTTGGTTTGTGCATCTGTCAAATGGCATCTCATCCTCTGCTCTCTTCCTCAAAGAGTGAAAATGATCCAAGGTGAGAAATGCATCAGAAATGCACCAAGCCACCCAAGGCCACAGCACCACTGCATTCAACGCCCTCCCCCAGCCCCTTCTATTTACCAGGAGACCTCTCTACACACACACATTGCTTGAACCATCTCTACCTGTTCAGTTGTGGACTAGGTAGGTACTGGGGCAACACTGTGTGAACATGTGTCACACAGCACTCATGCCCTAGAAGGAGCTTCCATGGCTTAGGAAGGGATGACAAGACTCGTACAGGAAAATCTGAACACCAGCCCAGGCAAGGCCATAAAAGGGCATATCATTACTACCAAAACAAGGGCGGAAGAGAAAGTGACCTCGTTTAATTCTTGATCCTTCTACTTTCTGCTGATGCCCTTGGGCTACTTATTTGCTCTGGGCCTCCTCAGTTTTTTCATTTAGAAAAATGGCTTGGGCTGAGGCACAGTAGTTCACACTTATAATTCCAGCACTTTGAGAGGCCAAGGCTGGAGGATTATTTGAGCCCGGGAGCTCAAGACCAGTCTGGGCAACATAGCAAGACCTCGTCTCCACAAAAAATTTAAAAATCAGCAGGCATGGTGGTGTGTACCTGTAGTCCTAGCTACTCAGGAGACTATGGCAGGGGGATTGCTTGGGCCCAGGAGTTCAAGGCTGCAGTGAGCTGGGATCACATCACTGCACTCCAGCCTGGGCAACAGAGCAAGACCCTATCTCAAAAAAAAAAAGTTTGTTAAGAAGCAGGGTCTCACAATATTGCCCAGGCTCAAATCCCTGATTTCAAGCAATCCTCCCACCTCAGCACCCCCTAGTAGCTGGAACTACAGACAAGAGCCACTGTGCCTGGCTTAGAAAATAGATTTGTTTTGTTTTGTTTTGTTTGTTTTTGTTTTTGATTTGCCATTTGCCTCACAAGTTCTTGATGAAACAAGTTAAGGTATGTATGTAGCAGGGCTCACATCACCTGACACATCAATACATGCGCTGTATTTTAAATCCCCACACTCTGCTAGATACTCAGGAGTTATACAAAAGAAATGTGAGGAACACAACTTCAGCTGGTCCAGCCAACACACCTTGGGTATTCTGTAGGTGCCAGTGCTGAGCCAGGTGCAGGCAGGAGAGGCAGGTAAGAGAGCTCGCCATCTAGCAGCGGGATGGCCAAGCACCCAGCTCACTTCGTCGGTGCTGGGGGATAAATTGATTCTAACTAGAAGACTCTAGGAAGGCCCAAATGAAACAGCTCTTGGGCCGAACCTATGAAAACACACTAAGAAACATAGAAAGAAAAGGCAAATCTAGAGACAGAAAGCAAATCTGTGGGGGACTGGCGGCTTGAGGACGGGGACAGGGAGTTTGTACAAAAGAGGGATCTTTCTGGGGTGATGGATATGTTCCAAAACTGGATTGTGGTAATGGCTATGAACTCTATTAATTTACTGAAAATCATTAAACTGTACACTTAGAATGGGCATGCTTTATGAGAGATAAATTCTATCTTGGTATTAATTAAAACAAAAATGAGTAGGAGTTTAGCAGATAAGGAAGTCTGGGTGAGACAGAAGAAAGGCATCGAACAATCCAGCCCCAACTCCAACCCCTCCCCTGCACCCCCAACTCTCCCAGGTATCAGCTTAGAGGGTGCTTCTCCAGGGAGCCCCCTATACTGGGGTAGGAGCTCCCCTCCATAGCACTTCACGCTCCCTGGTCTTATTTGATAGGTACCCCACATACAACCCCCAGCCCAAGACCTTAAACTCTGCACAGGTAGGGAGGATGCCTGGGCCCAACCTTCTCAGACTCCAGCTTGGTCCAAGGCACACAGTAGGTATCAGAAGCACTTACTGCGTTAAGAGAACAAACCAAGGTTTGGTGGGGTTGGGGAGGCAGAAGACAGTGGGATGATGAAATCTGCGTTTTAAACTGGGAAGTGCTGCCGGTGTGGCTGGAGTGAAGGAACTGGAAGCATTCTCTGGGCCAAGGGCAGATAAGGCTCCGCTGTGCCGGAAGAGTGGGTGTGAGCCCTCAGAGAGGGCTGACCCAATTAGATGGCAAAGTGAAGACAGACAAAGAGCTCCAAAACTCTCCAGAGATTTCAAGTGAAGACAGAGAAAGAGCTCCAAAACTCTCCAGAGATTTCTAGCTTTAACAAATGAGTAGATGAGACGTGTTGACCATAATAGGTAGGAGACACAGCTTCAGTGAGGGAGATGTGTCCTCGGCTCTGTTTTGATGTGGAACAGCTCGGAGCCCACACCTAGTGTTAGGTCTGCAGCTCAGGGGGACAGCTCAGGTGTATATCTATATCACCTGCCAATGCACAGATGTGGGCATAGGTGAGTTCAGCCAGTGCACCTGGGCAGGTAGAAGGAACTGTCCTCTAGACATGCACTTAATATCATGCCTACCTGAGAGGAGACCTCACTTGCCTAAGGGGACACAGAGCAAGGAAAGATTTAAGCTAGGGCAAGAGAGTACTGAGGCGAAATCTGGGAAGACTTCCAAGAGGAGAACCACGCACCACCCAAAAGCCTTCTTCCTTTTTTCAGGGTCACAGCAACCTTATCCATGCAGTACGTATTTAACAATCCTGAGTTTTCTTAGCCAAGGGTCAGAGACCCATCCCTTGCTGGAGAAGACCTCTTGTCTCATGCCACAGGTGGGGCTAAGACACCTCCACCCCCAGGCTCCTGGCTTCCTGCCAACTTGGGTAGTACCTCAAGCACCAAAAAGATCCAAATACCCAGACAACCCAGCTGCGGGATTAGAAGCATTCAGGGTGCACTTGCTTCTTAAGGTAAAGGCACACAGCCCCAAGAAGTCATCTTTCCTGCCCTGCTGCTGGCAGAGGAGGGTGGCAACAGGAAGAGAGTGGAGGTCTCTGGGAAGGATTTCTTTAGTTCGTCATGCCTCCGATGTGAAGCTTTGCCTCTGAAATTCAATTTTACTTGAAACAACATGGCCAAGGTAGGGCTCTTTAAAGGATTTACTGTGCTTTTCAGATGATTTAAAAATCTTGAGACTTGCGCCCTGCTCATCAGCATCTAAGAAATGTTCCACCTGTCAAACCGTATTGATTACCTGAAGTCATATTACAATCTGCACCACTAGATTCCAACCATTTTTTAGTCTTTGTAGAAAGTGATTTGAAGAAACCTTTTTTCCGTAGGGTAACTGGCACCAAAAGAGCCCCTAAGCCCATGCTGCTGTCTCCATATACAGCCACCCTCTGTCATTCCCAGATTAGAAACTCAATCTAAGGGGAAAAGCACAAGAGCTACCTGACATTCACAGATGTGCAGCTTTACATGAGGACATAAGAACGACACAGAAACCCCCTGCTACCATAGGAGAGCAGGGAGCCCCAAAGTAGAGTGTGATTAAAATCTACAAGTGTCTGCTCATCCTAACTCCAAACATGCCTCCCCCACCCCCCAGCACAGTGACATCAGGTGCTGACAAACTAGCAGAATACACATAATCCCCCATCAATCCTGGCCTGGCAACTCATCAGTTGAACGCATTATCCCACAATGAACAAGCACGGTTTAGGGCTTGCTGGAATGCAAAATTTTAATACAAACCTAACCCCAATCTAGATAAAAATTCAGCTGCCAAGTAGCTTAATCTTCGGTGCCAAATAAACTCCGGGGCCCCCGTTAGTACCCTGGATTATCACTGGTTCATGAGTGAGTGTGGTACTCTACCACTTATGAGTAGCAAAAAGGGTCTTAGAATAAGTGTCACAGGGAGACAACTGCTCTGACGCACACTCAGCAGGGCATGCACTGTACCCGCGCTGCAGACCTTGGAACTGTGCTTGCAGAGCCCTGAAGGTAGGGGGTGTGAGCACCAGCGCTTCAACAGGAGGAAACAGCTCCAGGGTGAAATGGTGCTAGGTGAGTATGGGGCGCCTGGCTGGGGCGTTTGCACCAAGCGAAGTCCAGTCCTTGTCCTTCCATAGACTGCACTTCTAATTCTGCACAGCCCTGTGGCCAGAAAGGGGACGGAGTGTGTCCACGTTCTTGTATTTCACTTAGAATCTATCTCTAGGAGGGCTTGTTGGAAATAAATGGGTCATTGGCTGGAGTTTGGGCAAATCTCTGTTCTTCTGGGGTTTTGACTTGTTCTGGTTTCTCCACAGATCAAAGGACCTTCCATTTATTGGATTCCAAAGACAAAGTCTCCCAAATTGTTATCACACATTGACATTTCTGTTCCACCTTAAAAACAGCATGAAAGTGGGACGCAGAGGGAGCAGGCAAGGCTAGAATGTGCCACCGTGGCACCACATCCCACCGCAAGGGAGAGGCAGGGCCCCCGGGCCTTCCCTTTGCCACATTATCCAATAAAACCTCAAGAGCTCAGTAATTACAGGCACTTTCAAAAGTGAAACAGAAATAGATCTAAGGCCAAAACACTGGCTTGCTTGAGACAAAGGGCTGGCTTTAACTAGAAAAAAACAAAAACAAAACAAAACACAAACCTGGGTTTGGGTCTGTCTTCTGAGCTGAGAAAGCCAGACTGATTTTTTTTTTAATATTATTATGGAACCTGATTATGAGGAAAGAGTAGGATTCACACCAAAAGCCCTTTTTTCTTGTAGGACATAAAATCATTTGATGAAACAGAAAACAGGGTGCATTCTAAGTGTGCCCCTGTCACTAAGTCAGGATGAAAAATGAGAAAATGAGTTCATCGCATCCCCCTGGCCTGCCATGGCTAGGATTGCAGGGCTTCAGTCTCGGCCGAGGGAAACCAAAGGAACCGGACCAGGTTTCTATCCCTGGCTCCTAAAAGCCCGCAAAGCAGCCCGCCTCTCTGGGAACACCATCACGTAGCCCCTGACAGTTGGGAAGCGCATCCATACCAAAAGGCCGCCCATGCTGTCCCCTCCGCAGCCCAACCCCATGCCGGCGCTCCATTTTGAGAGCCTCCTGCACTGGTGAGATCTTGGCTCCCTTGGTTAAAGGCGATTTTTTTCCCCCAGAGAAAGACACCAAGGCGATGAAGGGAAAGAATATCCTTCGCTCTGGCCGAGAGCCACCCGACCCCTAGAGCTGGCCTTGCTGCGTCCGAGCCAGCGCCGAGGCGCCAGAACTCTCCAGAGAGTGAGTCGTGGTAAGAGCTGGGTGCTCGTTCACTGCGGTTCAATTTTACGACTAGTAGGTTTCAAAAGTAAATGTTTTAAATTAAGGTGTGGGACTAGGAGGAGGTGTCCCATGTGGCACCCCCGGCATGAGGCTGGCTGCAAGGGAGCAGGGATGGCAGGGGCTGGGGCTGGGGGTTGTCTAATGCCGAGGCCAGCAGCTGGACTCGGCGTCCCTGGCAAACATCCTCCTCTGGTGGAATTGGGGTCAGCCAGGAGGAAAGGGGTGGCCTTTGGCGGCCGGGACACCCCGGGAGCCCGAGATCTGCATGTGCGGGAAGCGCCAATTTTACGCCGTGACTCTCGGACTCCACGAGCTGAGCTGCATCCTCCCGGACTAGGAACTTGTTGAACCAAAGGGTTCTCAACTCCGCAGTCGCTGCCTCCCGGCCAGGAGAGGGACCCCCACGCTTGCGCGGGAGCCTGGGGGCTGGGGCAGGGCCGGCGCCCAGCGCGGCGCTCTCGGGCACTCGCGGAGGCGGCGCCGCCCGGGAGGTGCTGCAGGAGGCAGCGCAGCTGGCAGCTAAACTTTCTCGAATCTCAGTGCTTCGCGGTTAAGTTAGGGCCAGGGAGAGGCACAAAACACGCCCGGGGAAAATGTAAGGCCCCACCCACGATAAAGGGGAAAAAAAAAGGATTTTAAACAGGAGACGCTAATCCAATTAACACAGTACCTACTGTGTGCGGGGCTTTGGACCAAGAGCTGTCTTCAGTGCGTTCTCATTTCACCTGTCACCACAGCCCCCAAGGGAGGAGCTGTCCTCATTTTAAAGAGAAGCAAACCGCGACCGGGGAAGGTGGCGCGTCTGGCCCAGGTCGCAGTGCGGGTCGCGGGGAGGCCAGGGCTCTCCTCGTCGCCCCATGGCCCTGGGAGGAACGAGCGGATCGCCTCCGCGTGGGCCCCCACCCTTGGCAGAAGCTCACAGGCGACCCACGTGGGCCGCACGGACCTGTTCCCTGAGGGCTGCCCAGCCTGCCCGCGAGGCCCGCCCTTGCCCGTCGGGTCCCAGCTGTCCTCGAGGCTCCTAAGCTACGCACTGCGCCGACCAGCAGGGACAGGGGGCTCTGGGCGTGGGGCTGGACCACCCACACCCACCCCGCCACCCCGCTCTGCGCACAGCTGCTCACACACGACACCCGCCAGGCACCGCTCCCCACCAGCAACTGCGCCCCGACACACAATTCCACAAACGCAGTCCAAAATGTGCACACCTAAGGCACACATGGATGCCCACGAGTACACGCCATTCGAAAGACACACCACCGTCCGCAGTCACCCACAACTCCACCGCGCAGAGAAACGCGGGCACTCCCGGACACACACACGCGCGCACAACACACACGCAAAGAGCCGGATCGCAGCGCTCGCCGGTGCACACGCCGGGTGCACACGCCCGGGGCACACTTCAGCAGCCAGCAGACCGCAGCCCGCCCCTTCCCTACCTGCTCCGGCGCAGGACGCGGTCCGCCGGCTTCCCGAGCCCAAGTTCGGCGCCGGCGGCGGCTGCAGCGGGCCCGGGCCGCTGCCCGGGACAAGCGCGCCGAGGCCGGGAGGAGTGACTAGCAGCGCGGGCCTCCGTGCGCCCGCAGCTGCTGCGCCGGCCCTGCGCTCATCGCCGCCCAGAAAGACAAAAGGAAGCCGGCAGCCAGGGAGGGAGCAAGGTGGAGGCGCCCGTCAGTCCGCCCGTCCGCTGCCCGCCGCCGCCGCGGCCCGCCTGCCAGCTCCGGGAAGGAAGGGACGCGAAGGCGGGACCTGGAGGCGGGACCCGGAGGCGGGGGCCGGGGCGGGGCGCGCGGCCAGAGGCGGGCGCTCAAGTTTCCTACGGCCCCGCCCCCTCCGGGCCCCGCCCCCTCCACGCCCCCTGCCGGACCCTCAGCGCCCGGCTCGGCCCTCGCAGCCCCTGCACCTCGCTGCTCCTCGGCCCTCGCGGCCCAAACCTGGCCCTGCCGGGTCCCAGCCCCCAGTGGCTTTCGGGACAGGGGCGGAGCCGGGCACCGGTTCTGTTCCCCTAACCCTTGGCCTCTGGCCTGCTGGTATAGAAGAGGCCGAGAGGCGGCGCCCGGGAGGGGCCAGCCCTGCGCCCGCGCCCCCCGCCCCCACGCCGCAGGAAGTGGCCCGGGCGGCCTAGGAAGGGGAAGAGCCGAGTTGCCCCAGCCCCGCACCCCCAGCCCCAGCCCCGCGTGCAGCTCGCACCCCTTCCCACGCCTGTTCGGGGGAGAGCCCCGGGCCTGGAGTGGGAAGCCTGGCTCCAGCTCTGGTTACCTGCAGTGACTCCCCAGGCCGTTTAGGCGAGTCCATTGGGCCGCCTCTGCCTCGGTTTCCCCACCTAACCACGGAAGGTGCTCCTCCCTTCCAGGCATCTGTGGTCTTCGAGCTCCACGCGGGAGAGGCGCCGGTCTGGCACCTCCTGCCCAGGGTCGGCGCCTCCTGGCTCTCGGGGAGGGGGGCATCCTCCATCCCCTGCACCTGCCTCGAGAGGAACCAGGGACAGAGCACCCCCACCCCCACCAGGAGCTCCGGAAAAACGGCTTCAGAAGAGCAAATATACACACACACCCACCTCCCGCCCCAAACATCCCCGAAGAAAGGTAACCACAGAAACAGCCAGAAATGTGGAGCTGGGCGATCGTATGAGGCTGAGACAAAACTGTCTTTCTAGCGTCTCTAGGGGAGAGCTTGAATCCCTCCTTCCACTCCTCCTCCACGGAAAACAGAGTGAACTCCTGCTACAGAGGCCGCCAGAGCAACATGCAAGACCAGCTTTGAGGGGAGCGGGCACAGGGCCTTGCAGGGAAGGTGGGCCGAGCCCAGACCCCTCATTCTTACTTGGCTCTGAAGGCGGAAAGGCAAAGCTAGACCTCGAGGAAGTTCCCCTCCCTGTGGGCCCTACAGTGAAGATTACATGAAGGCATGTGGGCGGTGGACCAGAGTGCACCGACTGATGAAGGCGGCCCGGTACCCGCGGGTGCCATGCCTCCTTCTTAGCCAAGGCCACTCTAGCTCCCCGTGAAGTATCCAGGTAGAAGGCTGGTGGGGTTACAGGTGAGAAGCCGTCGGTGGGGTCCAGGAGCCAGGCCTGGGGAAGCACACGTCACTTCCACCCACATCCATGGGCCAGAAGTAGTCGCACAGTCCCACCAGGATGCAAGGGGCTCTGGCAGCTGTGGTCTTCATGAGTGTTTCGGAAGTAAACAAAGCCGGTTTGATGAACACGTAGAAACATCCCTGCCACAGAAACTGAGCAGATTTCTCCCAAGCACACACAGGGCAAAGGGGCAAAGTCTGTCCACAGACTCACAGGAAGGGAGGTGCATGGCAGACACAGGCAGGAGGTGGGGTTGGGGTGGAAAAGTTCAGGGAGGGCTCAAAAGCAGACCAAGGCCTGTTTCTGAAACCCAGCCCACTCACTGGTTCCTCCACACTTGGCCCATGCTGTTCCTCTCCCATGTGACTTTTCCATCTTCCCCCTCCAACCTGTCACCCATCCATCCTTCAAAACTTAGGTCAGTTAGCTCTCACCTAGCCCTCAGCAGCTTAGCCCGCAGATGCTTCCTCTGTTTCTGAACTTCTAGAGAAACACACTTAACCGCAGACCTCTTATTCCAGGAGTGTATCTCTCTCAGATGAGATACAAGTTGGTCCCTTCCCTTGCGTCCCTCCTGTTCCTTCAAGAGGAGGACTGTCTACCCACCCCGAAGCTTCATGGAGAGAGAGCACACCGTCGTTATTCAATATGTAGTTTTGAATTTAACTAGAGCAAAGAAGAAAGCAAATTCAGGTAAGATGTTGTATAATTTCCTGGGGCTAATGTAACAAGCACCTCCAACTGGGCAACTTAAACAACAGAAATGTGTTGTTTTGTAGCTCTGGAGGCTGGAAGTCCAAGATCAAAGTGTTGGCAGGGCTGGCCCCTTTGGAGAGATGTGGGGGGCAGTTTGTTTCATGTCTGTCTCTTAGCTTCTGGTAACCTCATGCATTCCTTGGCTTATGGATGGCCATGTGCGCTCCCTGTGAATTCACATCTTCTCTATATACCTGTCTCTTTTCCCTTTTCATAAGGACACAGTCATTATTGGATTAGGGCACACCCTAATGACCTCATCTTAACTTGATCATCTGTGCAGACCCAATTTCCAAATAAGGTCACATTCACAGGTACCAAGGGTTAGAAGTTCAGCATCTTTTGAGGGAAACAATTCAACCCATAACAGGTGTCATGCTAGATAAACAATTTGTTTTTCATATGATGACTGTAAACAAGACAGAAGTAATTCTGATTGTTCTTAATATCTGACTTAGTTTTATGACAATTTTTTTCTAACTTTTATTATAATATACACATAACATAAAATTTATCATCTTAATCCTTTTAAAGTGAACAGCTCAGTGGTATTAAATACATTAATGATGTGCAACCAGCACCACCATCCATCTCCAGAACTCTTTTCATCTTGTAAAACTGAAACTCTATACCCATTAAATAATGACTACCTCTCTAATACCTTACATAAGTGGAATCATACAGTATTTCCTTTTTGCAACTGGATTATTTCACTTAGCATAATGTCCTCAAGATTCATCTATGATGTAGTGTATGTCCAAATTTCCTTCCTTTTTAAGGCTGAGTAATATTTCCATGTGTGTGTATACCACATTGTGTTTACCCACTCGTTTGTCAAGAAATCATTGGGTTGCATCCACATTTTAGCAATTATGAATAATGCTGCGACGAACATGGGTGCACAAATATCTTTTCAAGATCTTATTTTCAGTTGTTTTGGGTATATACCCAGAAGTGGAATTGCTGGATTATGTGGTCATTCTATTTTTAATTTTTTGAAGAAGCATCATAATAATACTTTCCACAGTGTACCATTCTACATTCTGCCAAACAGTGCACAGGGTTCCAATTTCTTCACATCCTCACCGCCAGCACTTTGTTGTTGTTGTTGTTGTTGTTGTTGTTGTTGTTGTTGTTGTTGTTTTTGAGACGGAGTCTTGCTCTGTCACCCAGGCTGGAGTGCAGTGGTGTGATCTCGGCTCACTGCAAGCTCTGCCTCGTGGGTTCACGCCATTCTCCTGCCTCAGCCTCCCGAGTAGGTGGAACTACAGGCGTGCGCCACCAGGTCTGGCTAATTTTTGTATTTTTAGTAGAGACGGGGTTTCACCATGTTGGCCAGGCTGGCCTCCAACTCCTGACCTCAAGTGATCTTCCCACCGCAGCCTCCCAAAGTGCTGGGATTACAGGCGTGAGACACCGCACCAGCCCGATTTTGCTTTTTGATGCACCAAATTTTTATGAAATCCAATTTGTCTATTTTTCTGTGTTGTCTGTGTCTTTAATGTCATATCCAAGAAATCACTGCCAAATCCAACATTGTGGAGATTTTGCTCCAAGTTTTCTTCTAAAAATTCTATAGTTTTAGGTTACTTTTAGGTCTTTGATCTATTTTGAGTTAATTTTTGTATATGGTGTTAGGTAAGGGTCCAGCTTCATTCTTTTGCATGTAGATATCCAGTTTTCCCAGCACCATTTGTTGAAAAAGCTGTCCTTTTGCCATTAAGTGATCATGGCACCCTTGCCAAAAATCATTTGACCATATATTCAAGGGTTTGTTTCTGGGCTCTCTATTCTATTCTATTGATCTATATGTCAAGCTTTATTCCAGTGCCACACTGTTTTGATTACTGTAGCTTTGTGGTAAGTTTTGAAATCAGGAAGTGTGAGTCCTCCAGCCTTGTTCTTTTTCAAGATTGTTTTGGCTGTTCAGGGCCCCTTGAGATTCCATATGAATTTTAGGATGGGTTTTTCTATTTCTGCAAAAAATGTCATTGGGATTTGGACTTTATTGTTTCTGAAGTACCTTTACATACACTATCTCCGACATTCTAAAGATTGTTTCCATATTTTACAGATGAGGAAAGCTATACTTGGAAAAATGAAATGTCCAAGGCCACATATTAGAATCAGCAACAGCCAGGTTTAACAGCCAGATTCAGTGTCATTGTGCTGGGCCCACACAGGCTCTGGAAGAAATACTATTCTTTTTTTAATTCCTTGTAGCACTTTAATACTTGAGTGTATATCCACCAGGGAGAATCTTGCAAATAACATTGTTCCAGCGCACAAACTCCTGCCCCAGAATGTTTGAGGAAGTAGAGGCTAGCTTGTTTCTAGGTACTCTTTTGATTCTATTCCCCAGTTTCATTTGTAATTACAGAGTGGAGAAATGCAGCTGCTGGGAATAGCATGGGTGACGCTGACTTAGGGTAGAGGCAGCATCTCTGGCCACCCAACCTTCCCCTGACCCCAGGAGCTCACAGGCGGAGGAAATGCCCTGATAACTCCCCAGCAGCAGCTGCAGCAGGAAACCAAAGCCGTGCCTGGAAAGGGGAGAGTTGGAAATTTACCATGACCAGTCAGCCAGCAGAATCACTGGATCCTGCCTCAAATCTGTAGATGGACCAGAGCTGGGAAAATTGGATCATTAGGTCAGCTTGTTTATCCCTGAGGCACGCTGTTTTGTAACCACTCCTGATACAGATGCTGTGGCCCATGGCTCATCCAGGAAGTGTGACTCAGAGGCAGGTTCCGATGCCACCCCCCCACCCCCGCTCTTTCCCCTTCATCCTTGCAAGCTCAAGATAAACTAAAATATCCCCTCCCCTGCTGTGGACCACCACCACCCCAATTCCTTTGTTGAAGCCCTAACCTCTAATGTAATTGTATTTGGAGATAGGACTTTTAGGAGGTACTTAACGTTAAAGGAGTTGTAAGTCATAGGATTGGTGGTCTTAGAAAGGAAGAGAGAAAAATCTTTCTCCCTCTCCATGCACCAAGGAAAGGCCATGCGAGAACACAGCACAAAGGTGACTGTCTACAAGCCAGAAAGTGGGCCCTTACCAGAAAAGGAATCAGCCAGCAGTGCCTTGATCTTGAACTTCCAGCCTTCGGAACTCTGAGAAATAACTTTCTGTTGTTGAAGCCACCCAGTCTGTGGTATTTCGTCATGGCAGTCTAAGCATAAGACAGGAAGCATGTCCTGGTACATTTTCTTCTATTTCCCATTCCGTATGCCCTCTGCCTCTCTCTAATCTCAAGGCCGGGGTCCTGGGACACTGCCCGGCAGGACTAGGGACGTTAAGGACCTGGTTTTGTTTCTTGAGCAGTGCCTTACCCTCTTGCCCTGCTTCCCTGACCCCTCTACCCGACCGTGGCTGCTGGGGAACAGGGCGGGGTATGGGCCGGAGCGGGACTTGCCAGGGGAGGGCTCCAGAACTGCACTGTCCACTCACCGAGCGGCCTTTGGAGGTACCCAGGAAAATGAACAGGACTCCAAGTCAGATAACCCTGGACTCCCAGGCTCTTCTATAAAGTAGACAGCTTGACCTACGAACTACCTCTTGGGGGGGTCGAGAGCCTTAAATGAGCTAACATTGGATGCTCTCAAAAAAAAAAAAAAAAAAAAAAAAGAAAACTCAATGCCTGTAACCCCACCACTTTGGGAGGCCGAGGCAGGTGGATCACTTGAGCCCAGGAGTTTGAGACCAGCCTGGGCAACATGGTGAAACCCCATCTCTACTAAAATTACAGAAATTAGCCAAGCCTGGTGGCGCATGCCTGTAGTCCCAGCTACTTGGGAGGCTGGGGTGGGAGAATGGCTTGAATCCGGGAGGTGGAGGTTGCAGTGAGTCCAGATCATGCCACTGTACTCCAGCCTGGGTGACAGAGCCAGACCTTGTCTCAAAAAAACCCAAAAAACAGCTGCTTTCCTCCTCCCCCACTCGCTGTTCCCTCCTCCTCATTAGCAAACTTAAAGCATTCCCTTTAGCAACCCTGATTAGGCCCCAATCCAGGGTCCCAATTTTCTAATTTGTAAAATGTGCATATGAATCATGTCTCGCTTGGATTAAAAGAGGCAATGTGTGCAAAGGGCCTCTGGTGAGGTAGCTCCTCAAGAAGTGATGGGCATGTTACTTCGTTGTCATGTCCTCACCCTCATCATCATCCTCCCACTGACTGACCACTCTGCCCACACAAATAAAGAAAGCCATCGCAGCCATCAGTCGGAGCCCACCGGTGCTGGCCCAGCTCAGCATACGCTATCGGCATCACCTGAGCAGACACCCAACCTCTCTGAGTTCCTTTCCCCCTGAGGGCTCTCTCTCAGATGACCCAAGGGAGGGAGGCCAAGGCACCAAGGAATGGGAAATGGCTTTGTAAAATGTGAAATGTGCTCCTGGACTACACATCTTCAAGTAGTGTCAGAGGCATTTGAACCAGAGTGACTCCATCTTGAGGAGGAGCTGGGTAAAATAAGGCTGAGACCTGCTGGACTGCATTCTCTGGCGGTTAGGCATTCTAAGTCACAGGATGAGATAGGAGGTCGACACAAGGTACAGGTCACAAAGACCTTGCTGATAAAACACGTTGCGGTAGGCCTCCTGGTACTTACCCACAGGCTGCGTTCTTACACTGGCTGTACAGAAAGAGGAGCTAGAGTAAACCTACCTAATATACACCTCAGCCCAGGCCCTGTGCCTGGTCTGTATTGTGAATGGGGGGGACATAGAAAAGAAAAAATAAATGAAAAACAAAAAATAAAACAGGTTGCAGTGAAGAACCTGGGCAAAACCCACCAAAACCAAGATGGCGACAAGAGTGACCTCTGGTCATCCTCACTGCTCATTATATGCTAATTGTAATGTGTTAGCCGGCTAAAATACACTCCCACTAGTGCCACGACAGTTTACAAATGCCATGGCAACATCAGGAAGTTACCATATATGGTCTATAAGGGAGAAGAGCTCTGAGTTCTGGGAGTTGCCCATGTCTTTCCTGGGAAGTTCATGAATAATCCACCCCTTGTTTAGCATATAATCAAGAAATAACTATAAGTATAATCAGTTGAGCAGCCCATGCCCCTGCGCTCTGCCTATGGAGTAGCCATTCTTTATTCCTTTACTTTCCTGATAAACTTGCTTTCACTTTACTCTGTGGACTGGCTCCCAATTCCTTCTTGTGCGAGGTCCAAGAACCCGCTCTTAGGGTCTGGATTGGGACCCCTTTGTGGTGACAGTAGTGGCTCCACAGAGTTGGGTTGGACTTCTGTGCCCTTGCTGGTTTACACAGTGGGGTGGAGGCAAGCCTGAGGCCATGACACATGGTTGTCCAGTACAGGTTGGGACGCCACATCAGCGGCAGCTCAGGCCCCAACATGGAAGTCAGAAGCCCCAGCCGGGGGCTCCGCACAACACACAGACATCTTTTCCATGTCAGTGGAGAGAGGGGAGTAGCCCAGAGTCTGGCTGGCTGCAGAACGCTCATGCTAAAACACAAAACCCAAAGCCAAACACAAGCAGCAGCTCTGACCTCTGCTTCAAACCAGTTTGAACCGGAAAAGGCTGCCTGCCTTTCCAGCTCTGCTTCTGATGATGGTTCCTGTTCTGGGAGCTAGAGCTCCTGGTGCATATGCCAAGGACGTGCCCTGCAAGGAACAGTAGGTGAATTTCTCCCTGAAACATATAGCTCCATGACTAATGGGGGATGGACATAATGTTAATCATATATGTATATATACATATTATTACTTCAACATGTAATCAATCTAAAAATTATGAATGAGATATTTTGTATTTTTTTATACTACTGTCTTTGAAATTCAGTGTGTGTTCTACACTTACAGCATTTCTTAATTTGGATTAGCTGCAATTCAAGTGCTTGATAGTCATATGTGGCTAGTGGCTAACACATTGGACAGCACACATAGAGACCTGTGAATGCAAAACTTTAGGGTACATCAGAATCCCCTGCGGGGCTTGTTAAAATGCTGATTGCTAGGCCCCACCCCCAGAGTTTCAGATTCAGCAAGTCTGGAGTGTTGCCTGGGAATTTGCATTTCTGACAAGTTTCTATGTAATGCTGCTGGTCCAGGCACCACACTTTGAGAACTACTGGCCTAGATAGTCCTCTGAGGCAAGCAAGAAACATGCTTTCTAGTTTACCTCTGGGGAAACTATATCATTATTACGAAGCTACAGTAATCAAGACGGTGTGGTACTGGCATAAGGACAGAGATCTAGATGAATGGAATAAAATTGAAAATGTAGAGATAAACTCTCTCAATTATTGTCAGTTGATTTTTGGCAAAGATGCCAAGACAATTCAATGGGAAAAAAGAATAGTCTTTCCAGCAAATGGTGCTGGACAACAGGATGGCAAAATTCATTTTATTTTATTTTTGAAACAGAATTTCACTCTTGTTGCCCAGGCTGGTGTGCAATAGTGCAACCTTGGCTCACTGCAGCTTCCGCCTCCTGGATTCAAGTGATTCTCCAAGGGATGGCCAAATTCAAAAAAATAAAGTTGGATCCCTACCTCACACCATATACAAAAATTAACTCAAAATGGATCAGACCTAAATGTAAGAGCTAAAAGTATAAAACTCTTAGAAGAAAACATAAGCATAAATATTCATGACCTTGTATTAGTTAGTAGTTTATTAGATATGACACCAAAAAGCACAGGCAACCAAAGAAAAGGTTGATAAGTTGGACTTTATCAAAATGAAAAACTTTTTTGCTTCAAAGGACACCATTGGGAAAGTGAAAAGAAAGCCCACAGAATGGGAGAAAATATTTGCAAGTCATGTATCTGACAAGGGACTTGCATCTAGAATATATACAGAACTCTTACAAGTCAACAATGAAACAATAAGTAAAATTGGGTCAGATGACCCAATTTTAAAAATAAGAAAGGATATAAGTAGACCTTTCTCCAAGGAAGATAGACATTGGCCAATAAGCACATGAAAATAAGTTCAACATCATTAGTCACCAAGGAAATGCAAATCAGAACCTCAGTGAGATACCACCTCACACTGCTAGAGTGGCTGGAATCCAAAAGGTGGACAATAACAGGAGAGGTGAGGATGTGGGGGAACTGGAACCCACACACATTGGTGGTAGAAATACAAAATGGTGTATTGGCTGTGAAAAACAGTGTGGCAGTTCTCAAAAAGTTAAACATAGAGGCTACCATATGACCCTGCAATTCTGTGCCTGGGTATGTACCCCAGAAAAGTGAAAAGCTATGTCCACACAAAAACTTGCATGTGAATCCTGATAGCAAGACTACTCATGATACCAACAAAGTGGAAACAACCCCAAGACCCATCATTGAAGAATGGATAAACAAAATGTGGTGTATCTGTATCATGGAACGTTATCCAGCCATAAACAGAAATGAAATATGGTTACATACTGCAACATGTTGAACCCCAAAAACATTATGCGACCTGAAAGAAGCCAGACACAAAAGGCCACATACTGTATGATCTTATCTATATGAAATGCCCAGAATAGGCAAGTCCACACAGACCAACAATTAATGTGTGGCCTCCAGAGGCTGACAGCAGAAGAGCGTGACCACTAGTAGGGACAGGGTTTCTTTCTGGAATTAGAGTGGTGGTGATGGTTGCACAGCTTTGTGAATATACTGAAAACCTGAGTTGCATACATTAAAAATAAATACGCCTTTTTAAAAAGCAGAAAGGAGGACATTTACCTCAAATCATATAGATAATAAATGTCAGGTGGGAGCCAGCCCCTGGACTACAGATGCCTAAGGAAGGTTTTTTCCTCCATACCTTACCTGGCCTGTGGGGTGCCACTTTTTTTTTTTTTCTTTTGAGACAGAGTCTGGTTATGTTGCCCAAGCTGGAATGCAGTGGCTCCATTATAGCTCACTGCAACTTCAAATGCTCAGGATCAAGCAATCCTCCCACCTCAGCTTCTGAGTAGCTGGGACTACAGGGATGTGCCACCACAACTGGCTAACTTTTAAATTTTTAGTAGAGACAGGGTCTCACTATGTTGCCCAGGGAGATCTCAAACTTCTGGCCTCAAGCAATATTCCCGCCTCAGCCTCCTAAAGCCTCTATCCCAGCCAGGGACTACACTTTCTTAAGTACTGCTGGAACATGACATTAGAGGAAACCTGAAGGGCAAAACCCTTTTATAAGGTGAAAGAGAAATTTCACAGAAGAAAAAAATCCAAATGGCCAATAAATGTAAGAAAGATGCTCAACTTTATCCAGGACGAGGAAAGGCAAAATAGTCACAGTGAGATCGCATTTCCCACCCAGCCATGCCAGGGATGGAGGAGGAATTGGGGGGGGGGGGGTGGGTTCCACACACACTGGGGAGGAGTGTAAATTGGGAAAAGCACTTTGGAGAGCAATCTGGCAAAATCCAGGAAGGTTGAAGAGGCACGTCCTCAGCCGAGCAATTGCTCCCTCTGGTTACCTACCCTCAGGAAACTTCCCTGCAGAGTCCAGAAGCCATGTGCAAGGATGCCATTGCAACATTGTACAACAGAACTGAAAGCAGCCCCAATGTCCAGCAATAGAGGGAGGAGTACATACAGCATGTGATACTCTCACTACAGACTACTGAAACGCAGTTAAAACCAACTAGCTAGACATGTGAATCAATATGGATTAATCTCTGAAGTGATGTTGAATTTTGAAAAGCAAGGAATAGAACCATATAGTAATTACTGTATACGTGCATTTAAAACATGCAACACAACATAATGTATATTTAGGCCGGGCATGGTGGCTCACCTCTGTAATCCCGGCACTTTGGGAGGCCAAGGCAAGCCGGTCACCTGAGGTCGGGAGTTGGAGACCAGCTGGGCCAACGTGGTGAAACCCCATCTCTACTAAAAATACAAAAATTAGCCAGGTGTGGTGGTGGACACCTGTAGTCCCAGCTATTTGGGAAGCTGAGGCATGAGAATTGCTGGAACCCGGAGGCAGAGGTTGCAGTGAGCCAAGATGGTGCCACTGTACTCCAGTCTGAGTAACCAAGGGAGACTCCATCTCAAAAAAATATATATATATGTGTGTGTGTGTGTGTATATATGTGTGTGTATATATATATATGTGTGTGTGTATATATGTGTATATGTACATATATACATATACGTATATACATATACATATACGTATATATACGTATATATGTATACGTATACATATACGTATATATACATATATACGTATACGTATACATATGTATGTATATATACGTATATACGTATACGTATACATATATGTATATATACGTATATACGTATACGTATACATATATGTATATATACGTATATACGTATACGTATACATATATGTATATATACGTATATACGTATACGTATACATATATGTATATATACGTATATACGTATACGTATACACGTATATATGTATATATGTATATGTGTGTGTATACATATATGTGTATATATGTGTGTGTATATATATGTGTATATATACACATATATATATAGAATGAGAGAGAGAGTATATTTGAATAGATTAGAATGTGGTAAAAGTATCAGACAGAATGTAGATTCAGGGTAGTGATTGCTTCTGGGACAGGGCAGGTGAGAGAGACTGGGGTGATAGAAAGGAGACTTCACCTGCACCTGACATTGCATTGTTTCCAAATACACTGTTTTTGGAAACAATAATAAATTTTAATAATAAAACAGTGTTTTTGGAAACAATAATATATGCGTGTCTGATATATTATTCTCTGTACTCCTCTATATTTAAAAATATTTTTCATTTAAAAAGTAGCATTTGAAAAGCATCCCTTATCCCTTATGTCATCTCTTGTTAACTCTGGATTCTGCTCTATGGTAACATCCAGCCTGTCTAACAGTCAAGGTTCCAGGAACATTGGCTTTTGGGAAGACAGTCCTGGAACCAAGTAGAGGGGAAGCTGTAGGTGTGGACGGAGGGGATGGTTGATAGAGAACTGGTGGGCTGAGTTCCGGAGAAGCCTCAGGCGGCATGCCGAAACGAAGGCGGGAATGGGAGGCAGTGGGGTGTTCCTGGGGCAGAAGAATGCCAGTGGCTCAGAAGGATATGACATGCCAGGTCTTTCGAGTAGGGTCAGAGAAGTCACTGTGAAGCTTACAGTGAAGAAGGATCAGGCCAGGAGCACGCATCGCCAAAGTCACGTATGTCGAAAGACGTCAGAAATGGCCACTAGAGACACTCATCCTCAACAAGGGGCGGCTCAGGAGACAGAAGACAGAAGGGATCTGAAACCCCCGCCTCCCAGGCGTGGCGGTGATACCGGGAGGGGATCCAGGAAGAGCACACGGAGAACTCGGAGGAAGATGAGCAGGGGCTTGGGAGGCGCAGAGCTCTCCTGACACTCCTGGCCCTGACCCCAAGGCCAGGCCTCTGCTGCCCTCACAGCTTCGGGACCCACCAAGCGCCAGGCATGTGCCCATCAGACAAATCACACAGAGAGCAGGGGCTATGGACAGGCAGAGCCCTGGAGGCCTATGGTAGATTCATGGGTACCAGGGCCTGGGGTGCAGGAGAGTGTGGAGTGGCTGCTGGGGGGTGCAGGGCAGATGCGAGAAGTACCCTCACATCTAAGTAGCCCCGGGGGAAACCAGCAGCACACGTGGTATCCTGGCCATGGCGATGTAGCTCCTGACTCCCATCAGTGCCAAGACATCCACTGCCTCAGTGGTTGCGGGTGTTGCCTGCTGATGGCTCATGGCTGAGTCACTCCCTGGGTACTGCCGTAGGCTAAGGTTCGCGTGTCCCCAGGGATAGCCCACTTCCGATGACTGGTCAGTGTGGGCACACCAAAGCTCAGGCCCCTGCCCAGGCCATCTCTGAAGCCGTAGCGCACCCTCTGTGGGGGCTGCCCCATCCTGTGGCCCCGCACTTACTACACAGGTGTGTCCCTGAAGGCCCTCTCTATTAAACCTCCTGCTGGCAAATCTCATCTCCAAATCTGTTTCCCAGGAAACCGATCTAAAGCACAGGGTGTCTAACGATGGTCTGGAGTTATCAAGAAAATATTACAGTGTTTAGGGGCCTCTATTTGAAGCTGTAATATATCTATATTCAGTTTTGCATTCGAATCAGCTGCAAATAATAGAGGCCTGGAAAATATTGGCTTCAGCGAGATGAACGTTTAGTTCTTGCTCTTGGAAAAGTAGCCCAGGGCAAAATGAATCTATAGGACAGAAAGCAGATAGGTGGTTACTGCGGCAGGTGTGGTGGGGGAGGAGCACTGAAGATGGACTGCCAGGGGTACAAGGAAGCTTCTGTGATTTGTGGGAATGCTCTGTATCTTAACTGAGATGGCATTTGCGTGGGTGTCAACATTTGTCAAAACTCGTTGAATTAAACTCTTAAAATGGGTGCATTTTATTTTCTCTGAATTGTAACTCAGTAAAGTTGATTGATTTTCTGTTTTTAAGTAGCTGAGAGGCAGACAGTCTGGGAATAAAATGGCAGTGCCAGCTAATGGGGACCCAGTCTTCTTATCTCCTGTTTCTCTGCCCTGCATGGTCTTTATTCCCGAAGTCACATCATGGCCCAGAATGGCTGCAAAACCTCTAGCATTTACTTCCTTATTCCAGGTGGAAGGAAGAAGAAAAGGGAAAAGGGCTGTCCCCATCCTTCTAAGGAGATGGTAAGTGCAACACAACACTTCTGCTCACAACTCTTCAGCCAGAACTTCATCACACAGCCTATTAAGAAGGCCAGAAAATGTGTAATCCTTTAACTGGGATCTTTGCAGTTCCAAAAACTTGGGGATCCTATTATTAAGGAATAGGAGGAAAATGGGGCCATTCTCACCATATCTTAGAAAATTTCCGTGAAAAAGTAGTTGAAATAAAATAGAGCACGTGTGAGGAGAAGCACTAGGAACTGACCGTGTGGGTGTGTGAAGACTTTCCCAGTGAGGTGCAGGGTCATCGTGTTGGCACACACTTGTGTCAACGCTGCCAAGACAGATCTAGGATCTGCAAAGATCCAACTTCCAGTGCAAAAGTTATCTCATTTTCCTAGTAGATTTGTCATTCCTAGGGCTGGAGGAGGAAGGGCAGGTGGGGTTTGGAGAGAAATGGAGAATAACTCTAAAATGTATGTGGCTTCTTTTACGGTTGATGAAAATATCCTAAAGTTTATTGTGGCGATGGGTGCACAACTCTGTGAATCTATGGAAGACCATTGAAATGTGCATTCTAAATGGGTGAATTGTATGGTATGTACATCGTATCTCAATAAAACTGTTAAATTTTTTTTCCGGCCAGGTGCAGTGGCTCACCTTTGGGAGGCCGAGGCAGGCAGATCACTTGAGCTCAGCAGTTTGAGACCAGCCTGGGTAACATAGTGAAACCCCATCTCTACAGAAATTAAAAAATTAGCCAGACATGGCGGCGCACACCTGTGGTCCCAGCTACTCAGGAGGCTGCGGCAGAAGTATGCCTTGAGCCAAAGAGGCAGAGATTGCAGTGAGCCAAGATCATGCTACTGCACTCCAGCCTGGGCAACGAAGCAAGACTGTCTCAGGAAAAAAAAAAAAAATGATCATTTTTCTCTGTCCACTTGGTGGGTCAACTGAATGGTATTCCTGTGTCTTCTACTCTCCTCCCACTTGGAAACCCACTGAGATGCTCTTCCGAAGGCCAGTGCATGCTGGGCCACACGAGACAGAGCTCAGGCTGGAGGAGCCTCATACCCGCCCCTCTAGATGCTTATAAAAATACTTCCCACCTTTGAATCAAGTGGAAAATGAGGCTCTCCAGTCAAAAGCCGCGACTGTATAGAAAGCCCTGAGTTGCCCAATCTGTTCACATGGCATCACCAACCTCTGTGTCATCATCAAGCTGTCCAGGGGACTCGATGGCCACCTGGCCAGGAACTGCGGGCTGATTGGAAGCTGTTGTTCCCATTGTATAATCACACACATCATAAAATAATCAGTCTTGTCTCTATTTACAATTTTGATGTTTTGTTCATCACAAATTTTTATATTAATTTTTAGTTTAACAAACATTGCACTAAAATAATGTTTCTCTTGATGACCGAGTTTGGGTGCCCTTTCTATTCTGTGTACAAGATGAGAGCCTCACTGGCCTCCCCCAATCCTGGCACTGCCGGAGGCTTTCCTGCGCCCCCTGTGTACTTGTAAGTGCTTATGGAATAGTCTAATGCCACCTTTTTGTTATAAGCTGAATATTTGCCTGTCTTCAAAAGTGTGAGTTCATCAAAATGTGGGCTTCCTGCAGGCAGGGGCTTGTGTCCTTTATTCATCTCTGTGTGCAAAGCCTGGACAGGCTGCAGCAGAAAGCATGCTCAAGAAATACTGGCTGAACCAATGAACTGGCCCCACCCCCAAATTTATCAGCTTTTTCTCCCTTCTATATTAAAAGAACAGAGCCCCAGGATCTAGGGTCCCTGCCTGCCCTCTTCCCCTTCTAGAGAGTAAAACAGAGGAGTAACCTAAGTTACGTTTTCTTTCCAAGGCAAAGCTTTTCGGGGCCTGGGTGTATCATCGGGGCTGAGCTGGGTGATCTGGGCAGCACGGTGTCCTCACGTGGGGAGAAAATGGTCCCATCTGTGCCCACTTTCGTGGAGCTCAGACAGGCTGCCAGCAGAGTCCCCAGCTTGGACTGCTACTTTCAACCTCTTGGATGCCATGACCTAGAGGGTCACAGGAGGCTCCAGGGGACTGGGGCCTGAAATTCCCATCCGTGGCAGGTACCGGCGGAGGGAGGCGAGATGGATCCCGGGCCAGGCTGTGAGCCAGGGGCAGCTCCGGATGAGAACCCGAGAATCCACCTCCTGACTCCACCCAGCCCACTGCTGGTGCCACCCACACTGCGGCACCCCCTCCTTCACTTCCCATTGCCCTGAAGCCACCGTGGGCAGAAGCTGTCCCCATCACTGCCTTCGGGAGGGGTGGACAGGGCACCAGCAAGCAAACAAAGCTGAGAGTGCTTTGCAGGCGCTCGGGCACCTGGCCAGCTCTGGCTGCACACGGCCGCAGGCTGCAGGGCTCCCGTCGGGGGCGGGGGGGCTATTTGCTGGTTGGGGTTCCAGGACTGCTGCCGCTTCTGTCACCTTCCCAGGAGGCCCTGGTTACCCTCTATGAGGTCCCAGAGGAGGCATCAGCTCAGAGGGGCCAGGGCTGTGTGCCCAGGAGTCAGGAGTAATTGGTTTAGAACCATGGCCTCCCAGCGATGCTTTGGTGGAGTCCCCACCCACGAAGGCCCATCCTTTCCCTCCCCTGCCATCTCAGCATGGTCTAACAGAGGCCGTGCTGCCCGAAAGTGGCCGTGGGCTTGACTGCCCCACTAAGGGCAGAGGCCAGTGACACCCTAACGGTGGCCGGCCCCACCCGTGGAGCCCGGTGCTGCCCAGCCCTTCCTGCCCGGGCCAGGGTCCTGCCTCTGCCTCTCTATTCAGCTCCCAGGCTCTCCTCTTCCTAACCAGGCTGCTCCCTGGAAGGGAGGCCCTCCCAGAGCCTTATAGCTAGGGAAGAATGCAGGAAGTGGGACCCCTCTACAGGGTTTGCTTCCAGGACCTCCACCTCCTGACTTCATGGGAGTGGGAAAAGCCTTGGGCCTCCCCTCCCGCTGCTGCCCCTGGGCCGCCCTCCTCAGCTTCCCTCTGCTGCCCACAGGAGAGGCTGCCTGCCCGAGCCCAAGCGCTCCCTCCTGCTGGAAGGCCCCTCCTGCCTGTCTCCACTTCTCAAACACATTTCTTCCTTCAAAATGCAAATGTGCCCCCTCCCAGTACCCCTCCTCAGCCAGCACCAGCTCCCTGCACACAGCCTGCAGCCCTGCACTTCCAGTTCGGACACTCCTCCCTCACAGCCCTCGAGTGGGCGGGCCACCGGCCTGCACATGCAGTGTGAGAGGCAGGGAGGGTTGGAGGCTGGTGGCCTCCCGACACCCCACGTCCTGGGGAGGGCAGTGCGCTGGCTGGCATGCAGCTGGGCGGACCCAGGGAGGCTGGAAGGCCTGGGGAGCAGAAGTCCTAGCAGTCACCACAGCTGGGCCACCCCGTGCCACTGGCCAGAGACAGCATGACTCAGCACTGGAGACGGGCTTCCTGCCCAGAGGGGCTGCCACTTCTGCCAGCCAGATCATGTGACTTCTCGGGGCCTGGGGTTGTGCTTCTGAGAGGCCATCGCTGGGCCGTGGTCTGGACCTGCAGGCTTGGGCTCCCAGTACACCAGCTGCAGAGCCTTCGCCAGGCTCCAGAACTCTCTGAAGCTGGGTTTCCTCATCTCTGAGAAGAAGGGCTTAGGACTTAGCATTCCTCCTGAAGCTGATTCCAGAATTCAACGAAGCCAACTCCTCCCCTGTGTGCCTGGTTCCTTTTCTGCAGGCACCACTGCCTCATGCCTCTGCAGAGTTGCACCTGCCGTCACCCTGCTAGGCAGCCCTTCCTGTTCTAGCCCTGGAGAGTGACTCTTCCCCCGGTCAAACCTCCCATAGGAAGCCTTTCTCCATATCTGCAGGAGGGGCCTTGCTCTCGGAGCACTTTGCACCCCTCCTCCATTATAAACCCCTGCTCTGCAGGGTGACCTCAGGCAAATCACTTACTCCTCTGAATGTGTTTCCAGCTTCACAGGATGAGTTTAATGCCATGGGCTTCATTCGCTTGGTGTTCTGGGGAACTCATTCACACCCCTCAACACCGGCATGAATGAAGCAGTTTCAGTGTGGAGGTGCTTTGATCAGGAGGATGGAAGCTTAGGAAGGTTTGTGCAGTTGGGTCAGGACAGTGATGAAGGTGACAGGCAACCTGTTCCCTGCAGATGTCTTGGGGCACATGCTGGCATGTGTTCCATAGCTTTATTTTCCAAACCCCAAATCAGGACCCCCAGCCTGAGTCTGACCATGGGAGGGGTTTTTATACTTGGAGTTGTCCTGGACAATCTGGGTCCCAGGCTGCTGGAGTAGGGGGTGTCTGCCAGGTATGCAGGCAGCAGGTGGGCAGGGAGTTCTGACCTCAGGCCCTACGGAGGCATCCACTGGCGCAGAGCCCCTCAGAGCCGAGATGGGGCTCAGCCGGCTGTGTGGGTCCATAGCGCCTCCCAGGGAACACAGTGTGGCTTTGTGCTCACCCTGGCATCTGCCTCAGGCTCTGACAAAGCAAACCCATGCACAGACCTCAGCTCCCCGCACCAGGATGGCAGAGGGGCTGGAGCACCAGGAAAGGGAGGGTCTGGATTGGGTGCCCTTCCTCAGGTCTCAGTTCCAGAGGGGTGGGAGTCCAGGGTCTTTCTGAACGGAGGCTCGGATGGCATCTTATAGCTCCAAGTTCCCCCCACCCACAGTGTTGAAGCAGCCCCACTGTTTGCCTTAAAGCCTAGGTCATGGGGCTGGGCCAGAGAAGCACAATCCCACCCTGCCCCAACACACCGAGGCCACTGGGAGTCACCAGGGACCCCAAGCAGCCTGCGGCCAGCACGTCCCTCTGCTAAACCACCCTTGTCTTCACTCAGATGCCACCAAGCAGAGCTGAGAGCAGGCACGTGGCCCTGTTCATCTCTGGATCCCGGCCTGTTGTTAGAGCCCAGACGACAAACCTCTCAGTGATGTGAGATGGGAAAGCAACGCGCAGCCTGGTTTCATAAGGAAACTGCAATTTTTTTCTCTTTCAAGCTTTTTTTTTTTTTTTTTGAGACAGGGTCTCACTTAGTAGCCCAGGCTGGAGTGCAGCCTCAACTTCCTGGGCTCAAGGGATCCTCCCACCTCAGTCTCCTGAATAGCTGGCCCTATAGGTGTGTGCCACTGCACCCAGCTGATTTTTTGATTTTTTGTTGAGATGGAAACTCACTATATTGGCCAGGCTGGTCTCAAACTCCTGGGCTCAAGCGATCCTCCTGCCTTGGCCTCCCAAAGGGCTGGGATTCCAGTCATGAACCACTGAGCCTGGCCACTCTCTTCACTTTTTTTGCTGCATAAGAAGGATCCAACCCACTCCAGGGTTGAGCACACTTCCCGGGACAGCAAGCAACTATCTCCCCTTACACCTAGGAAGTTCTAGAAATCAAGCTATCCTGGCCTTTGCAGAAAGGGAACCTGACCCTCAGGGTCTAATGTGAAAGAAAAAGAATGCAAAGTGAAGAGGGCCCTGGGTGGAAGGATACAGAAGGCGAGTAGTGGTCTGATGCAGGTGAAAGGAGAGAGAAGGTGGACACCCCCCCACACACACGCAATGCCCAAGACACCAGCAGGCCAAAGAAGGGCTGCTGGGCCAGCAGTGGTGGCCCCACTGGAAGTGAGTCAGGGTGAGTCAGGGTTGGGGTGGGGCGGGGTTCGGGGGAAAAGACTATGTGGTGGCCCTTGGGGCAGCCTGTGGCTCTATTTGCTGCAAAGCGGTGACTGTGAAACTGTCTTTCCTTGTGTCTTTAGTGCTGGCTCCTCCTCCAGACCCATTCCCAGGCCTCTAAGAAGCTCCTCAGCCAGGCGTGCTCGTTGAGAGCCTGAGGAGAGAAAGGAGGCCGTGGCCAGGCCTTTCTACACAGATCCCTCACTGTCACAGAGGGCCGGCCCCTGCCTGTGGCTGCTTTGTCTTGTGGAAGGCAGCTGAGCCCGGCGTTCATCCATCCCCATGCTGGGAACCCTTACGCTGTGAACACAATCCCGGGCACCTCTCAGGTTCCCGGCTGCCTGCTGTTTCCCCTAATGCAGGTTGACTCTCACCTTGGAGTTTGGCTGAAACATCACCGTCCAGGACATGCCACTTGGCTTCCCTGTGGGGTCCCGGGGGACTGGGAGACGTTGGGTTTGCAACAGACAGCACCCTCCTTTCTCTCTGAGGTGGGGCCATGGCATCTCCTTTGGGAGTGGTGGTCAGGGTGGCTGTGCACAGCATTGCCTGGCCTCTTTCCCAGCTTCACCCTCACAGCCCTGGGCTTTCACTTCCCAAATCAAGAGTCAGCCTTTCATCTTTGCCCCAGTTTCTCCAGGGATGCAGCTAACATGCACACTGGCTCTGTTCTTGCAGCCTGGTGAGGGAAGGGTGTCGGCAGGTACTAATGGCCCTGTGCTGAGCCACGTGGGTGAGACGTCAGCTCAAGGCTCTAGGGGCCTTGCCCAACAGAGGCAGAGATGCACAGAGCAGTGTGGGTGGGTGGGAGTTACCATGGAGGAGACTGGACAGGCTGGAGGTACCTGGAGGCCTGTAGTGGGGTCAGACCTTCCCAGGGGTCTGCAGGACAAAGCAGGACCATGCTGGTTTGTTCTTTTGGGGGAGTTTGGGGAAATGAACAAGGATGTATGGAAGGGTGCTGTAGGAGGGTGTTTGAGAGTGTGGCCCAGCTAGAATGTCCATTGAAGGCATTGGACAGTCATGAAGAGTATTGGACAGTTATGGAGGGTATTGGACACTCATGGAGGTAGTGGATGCTCATGGAGGATACTGGACACTCGTGGAGGGTATTGGATGCTCATCGAGGGCATTGTACCATCATTGAGAGTACTGAACATGCACTGAGTGTATTGGACAGTCATGGAGGGTATTGGATGCTCATCGAGGGTACTGGACAGTCACTGACGGTATTGGATAGTCATCAAGGGTACACCAGGACCCCACAGTGAACAAGGCAGGCACCTGCTGGAAAATCAGTCCAGGGAGCAGGAAAAGTCTCAGGCCTCACCTCCTGCTGCTGGCCACTGTGCCTGCCCTCCCCAGCTTCCCTCTGCTGCCTGCCAGCACCTGCCAGTGCCCAAGTGCTCCTTCCTGCCGGGAAGGCCCCTCCTACATTTCTCCATTTTTCAAACACATTTCTTCCTTCCAAATGCAAATATATCCCCACTGAGCACCCCTCTTCAGCCAGCACCAGCTCCCTCCATAAACGATGCTCATTTGGACAGTCAATGAGGGTGTTAGGCACTCACTGAGGGTGTTAGACAGTCCTGGAGGGTACTGGGCAATTGTGGAATGTATTGGACAGCCATGGAGGGTTTTGAACTGTCATGGAGAGTATTAGAAAGTCATCAAATGTACTGGACAATCATTGAGAGTACTGGACAGTCATGAAGAGTACTGGACAGTCATGGAGGGTGTGGAAACTTATGGAAAGTACTGGACTATCATCAAGAGTGTTGGACAGTCATGGTGCATCTTGGACAGTCGTTGAGGGTATTGAACAGTCATCAGGGGTGTTAGAGTGTCATCAAGAAACAGACACGGCTGGCCAGGCATGGTGGCTCACACCTGTAATCCCAGCGCTTTGGGAGGCCAAGGTGCATGGATCACATGAGGTCAGGAGTTCAAGACCAGCCTGGCCAACATGGCGAAACCCTGTCTCTACTAAAACTACAAAAAATTAGCCAGGCATGGTGGTGCATGCCTGTAATCCCAGCTACTTAGGAGGCTGAGGCAGGAGAATCACTTAAAACCGGGAGGTGGAGGTTGCAGTGAGCCGAGATCACACCACTGCAAAACAAAACAAAACAAAACAAAAAAACAACACTCTGGGCCAGCTGTAGTGGCTCACACCTGTAATCCCAGCACTTTGGGAGACCAACATAGGAGGATCCCTTGAAACCAGGAGTATTTGCCCAGCCTGAGCAATATAGCAAGATCCTATCTCCACAAAAATATTTTTTAAAAACATTAGCCAGGTGAGTGGTGTGCATCTGTAGTCTCAGCTCTTTCTAGAAAGAAAGAGAAAGAAAGAAAGAAAAGAAAAGAAAAGAAAAGAAAAGAAAAGAAAAGAAAAGAAAATGAAACGACTGGGTGTGGTGGCTCACGCCTGTAATCCCAGCACTTTGGGAGGCCACAGCAGGCAGATCACTTGAGGTCAGGAGTTTGAGACCAGCCGGGCCAACATAGTGAAACTTCTATTCCACTAAAAATACAAAAAAAAAAAATTAGCTGGGCTTGGTAGCGCATGCCTGTAGTCCTAGCTACTCAGGAGGCTGAGGCAGGAGAATCCTTGAACCTGGGAGGCAGAGGTTGCAGTGAGCCGCGATCATGCCACTGCAGTCCAGCCTGGGCAACAGAGTGAGACTTCATCTCAAATTTTTTTTTTTTTTTTGAGACAAAGTACTACTCTGTCATCCAGGCTGGAGTGCAATAGCATGATCTCAGCTCACTGCAACCTCTGCCTCCTGGGTTCAAGCAATTCTCCTGCCTCAGCCTCCCAAGTAGCTGGGATTACAGGTGCCTGCCACTACGCCTGGCTAATTTTTGTATTTTTGGTAGAGACGGGGTTTCACCATGTTGGCCAGGCTGGTCTCGAACTCCTGACCTCAGATGATACACCTGCTTCAGCCTTCCAAAGTGCTGGGATTACAGGCATGAGCCATTGCACCCGGCCAATCTCAAAATTTTAAAAAGAAAAGAAAAGAAAAAAGAAAAAGGAAAGAAAGAGCCACACCTTTCTGAATGAGGTGGGGAACCCCTGGTGGGCTAGAGGCCACCACTGTTCTTTAGGGGGCATAAGCTGAATCAGAACAAGTGCGGGAGGGCACAGATGAGCGAGGCCAGTCTTGTGTGAGTTCAGGTAGGAGGCAAGGCTGTCCTGAATTAGGGCCCAGCTGTGGGAGTGGGAAGGGCAGGCCAGTCATCACTGGACTAGCATAGCAGAGCTTACCGAGGCATGGTGCTCCGTACTGAGGAAGAGAGGAGAGGAAGGCATGCAGAGCTTTCCGAGGCAGGAGTCAGGAAAATGCGAGGCTTCCGAGTGGTCCAAGAGGTCAGTAGCCTGCCCCGTGTGCGAAGAGGCCAGGAGGAGTTAAAATAGCAGCTAACACCTGTAAGTACTTTATGTAGGTTACCTCATTTAATCCCTAGAGAGACGTCCTTTACTATCGCCATCTTATAGAGGGAAACTGAGGCACAAAGCGGTTTGTTAACTTGGCTGAGGCCCCACATATATTAAGTGGCAGGCACAAGAATAGACCCAGGGGGTCGGAATCAGGGGTCTTTGCTCTGAGCCACGGCACTCTGCAGGTAAAGGCGTCCTCAAACGCCAGGCTAGGGTTTGGGAGTTTAACTTACAAAGGGTGGAGCTGGGGGTTCTGAGCTGAGGGAAGCAGATGCCCGTGGAAGTCCTGGGTAGGCTGGGCCAGTGAGGGGAGGGATGGGCGCAGGAGACCACCTGGGGTCCCATACAGGGCTTGGGAGTCACACACCCAACTCACGACTGCTTTCCCATGGCAGCCTCTTCACAGCCCTGAGCCGAGCAGAGCTGCGAGGACGTTGTTTTATGTCTTGCTCACGCCCAATTCCTGCCCCAATCCTAAACAACTCAGGTGCCATGTGGATGACCCATTTGGTGCCCTGGCTTCTTGGGTCTTCCACCTCCTCTTCTCCACCACATCATCTCCCTCCATCTCAGCCATCAGCTCCACTCACAGTCAGGGACAGCCTGGACATTGCCTCGGAATGCACCATCTCCCAAATCCGAATTCCAGTCACCCACCTCCTGAGCTGGCCCCTCTTCCAAGCTGCCCGCCCAGTGGCTCCTCCGAGGCTGTTCCTTGGCCTTACTGGGAGTCCACTCCCCAACTTCCCAGCCTGCTGGAAGCCCACATCTACCTGGTCAACTGCGCTCTTGAGTTCTATCTTGAACTAACCTGCAACCCCCACATGCTTCTCCATTTGATTCCCCATCTTGTTTAAGGAGGGCTTTGTATCTTCTCCACTCTCTGAAATTCTCTGACCTGTTCTGCACACTTCACACTCTTGGTAGAGCTCCCGGCTGTCTTCATGATGTAGAAGCCATCAGACAGAGAGCCTTTGACCTCTGTGGCCACATCTACAGACTCGAGCCCCTCCTCCCTCATCCCTCCCGCAGGAGAGGAGCCATGGAAGCCGTTTCTGTCCTTCTCCCAAAGCCTGGTCTCCTCGCCTGGGCTTTGGACAGCTGCCTCTCCCCCTACCCCTGCCTTCTCAGGAACCTGAAACCAAAAACCATCTTCCTTTCTCTGTGACTTTGGCATTTCTCATTAATATTTAAGCGGAATGTGGCAGAAGCTGCCAGTCACCCACCAATTCCCTTCTCCTCTTCCTCCTCGGCCACAGAAGCCCAAGCAGCGGGGTGGGGCCATGTGTCTGGGATCTGGCCAGTGAGACACAGGCGGAAGTGGCCAGGACAGTGAGCAGAAAGGAAGAGGCAGCGTGGGTGTCTGATGACAGAGGCGCTGCCATTCCCACCACAAACTGCTGGCCTCTAAACTTCTCTCCTAACGAAATAGTGTCACAGCCAACCCCAATCATAACCGACCACGTGCTCCACCACCCACATCTGAAAACACAGAACAGTCAGCTCTTCCCAGGATTCCACGCTCCTTTTCATTGATGGGCCTATCCTTTCCTTTTTAGGACAGTTTGTCATGGGAAAAGCCTCAGGGTTTGTTTGCTCCTGGTGCACTCTGGTGTGGCCTCCATCATATGATCAGAGCTGCTTCCCCCAAAGCCCCCGATGGCCTCGTGTCCCTGAGTCCAGCGGGCACTCCTCCGCCCTCCTCTGACCCCAGTCCATCGAGCACTCCTCCTCCCTCCCCCAACCCCAGTCCAGGGGGCACTCCTCCTCCCTCCTCCGGCCCCAGTCCAGCGGGCACTCCTCCTCCCTCCTCCGACCCCAGTCCAGGGGGCACTCCTCCTCCCTCCTCTGACCCCAGTCCAGGGGGCACTCCTCCACCCTCCTCTGGCCCCAGTCCAGGGGGCACTCCTCCACCCTCCTCTTACTTGAGTCCAGTGGGCACTCCTCCGCCCTGCTCTGACTCGGCTGCTTGCCCTGGCCTGAAGCTCTCCTCCTGCGGCTTCTACGGTACTGGACAGAGCCTTGTCCTCCCCATGTCTCAGGGTTTCTTGCTCAGCCCCCTCTGCCGGCTTCCCCTCCACCTGTTCCTCAGATGCAGAGTTCCTCAGGGCTGAGACCAGAGTCCGCTCTTCCCACCCCATACCCTCGCCCGATGCTGCCGCTGCCCGGAATGCAGCAACACTGCCGGGCAGGCCTGCCACAGGACGAAGTTCCTCCCTCGCTCCAGAGATTAGGGTTCAGCAGGGGAGCATTCCTTCCCACGCAGGTCTGCCAGGTGCCATCCACTGGCCATGGCTCACTTCAGTGACCTCTAGCAGGCGAGCCACCTCCTCCCTCTGCCTCTGCCTGGACCCCACTTCTGCCTGCCAGCGTAGCATCTCCACCTACTTGTCCTCAGGTGTCCCAGGCTGAACGTGTCCCAAATTCATCAATTCTCTTCCTTCCCGGGCCCATTGCTCCCGGCGTTCCCCGTCTTGGGAACTGGCGTCACTGGCCCCCTGAGGCCTTGAACCTGCAGCTGGGAGTCACCTGTGGCCTGCTTCTCCCCCGTCCTCCATCTGGTCCACCACCAAGTCCCCACGGCCCAGCCTCCTAAACATCCCTCGAAGGAACATGCTCTCCTCATCTGTGCCTCCACAGCCACTGCAGCGGCCTTCCCTCGGCCTGCGTGGAGCTTCTCTGTGGGTCCCCTGTGTGTCAAATTCAGCCCTTAGATCACGAGTGGATCCCAGTACTTCCCTGCTCCAAGCCTCCAAAGCCCCCCAAGGCTCCGAGGAATGGAATGCCCTGCCTCATCCCGGCTCCCTGCCTCATCCCCGCTCCCTGCCTCATCCCCTCCCACCACTCTCTAAGAAAGCAGAGCCCACGTCACCCCTCCAGTCCTGCAGGGCCCCCACTCAGGTTCGGGTGTCCACACACATCACCTGCTCTGCCCGAAATGCTCTGGCCCCACTCTCCTCCTGCCCAGCTTCAGCCCCTTCTCAGGACCTGACTTTAACGACTCTCTGTCAGGCAGGTGGCCCGAGACTCACTCCTAGGCGCCAATAGCACCCCTGGTATTGTGGTCAACTGACCAGGTGTGAGCTGATCTGACCACCCACCGCCCCCTCGGCTGGCGTGAGCTTCCGGAGTAGGGACAGTGCCCTGCATACAGCAGGTGTTAAGTGCTTGCTGAATGCCTGAAAGCCCCTCTGTCCTGACAGGAGGGCTTGGGGCCAGGCATGAAAGCAGAAGGGGAGGCACAGGGTGGCGGGGGCCTGAGCGACTCTGTCCCTGTTTGGAAGGGAAGAAAGCAGGGGCAGGCAGAGGGAAGGCGAACCCGGGCCTGGCCCAGGGGTGGGTGGAGGGCAGCACCAGTCTTGGCAGAGGGCACTGGAGCGGCGAGGGTCAGGGACGTAAGAAGTGTTCATCCCTCAGGTGACAGGATGCAGGAAAGAGGTCTGGGCGAGGGGTGAAGGGGTGGCAGCCATGGGGAGGTGAGGGAGCTGTGGGAGGAGAAGAGCCACTGGGGCGGACGGGAGGGAAGAAGAAAAGCCGAGACGGAGCCTGGGACTGTGATGCTGACACCGTCACCTGCCCGCCAGCTTGGGGCTGCAGAGCTGCCGGGTCAGCCCTCTTCAGTTCATGAAAACGGAAAGGAAGAAGCATGCAGTTCTTTTCAAACAGACACTGAGCCAAAGTTGGCGGGGGCAGCAGCAGGGTACTTCTTGGCAGGGAGCACTTACTTCTGGTCCAGGCTACCAAGGGTACAGGTTTGCCCTGTTAAGCCACTTTGGGATCCGAAGCTAGAAGAGGTCAAAGTGTCCGAGGCATTCAAACCAGAGTGACTCCATCTTGAATAGCGGCTGGGTAAAATAAGGCTGAGACCTACTGCCAGTGGGCTGCATTCCAAGGAGGTCAGGAGGTCAGGCATTCTTTTTTATTTTTTTTATTTTTTTATTTTTTTTGAGATGGAGGTCTGCTCTGTTGCCAGGCTGGAGTGCAGTGGCGTGATCTCGGCTCACTGCAACCTCCACCTCCCGGTTAAAGCGATTCTCCTGCCTCAGGCTCCCGAGTAGCTGGGACTACAGGCAAGTGCCACCACACCCAGCTAATTTTTGTATTTTTAGTGAAACAGGGTTTCACCATGTTGGCCAGGATGGTCTCGATCTCTTGACCTCATGATCCGCCCGCCTCAGCCTCCCAAAGTGCTGGGATTACAGGCATCATGCCCGGTGGAGGTCAAGCACTCTTATTCACAGGATGAGATAGGAAGCCGGCACAAGATACAGGTCATAAAGACCTTGCTGATAAAATAGCACGTGGTAAAGAAACCGGCCAAAACCCACCAAAACCAAGATGGCGAGGAAAGTGACCTCTGGTCGTCGTCCTCACTGCTCATTATACAATAATGATAATGCATTAGCATGCTAAGAGACACTCCCATCAGCACCATGACAGTTTACAAATGCCATGGCAACGTCAGGAAGTTATCCTATATGGTTTCAAGTGGTGAGGAACCTTCAGTTCTGGGAATTGCCTATCCCTTTCTTGGAACATTCATGAATAATCCACCCCTTGGTTAGCATATCATCAGGAAATGGCCATAAAAGTGGACCCCTCGGGGCCGCTCTGCCTGTGGAGTAGCCAATTCTGTTATTCCTTTGGTCTCTTAATAAACTTGCTTTCACTTTATGCTGTCTTTTGAGAGATCCAAGAACCCTCTATTGGGGTCTGGATCTGGACCCCTTTCCGGTAACAAAAGGGTTCATCATGGGCCCCTTCTGTGCAAAGCTGCCTAATTAATTGGACATTTAAAGTGTCATTCGAATGTCTGAAACTTTGATTGACACACAACCTTCAGGTCACTGCATGAAGGGATGTCCACAGGTATTCAGAGAAACCCTCAGAAATGTTCTTCCCAAACTTTTAGGACTGGCGTTGGTTTTGTTTAGCAAAAATTTGGTTACAATGAGAAATTTTTTTTTTCAAGACAGAGTCTCGCTGTCTCCCAGGCTGGAGTGCAGTGGCACGATCTCGGCTGGGTTCACTGCAAGCTCCGCCTCCCGGGTTCACACCATTCTGCCTCAGCCTCCCGAGTAGCTGGGACTACAGGCACCCACCACCAAGCCTAGCTAATTTTTAGTAGAGACGGGGTTTCACCGTGTTAGCCAGGATGGTCTCAATCTCCTGACCTCATTATCTGCCCACCTCGGCCTCCCAAAGTGCTGAGATTACAGGCGTGAGCCACTGCACCCGGCCTAAATTTTTTTTAATGTTCACATATATCCTTATATTTTTATTTTTAACCTAAAACATACAAAAGTACTTTCATCCATCATATCCGGATGTCTGTGCGACGCCTTCCCTGGGCCTGGGCCACGTGGTTAGAGTACACACCGACTCTGGCATTGTGGTGCCCGGGGGACCCCTGACTCGGAGCCTCTGCTTCTTAACTAATGAGAGGCCAGCACGGTTGCTCACATCTGTCATCCCAGCACTGTGGGAGGCCAAGATGGGTGGATCACTTGAGCACAGGAGTTCAAGACCAGGCTGCGCAACATGACGAAACACCGTCTCTGCTAACAATACAGAAAAATTAGCCAGGTGCGGTGCTATGCACCTGTAGTCCTAGGTACTCGGGAGGCTGAGGTGGGAGGATGGCTTGAGCCCAGGTGGCAGAGGTTGCAGTGAGCCAAGATCGTGCCACTCACTCCAGTCTGTGCGACAGTGAAACCCTGTCTCAAAAAAAAAAATAATATAATGCGAGTTTAAAAACATTTGTAAACAACAAGGTGCAGACTCCACTTAGGCCCCTGTTTCCTGTGATGTGCTGGTTGGCTATTGCTGCCCAGCCAACGACGCCGCCCCAGCACTTACAGCACCGACCCTCATTCACACTCTCTCATGTTGTCTGTGGGCAGGGATGTGGGAGCAACTGGACTATAAGGTTCCCCTGAGGTTGCAGCCGACGTCAGCAGGAGCTGCCCTCAGGAGCATTGCCTGGTGCTGAAGGTGCCGCTTCCAAACTGCCTCATTCCCGAGGCTGGTGCTAGCTGCGGGTAGGAGGCTTCAGCTCCTCTCCATGTGGCCCCTCCAAAGAGCCATCTTCATGGTGTGACAGCTTCGTCCAGAGCCAGAGACCCCAGAGAACCAAGCAAAGGCTGCAACGCCTTCTGTGACCCAGCCTTGGAGCACACAGAGTGTCACTCCCATGGTATTCTATGTCTCCCAGTCGGTCTTGATTCGACATGGGAGAGAGCCACACACGGTGTGAACTCCAAGAGATAAGAAGCATGGGGCCATCTTGGAGACTGGCGGTCACACCAAGCTTAACTCAACAGCAATTTTGTAAAGCAATTCACCTTTAATGAGTCTTTTCAAGGCATTTAATGAGTGTGCATAGAAATCACTTTCATATTCATATTTTATCATTTTGTGTATACTCAATTACACAATGCCATTATGATAAGCATAACTAATATAAACAGATTGGGGAAACTTCACTGACTGACAAGCGGACAGACCCAGGCAGCAGTAGCAGCCCAAGTACGTGGGCACATGGGGAGAAGGCTGCAGCCGGGGTGGAAGCTCAGGAAGGCTTGTCGGGGGCTGCAGGTCGCTGGCTAGATCTGATGGGGCCTGATGTACCCTTTGGTGGCCCCAGAGTCACTGCACCGGCACCAACTGTGTATTTCTTCTGTGAGCCTCAGAGCTGTATAAAGTACGTGTGTTTAGGCCAAGAAGAATTTAATTCACACCAGGTGCAGTGGCTCATGCCTATAATCACAGCACTTAGGGAGGCCGAGGTGGGTGGATCACCTGAGGTCAGGAGTTGGAGACCAGCCTGCCCAACATGGTGAAACCTCATCTGTACTAAAAACACAAAAATTAGCCGGGCGTGGTGGCGTGCTCCTGTAGTCTCAGCTACTCAGGAGGCTGAGGCAGAAGAATGGCTTGATCCCGGGAGGTGGAGGTTGCAGTAAGCCGAGATCGTGCCACTGCACTCCAGCCTGGGCAACAGAGTGAGATTCCATCTCAAAAAAAAAAAAAAGAATTTAATTCACTTCAGCAAGTGTTTCCTGAACACCTGCAGAGCCAGGCACCAAAGGCGTTCAGACAAATTCTTCTCCAGGCCAGTCCCAGTGCAGGGAGGGAAACAAGGGAAAGAACCTTTCAGCCTGGCGCTCACTGGGCTGGAGGAGGCCCGGAGGCACGGGAGCGCAGGGGAGAGTCTCAGTCCCCTTGGGTGCGTAACAAAGTCCCACAGACTGGTGACTGAAACCACGGACATTTACCTTCTCATAGTCGTGGAGGCTGAAAGTCCAGGATTGAGGTGTCGGCAGGGCTGGTGTATTCTGAGGTCGTCCTTTGGCTAGGAGGTGGCTGTACTGTGGCTGTGTCCTCACGTGGTCTTTCTGCTGTGTGTATCTGTGCCCTAATCTCTTCTTAAAGGACATGAGTCCTGTTGGACTGGGGCCCATCCAAATGACCTCATTTTACTTCCATGACCTTTTAAAAGGTTCTATCTCCAAGTATAGTCACATTTTGAGGTACTGGGGGCTTCAAGACGGGGGCACAATTCCACCTGTAGCAGGGAGGAACAGGCATCCACTTACCCGGGAGATCCTAGTGGGCTTCCGGGAGCAACCACGCAGAACCCTGTAGGATAAATGGAGTTTTTCTGACCAGGCAGGGGTAGGGTGGGGAGACGAGCTCTGTGGGAGCTGCAGTGGGGCAGGAGGGACCACCACCATTCAGCATATGGAGGGTGGGGCAGGCAGGGGAGCCCTCCTTGTTCCAGAAGCAGACCTTGGGTCCCCTCCACGCGGCCCACCTTCTCCCTCCCAGAGCCTCCCTCAGGTCCCACCTCTGCAAAGAGAGCCAACGCCATGCACCAAGCCACGGGACACTTGTCACTGGTGACTCAAAAGGGAGGGCTTGTGTGTCATTTGGCCTTGAGCATGGAAAGTTAGATCAGCTGGAAAGAGTAAAAGGAAGTTGGGAATTGTTTTTAAACCAGCCGCAAGTGCAGGAGTGATAAAGGGATGGGGAGGCCACTAGGCCTTTTGGAAAATATTAATCGCCCAGAGTCTGAAGGAAAAAGCGAAAAGCAAGGCCTGGCGAGCCCCTCCACTGTCTGAGCGCACAACTGAGGGGAGAGGTGCGTGTGTGTGTTTGCGTGTGTGCATGTGAGTGTGGGTATCTGTGTGCATGTGAGTGCGTGCACATGTGTGTACATGTGTGTGTCTGTGTGCATGTGTGCATGTGTGCATGGGTCTGGGTGCGCATGTGTGTGTATGTGCACGCGTGTACGTGTGTACGTGTGTGGGCATGTGTGCACATGTGTGTGCTCACGCATGTGTGCATGTGTCCGTGTGTGCATGTGTGTGCACATGTGTACATGTGTGCTCACACGTGTGTGCTTGTGTGTGCGTTGTCTGTGTGTGTTGTGGGGGGCTGCCTTCCTGGAGCCCATCAGCCCAGCACAGCTCTGGCCCGTTTGACAATGTCCCCTGAACCACTGAAAAGGACCATTTTTTTTTTTTGGAGATAGGGTCTTACTGTCACCCGGGCTGTAGTGCAGTGGTGTGATCTTGACTCACTGCAACCTCCACTTCCCAGGCCCAAGCGATCCTCCCACCTCAGCCTCCCTGGTATCTGGGACCACAGGTCTGCACCACCATGCCTGGCTAGTTTTTTATATTTTTGGTGGAGACAGGGTTTCGCCATGTTGCCCAGGCTGGTCTTGAACTCCTGAGCTCAAGCAATCCTCCTGCTTCGGCCTCCCAAAGTACTGAGATTACAGGCATGAGCCACTGCACCTGGCCTGAAAAGGACCTTTGACATCAGGGTCATCACAGCCTCATGCCAGCTTTGCTGCAAGTGCTGGACTCCGATTTGTGGGAAGATGAAGGCAGGTTACCCTGGGACTCTCTCCTGCCTCACCTGGACTTCCAGACGCACGGGGAGTGTGTGCCTTCGCAGCTTGGCATAGTGAACCTGTGAACAGCCAGCCTCTGAGAACAATGACCTCATCTTTATGAAATTTTAGTTGTGGAATGTTTCATAATTTGCACAACACTTGTGTGTGATCTGTAAACGAACACTGTGTACCTGCTGGGGTGCAAGAAACCTCCTTCCTGGCAGGGAGCATGATCAGATCGCTTTGGGCCCACTGGCTGCAGGACATGGTCCTCCACGGCGCAGGGCTGGCACTGAGGGCTCTGCGGGAACTTCCCAACCTCTAAGCCCAGGAAGCACCTCCCTTCTGCCCTCGCCCACGGGGTCTCTGGAGCAAGCCTGCCCCCTGGGGCAGGAGCTGAGAAACTGGCTGGAGGCCTTTCGCTCTGCCCATTTCCTGAGGTTAAGGAGGAGTCCTTCCAGTGTAAATGGAGGTAGGGCCCATGTGTGCACGTTTGCACACACGCAGACACCCACCCAGCCTGAAATGTTGGGTTTGCAAGATCCAGATTGGGGTGTCTTGGGCAGGACTGGCCATATAAGTCTCCTGTGCTGGTCTGAGGAAGGGGGTTGGCACACACAGGGCCCCTGAAGCCCTGGCTGATACCCTCCGCCTGTCTGCCAGGCGAAGCCAGGCTGCTCTCATGGGCTCAGTCCCTGGGCACCTTCCTGATGGAGATGCCCTTAGCAGCCTGGGTGAGGCCCCAGGGGAAAGGCTTCAGATCCTGGAGCAGAGTCCAACCCCCTCATGTCACAGCTTAGCACACTGAGGCCTGGAAAGAAAGGACACGCCCAAAGTCACCTGGCTGGTCAGCTGCAGAGCCAGGCATCAGGTGGCAAGCCCTGCACTCCTTCCGCCGAGTCTCCAGGCTTGCCCTGGTGCCCCTGTCCCTGCGTTTCCAGACCTGGGCACTCAGGACACTGTGAGTCCAGAGGGGTGGCCTGGCAAGGGTGAACCCAGCCAAAGCCGGAGCCACAGGAGGGAAGACCCTTCTCCCAGCTGGGACTCACAGCCCTGGCCTGGCTCTGCCTGGCTGGAAACAGTTACAAGGCTGGGACCAGCCAAGAACACCCCGGGCCTCCTCTCTGTCCTCACTGCCTCCCACCTTTCAAAGTCAGAAAGCCTTTCCCACCTGGCTTATGCCAGGGCTTGGGGTAAAGGCACAGCTGGCAAGCAGCCTGGAGGGGAGAATGAAGCAGCGGAGGTGGGGAGGGAGGAGAGGAGGAGAGAGCACTCCCTGCCTGCCGCTTACGCAGAGATTCCGTCATCATTAGGCTTCTTTTGGTGACACACTCCTGATACCCAGGGACTCGGAAGATCCCATGGAGGGGATGAAGAGTTATTATTTGCACAGAGCATGCAGCTCAGAAGCATAGCTCCCCTCTCTCCCGACACTCTGCCTCATCTTTGATCCTCTCGGTGGCTCTGAAGTGGGTCCTATTATCATTCTCCCTGGGCAGAGGAGAAGACGGAGGTTCAGAGAGACTCAGTGATTTGCCCACAGCCACTGGGCCCTGGTGGGGCAGAGGCTGCCTCCAACCCTCAGATCCGATCTGAGTTCAGAGTCGTTGAGGGCATCCTCATGTGGCTTCACAGCTCTCAGGCCGCGGTGGGGCTGGCTCGGACAGGAAGCACTACATTGCATTCCCAAATGTTTTGGTCTCAGGACCCCTTTCAGTTTTCAAAAGTATTGAGGACCCCAAACATGTTTTACACATAAGGGCTATATCTACAGATTTTCTGTGTTTAAAACTAAAACTGCCAGGTGCAGTGGCTCATGCCTATAATCCCAGCACTTTGGGAGGCTGAGGCAGGTGGATCATCTGAGGTCAGTGGTTCGAGACCAGCCTGACCAGATAGGGTGAAATCCTATCTCTACTAATAATACAAAAATTACCCAGGCATGGTGGCGGGCACCTGTAATCTCAGCTACCCGGGAGGCTGAGGCAGGAGAATCACTTGAACCCGGGAGGTGGAGGCTGCAGTGAGCTGAGATTGAGCCATTGCATTCCAGCCTGGGTGACAAGAGCAAAACACCGCCTCCAAAAAAAACAAACAAAAGACAAAAAGAACACCTAAAACTGAAAAACTCTAGAAATATTTTAACTCGCTTAAAAATAATAATGTCTGTTACATGTTAACATAATAATTTTTGATTAAAAAACGAATATTTTGCAAAGCAGAAAAGATGTTTAGAGAGAAGCGTGGCATGATTTTACATTTGTGCAAGTTTCTTGAATGTCTGGCTTCATAGAGGATTTACATACCCACTTCTGCATTTAATCGATTGCAGTAGTGCACAGATCTGGCAAACTCCACTGCACATGTGTGAGACAATGAGAATAAAAAAGCAAATAATATTTTAGTATTGTTATGGAAATAGTTTTGACCTACAGACTTCCCGAAAGGGTTTCAGGGATTCCCAGGGGTGCCCCTGAGCCACACTTTGAGAATCACTGCACTGCAGTCTCTGAGTGTGGTCTGCGTCATTCACAAAGCAAATTCCAACATCTCCTGACTCTAAAATGCATCCCCCTCCCCACCGACACATTACAGGATTTGTGAACTCCAAGCGTTTCTCCCAATTGCCCTTGGTTTGCGCCTCTCCCTGCATGCTTGGTTCAGTGGAGGATCTGTTAGTTCACGGAATCTTACAGCCAGGGGCGTCACATAATCCTCACAGTGGCGAACCTCTGGATGCCATCTTGCCTCCAGAGGGAGACTCTGGGACCGCTTCTCCACACAGCTTCCGAGGGCCTGAGCGGCAGGTAGCTGGAACCTAATGGAACCTAGGCTGGGGTGCGGGGCCCTGGATTGGGGGTAGCCCTGACCAGGCCAATGTGCCACCGGGCAGGAGGAGCGAGTCAGCACACCTCCTCTGTGCAGCCCATCCTGCCCCCGTCCCCCTCCCCGCCCCTCGCCCCTCCTGTGGGCCCCCGTGCACCCTCCTAGTACACGTGAGCTCTCAGGGACAAGCTGTCGCACTGTTTGTCATGGGTTTGCCTCCCCACCTGGCTGTAGGCATCTGAGGGAAAGAGAGCGTCCTATCTGTCCATACAGCCCAGGACTGGCCCTGAGCCAACCCTCAGATGCCAGGTAAAGAAGGCCGGCAGGCCCTTCCCTGTCAGTGAAGAAAGAAGTTTCCAGAGGCCCGTTCCCTGAGGAGCAGGTGGAGGGCAGGGCTGGGGAGGGGCATCCCACGGATGGCAGCTGTCGCTCGGCAAAGCCAAGGGCATAACTCACCTCAGAGGAGGCCGTGTTCAGGCCGCGCCTGGTGCCCAGATAAGCTGTGCAGGCCGCTGGGCTGGAGCCTGGCCCGCATGACAGGTGTCACCGGGAGGTCCCTGTAAGAGGAGGGAACTTGGGAACATTGTGGCTCCAGGGAAGTGCACAGATGTCCTGGGCCCCCCAGCTCCCAGGGAACCAGCCCCTCCCTCACCCGGACATGGCGCCCTGCCTTGTCGCGGTTGTCGGGGATTTTTCCCTTATCCCGTGGTCTCTGGGAAACCCAGCCCTGCACCCAGCACTTGGCACCTGATAAGGGTTTGCAGAACTGAATGTTTTAAATGCATCAAGAAACGCATATTGAGAGGAGCTGCTTGGAGTCAGCGGAGTCTGAGTATGGACTGAGGATAGTAGCCCCGTCACACACGTGGGCTTCTCTAAATTAGATTTCCTAAAAATGGAACTTGTTGGACACTCATAGCTAAGGCAGCCAGAATGTCCAGGAATTCTCAGCAATTCTGAGCAGGATCTCTCCAGAGGAGGTGAGGAACCCACCCTCGGAACAGAGCAGGGTTCCAAGGCCGCTGTCTCTAGAACACAGGAGGCTCGGGCTCACCTGGCCCCTCTCAGAGCCTGCATGCAGCCACTGGGGCTTTCCTCATGGAGTTGCCAGCCATGAGATGGAAAATTCTGGAAATCTCATAGGCCTTTAAGAAAGGCAAAAGGAGAAAAAGGCCAGACACCAGGGCAACCTCCTGGTAATTCTAAGGTGCTCAGAACCTCTGCGGAGAAAGGGGCCTGCCTGTACGTCCGGGTCTTCATCCTCCTCCCAGGCAGGGCTTGAGATGTGGCAGGTGGAGGCAGGTGGGGATGTGGGGGGCCCAGGAAAGACCCTTCTCCCACAACCACATGCACACGTTTTTCTCTTTCTCTTTCTTTTCTTTTCTTTTGAGGCAGGATCTCACTCTGTGGCCCAGGCTGGAGTGCAGTGGTGCCATCACAGCTCACTGTAGCCTTGACGTCCCCCAGCTCAGGTGATGCTCCCACCTCAGCCTCTCGAGTAGCTGGGACTACAGGTGTGCACCATCTACAGTAGGTGGGCACTACAGGTGCCCAGCTAATTTTTGTATTTTTTGTAGAGATAGGATTTCACCATGTTGGCCAGGCTGGTCTCAAACTCCTGGGCTCAATCCCCCGAAGTGCTGGGATTACAGGCATCCCACTGTACCTGGGCTTCTTTTTCTAAAATTCAGTTATGGTCTCGCTATGTTGCTCAGGCTGGTCTCAAACCCCTGACCTCAAGTGATCCTCCCGCCTTGGCCTCTGAAGTGCTAGGATTGTAGGCTCAAGCCACCGTGCCTGGCTGTACACATGTATTTCTACTGTCATCCTGGAATCGTTTCTAAAAGCCTCGTATTGATGACTCACTTTTTGAGGTTATGAAGATCTTTTTTACAAAAACACTGTATCTGAGAAAGTGGGCTTTTCAAATAGGGGTGTGAGTGCCTTCGGGTGGGCTGTAGGGTGCAAGCAAACAAAGCCACACATGGACACCGCCCCCTCCCGGGCCATCCTTTGCTGCAGACTTGAAGAGAAGCATGATTTTTATGTTAAAGCAAACACGAATAGCTTATTGAAGTGAAGGCAGAAAGTGTGCCTGCCCGTGTGTCCAGTGAAAAGCAGGAATCTTCAAGGACACTTCTAGCCCCTAGGCTACACTAAGACGCTCCCTCCCCCAGGAGTGCTCAAATGTTTGATGAAGTTGGGAGCTGGCTGGTTGCGGGGTGTGGGGCTGGCATGGCAGGAACGCAGAGACTGCCCTAGTGTTGTGCGTGAGAACACTGAGCCCAGGGATGTGGCCACTGGCCCAAGGAAACACAGCTGGCCTTAAGTATGTCAATGCCACCCTGGACTCCTTCCTCAAACTGTTGACAAAGACAGCAGGCTCCATAGAACTCGGCCACCAGGACAGACGTCAGCTAGTGCTAAGAACTGGGCCCCGAACCTGGGAGGCTTCAAAACACCAGGGCAGCCCACCTCGTGCAGAAGCCTGCAGCGGCCCCGGGGGGAGTGGGAGCAGAGCAGGTGTTGGAGCCTCTCTTGGGGAAGCCATGCGTCAGGACTTGGAGCTGCAGGGGGTGATAGTGTAGAGAGCCAAGCCTCAGACTAAAAGTGGGTTCAAGGTCTGACCTGTCACCTAGGGGCTGAAGCTTTGAGCATACCCTGCCCCCCGCCCCCACCGTGAGCTTCACAGTGTCCTGGGGTGAGAAGGGCCATCCTCGTGAAGGCCCCTCCAGTCTCAGATCTAACAGGACTGGGAGGAACAGAACGGGGTCCCTGCGGCGGCTGGCCTCAAGCTGACCCTGGGGAGTAAGCACAGAGGGGAAGGGGGCAGGGAGGGGTGTTCTTGTCACAGGGAGGGACTCTGGACTTCCCAGACTGTTGGGCCTTTGCGCAGCCCAGGACTCCTGTCTACCTGTTGTTGGCTGAATAATGGTCCCCAAAGATGTCCGCGTCCTAATCCCTGGAACCTGGGAGTGTTCCCTGGTGTAAGGAAAGGGCTTTGCAGGTGGGAGTACATTCAGGATCTTGAGACGGGGAGATTATCCTGGATCATCAGGATGGGCCCAAGGCACAGCTGCAAGTCTCCTCTAAGACGGGGGCAGAGGGAGGCAAGGAGAGGAGAGGGCGCTGTGAAGACGTGAGATTGGAAGCTGCTCCACCGCTGGCCTTGGAGCCAGGTGGAGGGAGGAACCGTGAGCCACAGGACGAGATGCCAGGAACGCAGCCCAGAAACTGGGCAAGGTGAGGAAGCCGTTCTTTCCCAGAGCCCATGACACCGCAGTGTGAGCTGCATGAAATGGATTTCAGACTCGGACCCCCACAACTGAAGGAGAACAAACGTGTGCTGTTTAAAGCCATCAGACGAATGGCATTTTGTCACAGCAGCCACAGGAAACAGATACACCATCCACTGGAGAAATGACCCTCAGGTTTGAGAAGCCACGATTTACCACACCCCACACAGCCCCACGCGGGACGCTTTGCCAAGCTCAGGAATGTGCGGGTGGAAGGCAGGGGCCGGCGAGGGCAATGCCATGGGCTCCCCAACCAAGGCGAGTGCATCGTGTGCCTGTGGAACTGGTGGTGTTGGGGGGCCTGAGAAGGTCAAGGCCCCATTCATTCGAGGGTATGACCCTCCCCCACCCCCAACCCTGGCAGGCATCTGACAACTGGCAGGCTTCAGAATCCGATTGTAGTGAAGAGTGAAGACCTCCAACCCAAGAGACCTCCAGACAGGGTGAGACCCTCCAGACAGGGTGGACCCTCCAGACAGGGTGAGACCTCCAGACAGGGTGAGAACCTCCAGACAGGGTGAGACCCTCCAGATGGGGTGAGACCTCCAGACAGGGTGGATCCTGAGCCTGCAGTTCCTCCCAGCTGATTGTAGAAATCCCATCACTGTTGGGAGCTCAATTATTTTTTCTCCCAAATCCTCCAAAACTTAGGGTCAGCACGGTCTTAATCCCCTGTGAGTCCCCGCATCACATCAGCCCTTCCAGCTATACCTGCAGGCTGCAGGCTCACCTCTGGCTATTGGCTGGATTTGAGTCAGACCTTCTCAAAGCTAACCTTTCCCCAAGTCTAGCAGAGCCTTTTGGTGGCCTTGGAGAGGTCCAAACAAGGCCACATGAGAGAGAACATGAAGTCCAAGTTTAGGAAGGGGGAGCGTGGCTTTTCAAAGAGTTTTTGTGTTTTTTTTATTTTTTAAGTTCCAAGGTGCATGTGCACAACGTGCAGGTTTGTTACATATGTATACATGTGCCATGTTGGTGTGCTGCACCCATTAACTCGGCATTTACATTAGGTATATCTCCTAATGCTATCCCTTCCCCCTTCCCCCTCCCCCCACCCCACGACAGGCCCCGGTGTGTGATGTTCCCCTTCCTGTGTCCATGTGATCTCATTGTTCAATTCCCACCTATGAGTGAGAACATGCGGTGTTTGGTTTTTTGTTCTTGCAATAGTTTGCTGAGAATGATGGTTTCCAGCTTCATCCATGTCCCTACAAAGGACATAAACTCATCCTTTTTTATGGCTGCATAGTATTCCATGGTGTATATGTGCCACATTTTCTTAATCCTGTCTATCACTGATGGACTTTTGGGTTGGTTCCAAGTCTTTGCTATTGTGAATAGTGCCGCAATAAACATACGTGTGCATGTGCCTTTATTTTTTTTTAAACAGAATTCAAGAATGGAATAAAGGAGGTGTATGATAAATGAGGGAATGAAAAAAAAAAACAGGTTAGCCCTCAATTAGACAGAAAGAAAATAAATTTCCTGACTTTTAAAAATCGGTTTTTCTCTGCTGTCACAGAGGGCTGCACTATCAGCAGTCACATATTTTATAGAACAGTGAAGATGTGTAGAAGAGAAAACCTTGATTAACTGGAGTCTAGACCAACACTGCCCTCCCCCAGTTCTCGTGTCTGAAGCTTTCACTTAGCAAGAATCCTTTCAGTGGATTTGGCTTTAATCAAGAAGCAAAAATAGCTTCAAGACAAGGAAAAAGCTTCCGCACAAGATTTAAAAAGCCAAGACCCAGCATCCTGTGTCGTGGGCTCAGAGAACATTCATTTCACCTGGCCCCAGGCCTCCACCCCCTCAGCATCTCACTCTCATGGCGACCCCAGAGGGGAGTCTTCCTTTAAGAGGGTTCTGTTTAGGTCACTCCTCTACTCAAAAATCTTCAGGGCTCCCCATTGTCCCCAGAATCAAGTTCACATTTCCTGGCCTTACATTCTCAGGCTCCCGGGTAAGCTGCCTTACCCCTATTCAGGGCCTTGATAGGGGGCTCCCTGCAGGTTTTTGACCTCTGCTCTTTGCACCTCCATGGCCTCAACTGTCTCCCAATACGTTCACTTAGACGTCCCTCAGGTCGTTCATGATGAGACTCTCGGAACTCATCACCTCCACAAACTTCATTCTTCTTCAACCTTTCCCACTTTGGTTCCTCCAAGCCAAAGCCTGATGTGGCACAGGCTGCCAGCTGACCACCAAAGCCCATCTCCTCTCCTTGGACACACAGTGGGACTGGCAGTGAGACCAAGATGGAACCCGGGACATTTAGGCAGAAGTGATTTATCACCCTTCTAAGCCAGCCCCATAAAAATCTTCTCCTCCTATTCCTCCACACCCCCTTTTCCTTCTAGTGGCTGCAAGGGAGACAACCTCCAGGGTGGCCTGGAGAGCCACGTGTAGAAATACAGCTCCAACGGATGGAAAGAGCCTGGGTCCCTGAGTCTTTGCTTGGAAAACAGCTGTCCAGGAAAGCTGCCCCACCAGAGACACCCAACTTGAACAACTGCATGAGCAAGAAACAAGCTTTTGTTGTGTAGCGCCATTGAGATGTGTTGAATTCATCTGTTACAGCAGCTAACACTACCTGTTCTAGTATACCTGGGCATCACGCTGGACTCTTCCCTCTCCCTCATCATCCCTACTCAGAAACCAGGCCTTGTCCGTTGTAGTGCCAGATGGCTCTTGATTCACTCCCTCTCTGCACCCCCTCTTTACTAGTTTTGGCCTCAGCATCTCCAGTCTCCTAACTGGTTTCCATGCTTCTCCAGGTAGCCACTTTCTCTCAGTCTGAGTCCCAAAGTCCACACATAGGGATCAGGCCTAAACCTCAGAGGGGAGAAAAGTGCAGCTGAATAGAGAGACTGAAGAGACAGATCAGCTGAACCCAGCCTGGATCAGCTGATCCCCAGAGAACCTTTAAGATGCTGAATTGGCTGGGTGCGGTGCCTTACGCCTGTAATCCCAGCATTTTGGGAGGCTGAGGTAGGCAGTTCACCTGAGGTTGGGAGTTCAGGACGAGCCTGGCCAACATAGTGAAATCCCATCTCTACTAAAAATACAAAAATTAGCCAGGTAGGGTGGTGCATGCCTGGAATCCCAGTCCTGGGAGGCTGAGGCAGGAGAATCGCTTGAACCTGGGAGGTAGAGGTGGCAGTGAGCCGAGATGGCGTCATTGCACTCCAGCCTGGGTTACAGAGCGAAACTCCGTCTCAAGGGAAAAAAAAAAAAAAAAGACGCTGAATTGTAGAGGTTTTCTTGGGAGCAAAAGCTAACAGGCGTGATCATTCTGTCATGAGATTTCACATATGTCTGCTGAAAGGGAGGCTTTGTTTCAATGTTTGTCCCTCCTAGAACTCACATTGAAATTTAATCCCCAATGTGGGAATATTGAGAGGTGGGGCTTTTTAGAAGCAATTGGGTCATGAGAGCTCTGTCCTCTTGAATGGATTAATCCATTCATGGATTAATGGATTAATGGGCTAACATGGGACGGGAACTGGTGGCTTTATAAGAAGAGGAAGAGAGACCCGAATTAGTACACTCAACCCCTTCACCACGTGGTGCCCTGCACCGTCTCAGGACTGCAGAGTCCCCACCAGCAAGAAGGCCCTTGCCAGATGCAGCCCCTCAACCTTAGACTTCTCGGCCTCCATAACTGTAAAAAATACATTTCTTTTCTTTGGAAATTACTCAGTTTCAGATATTTTGTTCTAAACAACAGCAAATGAATAAAGACAGACAGGATTGTTTTTGTCCTTGGTTTGGCTTCATGCTGGAAGGAGCTGTCTGTTCCTCTAAGTCTAGAGCATGTCTGAAACCAGAGAGAATGAAGCAGACACACAGAGAACAGCAGAGATGAGCAGAACTCAGAAATGGAGGAGCTCGAGACAGCCCAGAAAACATAACTTAAGGCCCCCGGATCCAGCCCCTGGACTCCCAATCATGCAAGCCAAAGACTGTAATTCCTTTTTTATGTTGATTTCTTCTACAGGCAACTGAAAGCCTCCTGGCTCTTAAGATGTTTCTTTCTTTCTTTCTTTCTTTTTTTTTTTTTTTTTTTTGACAGAGTCTTGCTCTGTTGCCTAGGCTGGAGTGCAGTGGTGTGATCTTGGCTCACTGCAACCTCCGCCTCCTGGGTTCAAGCGATTCTTATGCCTCAGCTTCCCCAGTAGTTGGAGTTACAGGCACGCGCCACCACGCCCAGCTAATTTTTGTATTTTTAGTAGAGACAGGTCAGGCCCAGGTCTCCTGATTCCCATTCTAGTCCAATTTGCTTTCAGTGATGCTACAGTTCTTGATCAATAAACCGAAAGCCTGCATTCTCAGTGCAGTGCAGTTCTTCAAGCCTCCCCTACAAAATCAACAAAAATGTATAAAGGCAATTGGGGGATGGTGAAAATGGCAAAAGGAACCAGAGTCACAGGAAGAGAAGGCCGGGAGCCCAGGAACTAGAAGCCGGGTGGGTGTGATTTCCCACCTGGAAACACATTCCCCAGGCCGTCGCAGAAATGGAGAATTGTTTAAAAGGCAATAATTTGCTCAGCTGTAATTGCAGTTCTCTCCAGCTGAGGGATGCTCTTTGCTCCTAGCGAAATGTAATAGAGCAATAACCGTTTTAATGGCACCTCTCCCAGTACTGGTCACCCCACCCCTGGGCGCCAGACGGTCAAAGTGTGCTCTAAAAAGATGGGCATTAGTCATCCTCCCAGAGCGGCTGGGCCCTGCAGCCCTGAAGGCTCGCATTTGTCATCCCCATAAATCTTGACCGCAAGTGTCCCTGGGATCGGTAAACTGAGGCAGGTGGAGGGAGCTGACTCTGGGAGGTCCTGGCTCCTCCATCACCCCCTAGGGATCTCTCCAGCCAGGGCCAGGCTCCAAGATTTAAGGACAGCCTCAGGTGAGAAGGCCCTTTGGACTCAGAAAGAGCCGGTTCAAATCCCGGTTCCCTCATTGCCCGCTCTGTCCTTTTGGGCAAAGGCTTAAGCACACTGAATCTGTTTCATCTACAAGACGGCGCTCATAATGCCACCTTCGTGGGGCCCTGCTGCCAGGGTCTGAGAAGGCATCTTATAAAGCTGCCCATACACACAGACAGGCCTGGAACACAGGAGCCCCCAGCACTAGTGATGGCTGTTCTGCTTTGCTCTCTAGATAGAAAATAGTGCACAGGCCTCAAGATTCCCCAGACTTCACCACTACATACTTCCATGCACAGGTGCCTGGGCTCTGAGACTTCACTCTGCACAAGGTATGCGCTATTTAGTGTGAGCTCTCATTACACTGGGCAGTTTCTGACAGCATTTTAGCTGGGAACACAATACCCTATGGGTTTGCTTTGGGTCACAGGTTTATGTGACTTTGGAGAGAGCACATCTGGGCTCAAATGGCAATACACACAGGTTTGCTTGTCGTGGTTTAAGAAATAGGAATTACTGATCAACCCAAGAGTTGAGTGCTATTTCTTTCTTGTGCTAATACAGTGGCTGATATTAGGAACACCCACCACCCCTTCCAGGCCACAGGGATGGTGAAGTCCAAGGAGCAGTTGGGGAGAAATTCCTCTCACCACTCATATTTAAAAGGGAGGCTTGGCCAGGCTCAGTGGCTCATGCCTGTAATCCCAGCACTTTGGGAGGCCGAGGCGGGTGGATCACTTGAGGTCAGGAGTTTGAGACCAGCCTGGCCAACATGGTGAAACCCCATCTCTACTAAAAATACAAAAATTAGCCGGGCGTTGTGGTGCGTGCCTGTAGTCTCAGCTGCTCAGGAGGCTGAGGCAGGAGAATCACTTGAACCTGGGAGGTGGAGAGTGCAGTGAGCAGAGACTACACCACTACACTCCAGCCTGGGCAACAGAGTGAGACTCTGTCTCAAAAATAAAAAGAAAAAAATAAAAGGGAGGCTCTGGGGAAGCAGACAGAAGGGTCTAGTGGCAAATGGCCAGGGTTACTTTCTTCCTCTCATATGAACTCCTCAAGGATAGAGACCCTGGCCTCACCTAGGGTGTCCAGCCGTCCCACTTTGCCCAGGGCTTTGAGATTGAAAGTCTTGCATATTGAGTCTAGCATCCCAGGGAATTTCTCAGTGCCAGGCAAATCAAGATGATCGGTTGCTTTAGTTACTCCCAGTACACATATATAGTAGACACTGAACAAATATTTGTTGCATGAACAAATACAAACACATTTAATTTAGTTCCATTTAATACCATCGGATCTCACAGACTCATGTTGGACAGACAACCCATTTCCTGTGTGCTTTGCAGTTTGCAAATCTCCTTTGTGAAAACCACCCTGACCAGGTCCTCCTACTACTAGAAGGTGGTCGGAGGGTGGAGAGGTGGGAATCCCTCATAAGGAAGCCAAGGTCATTACTGTCTTCCTCCTAGCTCAGGGCAGCTGCAGGTCAGGGCATTGCTCATGGAGCAGAGCCTTGTGGGGACAGAGTGGGGCCCCGATGAGGGCAGGACCTTGAGGGGAAGGGGGTCCCCAGTGCTCTGTTAACCCCCAGGGTGAAGCTTCTCCTTCCAGAGCCTATGGGGAGGGAGGGTCTGCATCTTTTTTCAACAAGGTCGCATCCTTCAGTTCCCTCCCGACATTCTCAAAGGCATTTCGGTAGAGGGTGAGTTGGGAGAGAGTCTTGGAGAAAATAACAGCTCTGCCTGTAGGAGGGGAGTCCCCAGGGGTTCAAAGGTGAGCAAGGAGGAGGAAGGGACCCCACATTTCACCAGCAACGTGACTCCCACCACAGCGGGCAGTAGGTTCTGCTTCCGAAGCCAAGAGAACTGTAAGTGCAGCCCAGACAACCCTGCTTTCAGCAGAGGCTAAAATTCCTCCCTCTCCAAACTATGGCCCACACGCGTGTCATTAGGAAACTGTCAGGGGCTGTGAGCGTGGTCATCGCCTCAGATGGAGTCTCCCTTTTCCACAAGAGCAGTTCCTGGGCCACAGAAAAGACCTTCCCAGATAGTGAGGGTCACTCTCTTCCCAGGCCAGAGGCAGCTAAGATCCCTCTCTGAACTCTGGAGAGAATATTCCAGAATCCTCAGTGGGCATTTGAGGGTTGATGAGTCCCTCACATACCACGCACTGTGTCCACCAGCAGCACCCACCCGACACATGCCTCGGAGAAGCAGCTTTGGCTGGGTGTCTGCGGGCCTCGGCTCAGTGTGGAGGCACAGGGAGAGAACAGAGAGAGACTCTGAGTTTCAGGAGGAGCAGGGGCAGCTGCAGCAGGGGCAGCCAGACCCAAAGTCGTGGGGGCTGGTGGCCATGGGCAGGGTCTGCCGCAGAACTCTGCCTTGTGCCTCCTCCCTGCACTCACTGCCGCCACCACGGGCCCATCCTCCCTGGGCAGTGAGGCTCATTTTGCTCCCCACTTCCCTCTCTCTGCATGGGCATCCCATGATGTCCGTGTGCACGGTGCAGGCCAGCAAGCCTCCAGCGTGTTGTGTAGGGCTGGACGTATGGTGTCCATGGTTGTTTGTGCCCTTTTTTCTGGGGCCAGACCAACAAGGTGTGGTGTAAACGGGGTGTGTGTGTGTGTGTGTGTTTGTGTGTGTGTATGGGGGCATAGCCATGCCCACCAAATATAGGACATCACAAATGCATGATGGCAGAGATATCAGTGACAACGATGGGGACAGTCAATGTGGTGGGAGGGCAGATGGGTGGGGGAGATGGCAGGGGTGGTGACCGCACACTCATAGTGCAGAGAGTTCCCGTGCTCAGCCTGAGGGTCGAGGCAGCGGTCTCTCTGGGTCCTGCAGGTCTGGGCCTGCCATAAGCCCTCTGCAGACCTGGGCCCATTGTGTACCTCAGCTGCGGAGTCCAAGTCACTCCTTAACCTGTGGCGTGGCTTGGTTCATCCTGGTCAAATGCTGCACGTGATTATAAGAGCAGAACTCTAGGAAGAACTGGTCCCTGTGAGGAGAGGAGGGTGGCAAGGAGAGGCACGGCCTGTTGCTTCCCGCACCTGCTGGTCAGGGGGCGCTGCGTGAGGGAGGCATGTCCTGCAGCCTTTCTCCTCCATGTCCCTGGGAGCGAGCATTCTCACTTCACAGATTAGAAAGTCTTAACCACATTCATTTCCTGGCAATAGCCCAAGCAGTAGCTGTGGTGGGCCCGGAGCTGTGGACGCCTCGCCTCGGAAGGCAGAGTTTGTTTACCTCTGCAGTGTAGCACGCTGGGTGCTGAGCTGCTGCAAACACACTGCCCGTGAGAGGTGCCACCAGGCCAGCGGTGGAGGGTCTCAGGAGGCTGCCCTTGTGGCTGCGACCACACGCCAGGCAGCTGCCTCTTGGTCCCAGTCAGGACAGACCCTGCAGGGACGAGGTCAGCAGACGCCCTGCACTGGGGACAGGGAGTGAGGAAGCAGAAGGAGCCGAGGCCTGGGCTGTCCAGCCTGCTTCTCCCCCAGGCCCCTGGCACCTGCTGTGCTGGCTGTGTCCATCGCTCAAATCTCACCCAGCTGCTTCCCCACCGGGTCACCCGCGCCTTGGACCCACCTGTGTCCCTGTCCACCTTGGGGCCCACCTTGATCTCTGCTCCACCCCCAAACTCTCAGGTTGACACTGCAGATGCAGACCCCGATGCTGGCACCCAGAACTGGTTCTGGCCCTGCCCCCAGCTTCAGGCACCATGCCTGGATAGCCGCTGCTCCCATACCTGCCCTCCCCTGGCTTCTCCTGGTGTCTGCGGGCCTGCAGGCTGGGCTCCCTCTGCCCAGGTTCCTACTTAGCCGGCAGAACCACTCCAGCAGCGAGAGCAGGGGATGTGGGCACCGACCCTGCCCATGACTGTTCTCGCCCCCTCCAAGGCCTGTGGGAAGGAGGCCTCACACACCGGGGCCAGATGAAGAAAGAGTTGGCCCGAATGTGCCCTCTCTTCAGCAAGCCGCCCCTCCCAACACTCGTTTTCTGACCCCCACCCCACCCCCAATTTGGCACTCTCTGCCCCTCCCTTGGGGAGCTCTGTCAGTCTCTTAGGGGGATGATTTCGTTTCTGGGTGAACTGGCAGTTTCAGGCTTTGGCTAGAAGTGCTCTGCCCTAGCTGGGCTGGCTTCAAAGAAGGAAATGTGGGTTCTGGCCCGTGTGTGGGTGCTGGGGGGTGCACCCAGACTCCAGTGTGACTTCTCTAATGGGGAGCTTGACCAGCTGTGGCACAGGTGGCCACAGAGCAAGCTCACCTGGCTAAGGCAAGAATCCATTTTTTGCCCTGAAGAGTGAACCATGTCACGCTGCATGAGGAAGCATCTGTCCCTCCTGGTAGCACAGCCTGGCCCTGCTCCCTGCACACCAGGAACTGGCCTCAGTGGCCAAGGACACCCCCTCCTTCCCAGCCGGCTTGCCTCCCAGGCCCCGAGGGGTCAGTGTGGCTCTGCAGGGTGTGGCTCCCTCTCCAGTGAGACTCTTTAACCTCATAACCTCATCCTGCCCCCACTGCAGAAGAGGGGCTCTGCCAGCCCGACCTGGCATTGTCCTCAGGAGCACCTGGGACAGAGGACCTCTGGGAGAACTGGACTGAGCGCCAACAGCCCTGGACTTGAGGCCGGTTCTTCTGCTTCCTAGCGTGGGCCTCTCAAGCAGTTACTTAACGTCCTTGACCTCGGTTTTCTCATCAATAAAGTGGGTCGACAGTAAGGGGGCCTCCGGGGGTGAAGGCTGACCCCAGTGCCATGCACACAGCAAGCGACTGTCCGCTGAGTCAGGATCTAGACTCCGTAGCTGTGACCAGAGGGAGGGGCCAGTCCACCCGGCTCCTGGTCGGGGCTTAGACTCCGACAGCCCTGGCTCTGAGTCCCTCCAGCCAGTCTTCCTGCCACATTCCCTGGGCCTCCGAGTCCCCATCGGCAATGAGGAGAACACACTAGTGTCTGCTCCCCAGGACACCCCGGAGACGGGGCACGAAGAGCACTCCTGGCACGAAGAGCACTCCTGACGTCGTTACTAACAGCAGCCGGCGCATCCCGGCCAGGGCACCCCAGGGTATGCCAGGTTATCCCAGGGTATCGGCATCATTTCCCAGAACAACTCATTGTTTCCCTCAGGGTGAGCTGATGCTCCAAGCCCATATCCTCCCAGGCTTCAGACGAATGAGGCCCAGGAGGTTGCCTCCCCCTGCACCTGTGACTCAGCAGCTGCGAACCCAGCCCCAGCGAGGCTGATGAACACGGGAGCCCTCCAGCTGCCTCTGGGCAAGCCGGCCCTGGGCCAGGCCTGCTGGGGTCATTCAGATCTCAGCGCTAGAGTCCTGCACACAGCGTTGCCAGATGGAGCAGACGAAAATATAGGATGCCCATGCCCTTTGGGGACAGATACTAAAAACTCATTAGGTGTTTATCTAAAATTCAGACCTGACTGAGCGTCCTCTGTTTCATCTGGCCACTGACCTGCACAGCTCTGCCTCCCTGCCTTTCCCCCCATCCCTAGTGATACGGGGCTGGGAAGATCCGAACCGCCGCGCCAGGCCCGGCTCAGGGCAAGCTCGCCAGGAATGCCGTGTCCTGAGTTAGACCAGCTCTCTCCAGCCACCAGGGGAATCACAGTCTTCTGTCCCCTTGCTTGGGAGGCTGATGTCCCCAGCGTGTCACCCTGCTCTGAATGTGGGGCTCCAGATCAGAGTCTCATGAAGTCGCTGGTAGCAACGTCTCAAGCCAGAAGTCGACCACACCCAGCCCCACCCGTCAGCCCTCTTCCTCCCCCAGGCCAGCAGAACCTGGGAGGCTGTGTTGGAGGCAAGGCCTTTGAGAGGGTTTCCCAACACCCTGTTCTCTCCCAGCGCCCGCCCTGGTCTCCAGGCAGTCAGGGGGACAGGGGCTCTTCATGGACGGAGGAGCTGCCAAAGCTGGCCTCGCTCCCCGAGACCCACATTTCCAGGGAGCAGCCACCACACTCGCCTCAGGGCTCACTTCTTTAATCCTGGGGCCCAAGCACCCACAGCCTCTTCCCTAGCCCTCTGTAGACAAGGAAGACCCGGCTTGAGGGCCTCTTGCCCCAGAATCATCTTGAGAGCCCTGAGTCCTGCCCGACCTTCCGCCCTGACTGGAATTCTTGGGCTGGGCCTGGGCTGCCTGTTCATAGTGACTGCCATGAACATTCGAATTTGAGAGCCTCCAAGGAAGGGGACAGCCCCAGGGAAATAAACAGGGAAAGTATGTGACCTGAGGCGGCAATCTCTAGGACATGCAGGCCCCACCGCCCCAAGCACAGCCCTGCCCTCTGGGCTCCTCGGAAGGAGGAGCTGCTGGGAAGTCCTGCTTGGTCAGGCAGCATGTGAAGAGCCTCCCCTGTGGGTTAAAGCTGGTGCTCCATCCTGCCCTCCAGGAGTAGGAGACAAACGGGAGACAAATGCAGGAGCCTGGGGGCTGGAACAGGAAGAGTCCTGCAGCTCTCCAGAAGAGGCGCACCCTCACTGCGTCTTAGCCAGGAAGGGTGTTTTTGGGAAGGGGAATGGCGTGAGCAAAAGGCTGGAGGCTTGAAGAAGCAACTGTGTGCCCCTCGGAGTCAGAGCAAGGAGCGAGAGGCAGGCAGCTGCTGGGGAGTCCTGTCCTGCTGGGAGAGCTCAATTTGACACTGGGTGGGCGTATGCCAACTTCAGGGACAGAAAAATTACCCAGGGGGCAGGGCGCGGTGGCTCACACCTGTAATCCCAGCACTTTGGGAGGCTGAGGCAGGGGATCACCTGAGGTCAGGAGTCCGAGACCAGCCTGGCTAACATGGTGAAACCCCATTTCTACTAAAAATACAAAAAATTAGCTGGGCCTGGTGGCACACGCCTATAATCCCAGCTACTCGGGAGGCTGAGGCAGGAGAATTGCTTGAACATGGGAGGCAGAGGTTGCAGTGAGCCAAGATTGCACCATTGCACTCCAGCTTGGGCAACAAGAGTGAAACTCCGTCTCAAAAAACAAAACAAAACAAAAAAACAGAAAAATCGCCCAGAGAACGTCCACTTAAACACACCTGTTTATTTCCTCCTCCAGTGAATGCTATTAAAATAACAGAAAAGGAAGTCAAGAAGGGTGAACTTGGAGGCACCAGGTCCCACAGAAGGCAGCAGAGAGAGGCAAGGGCAGAAAATAAGCAGGGAGACTGGATGACAATTCAAATGTAGGGTGGTTAGGTTCCCTAGACAACCACAAACACCAAGGGTTTCCTCCTGCCCCTCTCCCCACTGCTGCCACCACCATAGGAGAGGCAGGAAGTCCATCCACTGGAGAGCTTGAGAAGGCTCTGGAATTGGGAACTCCGGGCACAGTAGGAGGTGGTGGGTGAAGTGGGAGTGGCTTAGGCAAGTGCCATGGGAATTGTGGGGTGCCCCTCCTAGAACCCCAACAGCTGGAGATATATCCCCTGGCAGGACATGAGAGGACTCTTTACTAGAGAAACACAATCACCCTAAGAGGGATAACTGCAAATAAGATATTGTGAGGGACCTCTCACAGACAAAACCCAACTGGCCACCTAATCACCCTTCTGTGACACAGATCAGTCAACAAGCACCCCTCCCACCACCACACGCACATGCACACACACAGGCATACACACAACACACACACGCATGCACACACCAGTCTTCCAGTCAGCCTCTGGTGTCTCACTCTACACATGAGTCAAGCCAAGGCTCCCAGACATCTGAGAAAAGCTCTCATATCAAAGACAAACACCAGCTTGGGGAAACTTGGAGGTGGAGTGGGGAGAGTAAATTCTGCAAGGAGAAGTTTTAAAAAACCAAATCAGCATCCTCAGAGGAATAGAGAAGATATTGCAATCATGAAGTAAGAACAGAGTGCTTGTTTTAAAAATTCATAGACAAGAAAGAGCTGAAAATCAAAAATATGATCACCCAAAGGAAAAGTTCAATAGAAAGAGTTGGAAGCTAAAATCTCCTTGAAAGATTAACAAAATGACCGGGGGGAAATGGAGAGAAAAGCAAATGAAGAGCTTATTCTAGGAGGTTCAGCATGTTAATAGGAATTTCAGAAGGTTAGAAGACTAATCAGCCTGGGTGCAGTGGCTCACAACTGTAATCTCAGCACTTTGGGAGGCCTAGGCAGGAAGATCACTTGAGGCTAGGAGTTCAAGACCAGCCTGGAAAACACAGCAAGACCCCATCTCTAAAAAAAATAAAAATAAAAATTAGCCTGGCATAGTGGTGCACACCTGTAGTCCAAGATACTCAGGAGGGTGAGATGGGAAGATTACTTGGACCCAAGGACTTCAAGATTGCAATGAGCTATGATCATGCCACTGCACTCTAGCCTGGGTGACAGTGAAATCCTGTAGAAGAAGACAAAGACGAAGAAGAAGGAGGAGGAGGAGGAAGAAGAAGAAAAAGGAGAAGGAGAACAAGAGGAGGAAGAAGAAGAAGAAGAGGAAAAAGAAAGACCAATCAACCAAGATGCCAACAAACATTATATAATTATATTATATATATAATTATATATACATTAGATACATTATATGTATATGTTATATACATTATATAATATAATTAAATTATATAGTATAATTATATTATATAATTATATTTGTATATGTATATACATGTACATTATAATATACAAATATATATAATTATATATATATTATATATAATTATACTGAACCTTCTAGGACTGAAAGACACGACTCTGGGTTGAAGGCCCATTGATGGCCTGGCACGGTGGTTCTCAAACAGTGGTCCCTGGACAGCAGCAGCATCCCTCCCTCCAGGTGATTCTGATGTGTGTAAGGTAAAGGTTGAGAACCGCTGGCCTAGCATGTGAAGGTGTTCCATCAAGTAAATCCCAAACACCTGAGATACAGAAGTTCTTAAAATGCTTCCAGAAGAAAAAAGAAAATCTACATCCAAAAAAAAAATAAGAATTAAAACTACACCCATCTTTCCAACAGCAGTCCTGGAAGCTGGTGTTTTCCAAACTAGAATGAATATCAGTGTGAAGGTAGAAGAGAGACAGTTCAGATATGAAAGGACTATATTGCATATTCCTTCCTTAAGAAGCTACTGGAACATATGTTCCTCAAAATGAGAAAGCAAACTAGCAAATTAAGAAATAGAAACACATGGAATTCAGGAAATGGGGGACTGAATATAAAAGAAAGGCAAAGGAAATCCTCAGGATGATGGCCCATGTTGTCAATCAAATTCAACAAGTGTTGAGGAAGCCCTATGATGTGCCAAACACTGGGTGAACATGGCAAACAAACCATTCTTCCCACAAAACTTCTACAGGAGGAGATTATTGAACATCCCATTGCAATGCAGCATGACAAGTGTTTTACAGAAGGAGCACTCAGGGGGTGCACCTAAACTAGACTGAGAGATCCAGGAAGCCATTAGGGAGCATGGTAGCCAGGATGAGATGGGAAGGTTGAATAGGATGGTGCCAAGAAAAGGGCAATGTTTTCCTTTGACCCTGTTGTCATTAATAAAAACATTTCATCTGAAATCTTAACATTAAGCATCACACCCTCTGGGGAACAGCTCATTTCTTTCTACCTCACCTCCTCTATTATCTCTACTCTAGCAATTCTTTAAAAACTTACTATGCATAAACAGCTATTAAAACTGACTCAGGATGAAATGGAAAATCTGAACAGAATCAAAACAAATGAACTGACTGAACTAGTAATTTAAAAATTTTCCACAAAGAAAAACCCAGGCCCAGATGGCTTCACTGGTAAATGCTACAAAAGAAGAATGAATGCTAATCCTTCACAATCTCTTCCAAAAAATAGAAGAATGAATACTTCCCAATTCATTCAATAAGGTCCTAGTATTATCCAGATATCAAAACCAGACAAAGATATCACAAGAAAACTACAGACCAACATCCCTTATGAATATTGATGCAAAAAAATCCTCAACAAAATACCACAAACAGAAACCAGAAATATAAAAAAAGAATTATATACTATGACCAAGTTGTATTTATCTCAGGAATGCAAGGTTGGTTCAACATATGAAAGTCACTCAATGTAATACACTGTAATTACAGAATAAAGGACAAAAAACACATGATCATCTCAATAGACACAGAAAGAACATTTGACAAAATGGAACACCTTTTCATGATAAACACTTAACAAAGCATGAAGAGACAGGAGCTTTCTCGGTCTCATAAAGGGCATCTATGAAAAATTCATGGCTAATGTCATATTTAATAGTGAAAGACTGGATGTTTCCTCCCAGTGATCCAGAACAAGAGAAGGATGTCTGCACTTGACACCTCTGTTCAGCATTGTACTGAAAGCTTTTACCGTGATAATTTGGCCAAAATTTTTAAAAATAAATTAAATAAATAAAAGGAATCCAAATTGAAAACCTTCCTCTATTCACAGATGAGCTTATATACAGAAAATCTTGAGAAACCAACCAAGAAAAAAAACAATAACAAAACTGTAAGACTAATAAACGAGTTCAGCAACATTGCAGGACACAAGATCAGTGTACAAACATAAATTATATTTCTATACACTATCAATGAACAATCCAAAAAATCAAGAAAATAATTCAATTTATAATAGCATCAAAAGGTACTCAGGAATAAAGTTAACAAAAGAAGTACAAGATTTATACTCTGACAGCTACAAAACATTGTTGAAAAAAATTAGAGAAGACCTAAATAAATGAAAAAAATCCCATAATCATAGATCAGACAACTTAATTTTGTTAAGATGACAGTACTCTCCAAATTGATCTACAGATTTAATGCAATTCCTGTCAAAATCTCATCTTTATTTGCAGAAATTGATAAGCCGACCCTACAAAATTCACATCCAAGAGACCTGGAATAGTAAAAACATCATAAAAAAGAACAAAGTTGGAGGGATTTCACTTCCCAATTTCAAACTTATTATAAAGCCACAGTAACCACGACAATGTGATACTGGCATAAGACACAGACATATAGACCAATGGAATAGAATTGAGAGTCCAAAAATAAACCCTTACATTTATGGTCAATTGATTCTTGACAATGGATCCAAGACAATTCAATGGGGAAAGAGATTGTTTTTTCAACAAATGGTGCTGGGACAGCTGGATACGCACATTCAAAAGAAATTAATTTGGACCCCCATCCCACGCTATGAATAAAAATTAACTCAAAATAGATTAAAGACCTAAATGTAAGAGTGAAAACTATAAAACTTTTAGAAGAAAACATAGCCATAAATCTTCATGATTCCTGGATAGGTAAATAGTTTCTTAGATATGACACCAAAATCACAAATGATTTATAAAAAAAGATAAATTGGACTTAATCATAACTTTCAAGAACCTTTTTTATGCTTCAGAAGAGACCATCAAGGAAGTGAAAAGACAACCCACAGAATGAAAGAAAATATTTGCAAATCTTATATCTACTAAGATTTTTATTTTATTATTTTACTTATTTATTTATTTTTTTGAGATGGAGTCTCACTCTGTTGCCCAGGCTAGAGTGCAGTGGCATGATCTCAGCTCATTGCAACCTCTGCCTCCCAGGTTCAAGCAATTCTCCTGCCTCAGCCTCCCAAGCAGCTGGGACTACAGGCGTGTGCCACTACGCCCAGCTAATTTTTGTATTTTTAGTAGAGATGGGGTTTCACCTTATTGGCCAGGCTGGTCTTGAACTCCTGACTTGTGATCCACCCACCTCAGCCTCGCAAAGTGCTGGGATTACAGGTGTGAGCCTACTAAGGGATTTTTTATTCAGAACATATGAAAGACTCTTACAACTCCATCATTTAAAAAAAACCCTCAATCAAAACATGGGCAAAGGATTTGAACAGAGGTTTCTCCAAAGAAAATACACCAATGGCCAATACAATAGGCCCCTGAGTGTCATATTTTCACCAGTAGTGTATGAGGGTTTCCATAGCACCCATATTCACCCTAACAGTTGGTATTGTCAGACTTCTTTTACCAATGTAAGTGGGAGTAAAATGGTATTTCAATGTGATCCAATTTTAATTTTCTTTATTACTAATGAAGTTGAGCATCTGCTCTTTATCTGAAAATACCTTTATTTGAACATTATTCTTGAAATTTTGAAGATATCATTTTATAATTTTATCGTTGCTGTTGAGGAATTTGCTGCTGGCCTAATTGTTATTCCATCCTCGACTTCTCTGCTTTTTGTCTCTGGCTATCATATAGATAGATAGATAGATAGATAGATAGATAGATAGATAGATAGATAGATAGATAGATAGATGAATATATATAGAATACATATATAGAATATATATAATAGAATTTTATATATATATACTATATAAATTCTATCTGTCACTGGGGATCTGAGATTTACAAGGAATTAACTAGGTATGGATTTCTTTTTGTTTCTTCTGCTTGAGAATTTTGTGTTAGGGGAATTTCTAGATTTTATTTTTCATCCTTACAGAAAATTTTGTCATTATGTCTCTTTCAGTGTCTCTATCTGCTCTTTATATAACTCCATGTAGCATATATTATATACCTTCTCATCCTGTCCTCTATATCTTTTAATTTCTTTCTCATACTTTTTAACTATTTATTTTTCTATTCTGTGTTCTGGCAATTTCCTCAGCTGTGTTATTAAGTATTAATTTTCTCCTCAACTGTGTTTAATCTTCTATTTAACTCATCCAATAGAATTTTTATTTCAATGATTATATTTTTTGGTCCTAAATGTTTCATTTAGCTCTTTTTCTCATCTGTTTGATCATACCAAATAGGCTTTAGTTGTCTGTTCCACTTTGGGATTCTACCCTTTATTCTTTAAACATTTTATCTAATTGCTCCATCCAGCTGTTTCCAAATTTGTATCTGAGGATTTCAATATCTGACATCTCTGAGAGACTTAATCATTTGTGGTTGTTTCTGCTCTACGATTTATGATGAACTGTTTCCTTATGCATGTGGTGATCTGTGATTATGAACTCATGTTTGTTTCATTTGATGTGCGGGAACCCTGTGGGCCTAAATGAGGGATGTTGTCCTCCAGAGAGGGTTTGCGTTCGTTTCTTTGGGGAACTAGGCAATTCTACTACTTCGAACCCCTTTAGCCCCATCACAGTTCCCACAACAATGTAGAAGTCTCAAGTTTAACTTCACAATCTTATAGTGGTCCCAAAGCTTAACTTCCCAATCTCAGAGCTGAGTTGCATTTCCCCATTTCTCATTTGCTTACAATCCTTTATTCAGGTTTCAGCTTACAGTTCTTTTTAGCAGACATGAAGACGTTGCTTGGAGATTTTTTTTAACTCTCTTGTGAATTCAGCAATACATTAAGAAATATGTTTGCTGTAATTTTTCCAGAATCCATCAGTGTGGTAGTGGGAGGGCCCTTCCTGGGTACCTCATGCTGTAGTCTTGCTCTGTTGCCCAGGCTGAGTGGTGTGACCTGTGCTCACTGCAGCCTCCTCGTTCCGGGCTCAAGCAATCCTCCCACCTCAGCCTCCCAAGTGGCTGGAACGACAGGTGCGTGCTACCACGCCAGGCTAATTTTTGCATTTTTTCATGGAGATGGGGTCTCATTCTGTTGTCCAGGCTGGTCTGCTGGTCTCAAACTCCTGGGCTCAAGCGATCCGCCTTCCTCAGCCTCCCAAAGGGCTGGGATTACAAGTGCAAGCTGGGCCACTAATCAATTCTTGAACCTCACTTAGACCCCCAACTACTGACAATTCATCCTCGTCACTATCAGTCACCCTCATGTCTACACTTCCCTCTTTACCCACTGTAAACCCCCGGCTCCTCGTCATCATCCCTGCATTGCAAACTCACTCAGGTTCCTCAGCTCTTCCTCTCTTCATCCAATTCCATGGCCCAGGCCCCAGTACCAGTCAAAGCTCTATGTCTCTACTTGAGAAGATCAACATTCCTGGAGACAGAGAACCTTCTGAATGGTCACAGACCAAGGTCACGGCCAGAAATTTCAAGGCTCAATATCAATGGGCACTCGGTGTTGTCCTTCTCAAATGTGTTCTTTTCCCCACTCAAATATGTCACAAATAATGTCACACCTCCTCCTCTCCAAACCTACCACTGCCGTCCCTCCTGCACATCGCCAGCGGATGATTCTGCCCCGTAATTAAGGAGCAAGAGGCAACCCTGCCATGCTCCTATGGCTGCGTCTCTGAGGCTACTAGCCCCAGGCATCTGGGCCCAGCTCACTGCTCCCCTCCTGTCACCACGGAGGCCACGTCCCCACTCCCTGCCAAGGCCAGGCTCCCACCTGTGTTCTAGGTCTCAGTGCACCTACTTCTTAGGTCCCTCTGTCCTGTTCTCGCTCGGGCATCATTCCCTTGGTGCACACAGGTGCGGTGCTGTCTCCACCACGGGAAACAAAAGCCCCCTCTTGGGCTGCACCCCTTAAGCCCCCCACCCCTTTTCCCAGAAGAACTTTCTAAAAGCATCATCTTTAGTTACTGCCCAACATCCTCACCCTGGCTTTCTCCTCCACCCGTTCAACCAGGCTCTTCCCACCATCCTCTGAGACTGTTCTGGACAAGGTTACCAGTGACTTCCTGTCATCAAGTCAAATGGTCTCTTCTTCGTCATTATCTTCCCTGAGCTCCTAGGGCATTCAGTGTGGCTGGCGACACACTCCTTCAGGGACACTCCCTTCTCTTCCCTCTGCAGCCACCCACACGGCCCCCTCTGGCTGCCTGGTATTCTCTGTCTCCTCCTGCTGATGGCTGGGCCGGCGATGCCCAAGTGACCCTGCTGGGTCTTAGACTCCAGTCTTTCTCATCTGTATCTCAGCCCTGGGCTTTTCTCAGAAAACCACCTCCATGAGAGTACCGACAGGTGCCTCAGGGTTGCCAGGGCCCACGCGAAACTCGAGTGCCTCCCCCTTGGGGCAAAAATAAGCTTTTCTACAAGTCTACCACAACTCAACTCCTGTCCCCATCCCCCATCCACCTCTTCCCTCTTCCCCACCTCCTTGGGAGCATCAACTGGTCCTACTGACTCCCTCCAAAGCATGACCTGAATATGGCCCCTTTCCCCCATCTCTTCCAACAGCAGCCTGGTTCAATCCACCATCACTTTTCGCCTGGGCCACGGTCAAAGCACTTCTCTCCACTTCCATTTTTTGCTCCATTCTAATCCATTCTCTATATAGTGGCCCATAGGATTTTTTTTTAAAGCTTATTTTATTCGCGGTAGCCTCAAACCGGGAACTATTCAACGTTCTTCAACAGGTGAATGATTAAACGAACTCTTTCACATCCATACCATGGAATACTGCTCAGCAGTAAAAAGAAACAAACTACTAATACACAACAACTTGGATGAAATGCAAGGGAAGGATGCTGATTAGAAAAAGCCAAGCTTGAGAAGATACATACTGCACGGTTCCATTTATGTAACACTCATTAAATGACGTGATCATGGCAATGGGGAACAGATTCGTGTTTGCCAGGGATTAGGATTGGGCGAGGAAGAGACAGGTGTAGCTGTGAAGGAGTAAGCCGAGGGGGCCCGGCATGGCACGATGGGGCAGCTTTTAATTCTGGCGGGGATTATGCAAGACTGTGTGTACGATCAGACTGCATAGAGCTACACACACAGACACGCAGGAGTGCATGTATAACCGGTAACATCTGTGGATTGCACCAGTGCTAGTGTCTTGGTTTTAGTATCGCACTATAGTTGTGCGAGATGTTACGACTGGGGAAGCCTCAGTAGGTAGGGACATGCCCGTGGGACTTTCTCGTACATCTCTTGTTCACAGCCGTATTTCTCCCAGTTCCCCACCATCACCCCAAATGTCACATCCCAGCACTCTGTCTCCTACCACGGAGAGCCTCTCTGCAGAGGTGATACGAAGCTGAGGCCCGAGCCACAGGAAAAACCAGACTTCTGCCGGTCGGAGGAAAAATCGCTGCTGGCAGAGAGGATGGCACACACCAGAGCCTGGGAGGAGGCAAGCCGGAGGTGTTCAGGGAGCACAAGAAGCCCGGAGAGTGACCAAGGTGCAGGGGACAGAGGCCACCAGACCCGGCTTGCAAGACCCTATAAAGAGTGTGGCTTTTAGCTGTGATTGAAGCCACTGGGGAGTTTAAGCAGAAGAGGAATACAGTTTAGGATTCTGAACCAGCACACAGGCTGCTGGCGGAATTACAGGTCGTAGAGAGGCAAGTGTGGAAGCGAGGAGGCCACGTGAGGCCTCCGGCGGGCATCGCAGTGAGAAGGGACAGGGTTTGAGTGGGGGGAGAGGCCAGGGGGTCATAGAGAGTGTGGACCCGGCATGCCCCGGGACGGACTGTGGGTTGTGGGGAGTGATAGAGTGTGGGACATAGCATCTATGTCTTGGGGGTACGCTCCTACTCCAGCCCTGCTCTGCCTGTGTGGCGTTGTGGAAGTCACACGACCTCTCTGAACCTAATGGGTCACTGACCTCTGTCCTGCCTATGCCACAGGTTCACTGGTAGGGTCACACCTTATGGGCAGGGTGGCCAGGCCTGGGCCACCTCCTCTGAGAAGCCCTCGGGCCCTCCCCTCCTGATGTGGCCTCCCTCTCTGGATACCGGAGCACGGGCACCACCCACCCCACCGCTCTGCCTTGGGTCATGGCTCTGAGCTCGCCTTTCCCACCAGGCTGCGACTCCTGGCCCGGGCCTATCTCTCTCCAGCCTCTCCCCAGTGCCCAACCTGGAGTCCGACATCCAGTGGGTGCCATTTAGGCTGTGGGAGTGACACATGGGCAGGTGTCCTGCCAGCATCTCTGCTTGTCAGCCCCTCTCCCCAGGTCACAGCGGAGGGAACAGGTCAAGTTCTTGTGTCGTCGCCAGCGAGGATGGCCTCCGCAGGGCACCTGGCAGGGCCAGGGCTTCTTGTGTTTTCTCAGAGCCACAGGGTTTCTCCTCAGAGCTCAGGACCCAGCCTGGCTTTAATCACTCCCAGATGGGGTGAGGGAAGGGGCTGTCCTAGCCACGTGTGAATCCCCCACAGAGACCCCGCCTTGCCCACACACTGGCTCCCAGAGTGTTTGAGGCCTCCCGGAGCCGGGCCAGCCCTGGCATCACTCTTCCTACTCTGTCTGCAGAGGAGAAATAATTTCCTGCAAATATTGTTCCACGTCACTCCACTCCACCGATCAATATTAATCATGAAGATAATAACCGAGGTTTATTAGGCACCTATTGTATGCCAGGCACTGCCAGAAGCTCATTGTCGTCATCACTTTGTATAAGCTCGTCATAGCCCGTGGGGCCCTGAGGAGCCTCCCGCCCCCCCGTGGAGCCCAGTTCCTTCAGAGAGCAGCAAGGGGTGCACCCCAGGCTCCAAGGGGACCTCCCCGACTGTTGACTTCCTAGACCAGAGGAAGCTCCTGGAGGGAGGGATGGTGCCCGCCTGATTGGCCTGGCTCTGGTATTGCTCTGTGAGAAGGCTTTGGGTGTCGCCACTGTCTGCAGGCCTCAGTTCCCTGTCTCTGCAGGATGCGGGACCTGGAGGAACCGGGTGCTCCATGATTCTGCATCGGAAATAATGACAGCCGCGCGCGCTTTGCTTGCTTACAGGAGTCCTCATTTTCATTGCTTCCATTAATATAGTCACATATTTTTAACATCCGCCAATGCCCTCAATTTGTTTTCTCATTTCAATTGCCCGTTGGGGCTTGGAACCTAATTTTAGCGAAGGTCAAATGCAGTTTCTTGGGGTCACCTCCTTTCCCCGTGCCCACCTCTGCAGAAAGGGGGAGCAACAGGGTGCTTCAAGCTATCTCAGTTCCCGGCTCCGGGGAGGGGGCATCTGGATTTAGGGTGGAGGCTGAAAGTGAGGGTCTCTATATCTGGTCAGGACATGGCTTAGCCAACTGGCCACATGGAATCTGGCTGGGGACGCTAGCCTGGGTGTTCCTCAGAAAGACCCTGAGTTCACTAGATATGGGCCCAGGGCTACCAGAGGGCTTAGTGGTGTCTGCTGCAACCTTCTCACTTTTAGTTGGGGAAACTGAGGCACAGAGAGGGGATTGGATAACCAGGCCAAGATTCAGCTAAAATCTGTAGCTCAGCTCCATGAATCGGCAACAAGAGTGAGGAAGGAAGTTGGAGTCCCTCTCTGTACACGCCGCGGCATCGGGCACGCCCTGCGTCACAACCAATGAACTCCCTGCGCAACAAATGGGAAATGAGGCAACCCCCTTGATCTTTCTTCAGACCAATGGCTGGCTCAAGACGGGCCTGGCCTGGAGGCAGATGGAAAGCAGTGATTCGGGTGTTCAGCAGCAGGTGTGGGGCCAATCCACCGTTGGTGAGCGCTGCCCATGAATCTGAGTATTATTAGAAATGCAAGGTTGAGTTCGAAGTGCCTTTGGTTGACCTGGTTTACAAAAATCCCTGGGCCAAAAAGAAGAGGCTGCTTGAAAGGATGCGGCGAGGCAGGGGCTGGGGGCGGAAGTTTGGCCAAGGGAGGGGGAGTTTTGAGAGCACCCGTTTCATGAAGTGGACAGTCCAGGCTCCCCACCCCCAGCCCCTCTGTGAGCCCTGCCCCCGGTGGGTGTGAGGATGAATCACTCCAAGCACCAAAGCTCCACGCTACTCCTCCCAGTCTTGTTTTGCGGCACCTTTAGTGGCCGTGGCCAGCCTGCTGGGGCCTGCTGACTGAAGCCATACCCCGGTGGCCTCTGCCCACGGCCCCCAGGCCGGGCCTCACCCCTTCTGTTTGCCGTGTGCCACGGGGCTGGCGGTGTTTGCTCCTGCCGATTAATCTCTGCGTCTGGGCTCTGGGTAATGCTGGCTGTGGCCATGGGCTGGGGCTTTTGATTATGGGAGCCATGGCTGAAAGGAGGAAGCTCTGGGTCTCCCTCTAGAGAGGTTTGTTGCCACCCCTCACCCCATGCTGGGTGCAGGGCCCTTCCCCTGGGCCTGCAGGGGAAGGACAGTCCTGGGTTCCCCGGGATGCAGGTCACATGCTCCCAGGCCTGGGACCCAAGAGGGTGGCCTAGGGGGCCAGCGGGCAGGGCCGAAGGGCTGAGCTCCCCGCAGGAAGGGTCAGGGCTAGGGTTAGGGCAAAAGCATCTTCTATGCCGGCCCCGGCTGGTCTTTCCTCAAACATTGCCTGAAGGAACCTCCTTCTTTCAGGTCTGATTCTAGTCGCTTGGACACCATAGGAGGGTGGGTGCTCTAGGATAGCTCAGGGGACAGGGACAGGCAAGCGGGAGTAGGCTAAGAGGAAGGCCTGAGGTGGCACAGCTTCAGCCTACCCACGCAGCTCCTCTGTGGGGAGGGCAGGACTGTGAAACCCCCTCTCTCCAGCAGCCCCCTCCCACCCTGCACCCAGTCCCCCCAAGCCCTCAGCCTCACCCCCTTCCACCTGGAGATGTTGACCCAGGCCCCGTGCTTGCCTCAGTTTCCTCCCTCCCAAGGCTTCCCTGCAGACCCTCGGCTCAGCCCTCTGCTTCCCTGAGGTAGGGTTGTTAATGTGTACGTGCGTGTGTGCTGTGCGCGTGTGATGGCAGCAGCCGCCCTTTCCAGACCCTTCTGTGCTAGGCCGGCCTCTGGGGACACGCCTAGGAGGATGGCACTTCCCAGGGAGGTCAATGTGGCTGGCCTTGTTCGACCCACAAGGATACGGAGGCTCAGGGAAGTTAAGATGCCTGCAGAGGTCCCCAGGCTTCTGCCCTCTGACCCACGAGGATGCGGAGGCTCAGGGAAGTGAAGACACCTGCAGAGGACCCTGGGCCTCTGGCCCGGTGCAGCTGCAGGTACTAGGTGGTTCTCGTGGGGGTGTGAGTGGGGTGCATGTGGGTCCATGTAGCGTGTGTTGTTCTCAGCCAGGCCCAGCACCGCCAGGTCCCTTGAGCTGTCCGCAGGCTGAGACCCTGCACTGTGAGGCTATTGCGGAAGAGGCAAAGGGCATCTTGTGGGAGGTACTCCTCAAGAGTGGGCTCTCTGCCTCCTTCTAACCATTCCCCCATGAAAGTCCAGGATCGTAAGGGGGACCACACTAAGCCCCTCTGAAGCCCTGTGCTTCCCTGGGGTCTTGCACATAGGAGGGCCTATGACTCTGGGCTGGGCTAAGGTGTACAGTGCTGGTGCCTTCCTCCCCAACAGCACCCTGAGTGCAGCTACCGATGAGGCCCTGTCTGCGCTGGGGGCCGGCCTCGCCAGCAGGGGCAGCACACGCAGTAGGGGTTGAAGGAACTAGAAAGAAGCCCCGAAGGGCTCCCAAGGACAGGCAGTGCTGGTGCTTCTCCTTTCGGGAGGGGCCATTGCCTGCATGCCCCCGGACACCATCAGGGAGGGCAGTGTGAACTCCCCCGTGTCCCTCACATGGACAGGCTGTTATTGGAGGAGGGCGAAATGGAAAATTCTGCACGTGACTTTGCCTCCCTGAGTAACCTCCCAGCACTCAGCGCTTCCCGCAGCCCAGCCTCCTAATTGCTCGGAGCCTGTGAAAGCCTTTTAGAGCACCTGGGACTCTTCTTTGCTATTTTTTCCCTTCCATTTAAAAGAGAATTAAGTAGGTGTGGACACGCTGCCTGCGGACCCTGGGGTGGGAGTGGGATGGAAGCCTACGGGGGCGGGTGCCTCCACCCCGGCCAGCCCGGCCAGCACGGCCAGCCTCTGGAGGGACCCAAGGAGGCCCCTCTGCTGCCCGTGCATCCTGAAGACCCTGCACAGAGCTGGGAGTGTGGAGGAAGGGACTTTATGGGAACCAACCAAAGAGGACAGCTCCTTTTGGGGACCCAGATGTCCCACCGGCCAGCTCCCCCCATGATGGGTGGGCTCTAGAGAGACCTGGCCCCAAAGCCTAGATGCAGGGCCCACCTGGGAGCCCTGCCTTGCCTGACTCCAGGACTCAGGACCCAAGCACAGCCCTGGACCCTCCTCTGCAAGCCGGGGGGGTAGGAAGGGGCTGCCGCTGAGCCCGCAAGGAAACAGACACTTGGCCTCACTCGGGCTCAGGACTGACGAGCAAGAGGGGGCCAAGTGCTGCCCTGGAAACACCAAGGTCAGCTGGGTGCCGTGGCTCATGCCTGTAATGCCAGCACTTTGGGAGGCCCAGGTGGGAGGATCACTTGAGTCCAGGAATTTGAGACCAGCCTGGGCAACATGGCAGAATTCCAGCTCTACAATTTAAAAATTAGCTAGGCATGGTAGCATGCCCCTATAGTCCCAGCTGCTCTGGAGGCTGAGGTGAGAGGATCCCTTGAGCCCAGGAAGTTGAGGCTGCAGTGAGCTGTGGTCGTGCCAGTGCACTCCAGCCTGGGTGACGGGGCAAGACCCTGTCTCAAAACCAACAAACACCAAGGCCAACGATGTAGTAGTCCATGGTAGCAGGATGTCAGGATGTCAGGACCATCAACGCCAACCAGAGGGTCTGCAAGGAGGAGGTGGGGAGGTCCAGGCCAGAGACATGCTGCCATGATTGACCCAGCCTCAGACATACACGTGAGCAGCAGAGACCCGTCCAAACAGCAGGCCTGCTGGACAGCTCTGCCACCAATGTCACATGACCCTGGGCAAGTCGCAAGCCCACCCTGAGCCTCAATTTCTTACCCACAGAGATGGGCTGCAATTAGGTGACCTCAACCACCTGAGATTCCACAGTGCCCTCTTCCATGCTGTATTCATACAGAGGCAGAGGCTGGAGAAAGGACTTTCCCTTCCGGGAGGGGCGGTGGGCACAGTCCTCACGTTGGCCTTCACCGCCTTACCTGACTCCCAGGTGTGGCTGTGCTGCCTGCGAGGCTCAGGGGTCGCAAGTGAGGAGCCACCAGTGAATCAGAGGGGACGTTCAGACCGGCTTTGCCAACCCCCAGTGCTGTCCACACGGCTGGAGCGTTGCTGCTGCCGTTACTTAGGGGCTACCCTGAAGGAACCATCCTCCAAAGGACTGGCCTCCTGCCCCTCCCAGAACAGTCGAAGGCCCTACAGCTTTGCGTGGGGGCCGGAGGGACCTGGAGACCATTCCGGCCTCTCCGTGTCCTTCCTATAGAGGAAGGGGAGCGACTTCCTGAAGGTCAGGAGTGAGGCTGAGTCTCCAGTTGATTTCCTCCATCCCAGAGGTTCTGCCAAGGGCTTCCCCAGTGCGTCCTGAGAAGCAGGGTCAGCCCTGGGAGAAGCTCGGCCAGGGTGTGTCCAGAGGAAGAGCAGGCGCCACGATGTCAAGGTCGAGGGCTGGGGGTGGAGGCAGGATGGAACCCCAGCTCTGACCAACACCAGATGGGTGACCTTGGAGGGAAACACTGTATTCTTGCCCATAAAATGGGAGGAGACCAAATTCTGCCTCTAAGGGGTAAATGGGGCAGCTGTATATAGCTGAGTACGCAGCAGGAGTGCAGTCAGCACTGCTGTGGCAGCCGCAAGGACTGCGCCCTCAGCCCGGGGGGCTGCGGCAGGCTCCAGCATGGCCTCCTTAGCCCTCAGAGCCCAGAGCGGGCTCCAGCACATCCTCCTTAGGCCCCAGAGCCCAGGGCGGGCTCCAGCACGTCCTCCTTAGCCCCCAGAGCCCAGGGCGGGCTCCAGCATGTCCTCCTTAGCCCCCAGAGCCCAGGGCAGGTGCCAGGGGGCTCCAGCACATCCTCTTAGCCAACTCTTCTTCAAACAGGTGGCAAAGGGAAGGTGCACCAGGGCGGGGTCACAGGGCTGAGCACTCCTCTGCTGCTGTGGGCAGGCAGGTGGCTGGCCCATGGCTGAGCCCCCTTCAGTTGCCAGCATTCTAGGCCAGGGCAGCTGCTGCCCACACATTCTAGCTCCTCCCAGACAATGCTGAGCCATGGTGCCCGGGGCACAGGAGCAGCCTGCAGGGAGGCAAGAGGTGGCCTGGGTATTTTCCCAGCATTTGTGTGTCACAAGACTAAAATGGCTAGGATCTTTCAGTCCCACCCCATCACCTCCTCCCTGCCACTCTTAGAAAAGGCGACAGTGGGAGGAAATGGCTGGACCTGCTTTCATATCAGCAAGTTCCCCAGCCCTGTCGCCACCTTTCCCTCTGCTGGTGGGAGACATCACCTCTTCTCCAACCAAATCACCCAGGCGGGCTGGCGCATGAGCTACAAAGAGAATTGGCTATGTATTTGGGGAATAAAGCTAGAAAGCACTTGATTTGATAAATGTCACCCACTGGAGGCATTTTCAGAAATGTATGCAGCTGCAGCAGCCCAACCAACAACAATGGCAAGGAAAGCTGGCATCGTGCTGCCCTGTAAGTAATGGCTTTGTACTTTTCCAGGATGCTCCCAGAATGGAGCCCCTGGGAAGCCATTCCAGAGCAGGGCATGACTCACCCGCACCCACGGCAGCCGGGTACCTGAGCGCAGCCAGGAAGCCATGAACTTCACAGGACCCTTCTGATGCTTCTAAGCATCACTGGGTTTGGGAACCACCTTCCACAAGAGACAGGTCCTGGGCTCCATTACACCCTCAACAGGCTTGGATGTGAATTGAGGGGATCCCTCCTACTCTGTCCAACACCCCCCGATCTAGAACATTTCTCTGAATGTCCATTGGTGCCATGGGAACCACAAGTTAGCTGGACAGAGCTGGAAAGGAGGAGGAGGTGGCACCTGGTGATGTCTGGCTGACTTCGCTGGGGTCCTGGGGCTCTGCATGGTGAGGACTGGTGGGGGTCAGTGGAAGACGGGCCCCTCAATGGGAAGAACAGGGGTGGGGATGAAGATGGGTCCTCCACGGTGAGGATGGGGGTGGATACAGATGGGTGCCTTTTCCTGAGGTCCTGCCTGTGCCCTCTGGGCAGCTGGGGAGGCACAGGTGGCTGGGGCTGCAGGGAGCCCTGAGGAGGATGGAGAAGAGGGAAGAGGGTGGGAAGGGTGTCACCCCCTGGCGCTGGCAAAGGCCAAGCTGAGAAAAATCTGCCTGAGGCAGAAGGCAGGGGACAGTGCCCACTGGGAACAGGCACCTCTCCCCGCTTCCCAACCCCAATTCATTGGGAAATACGGTGATCCCCGGTTTGGGTGGAGCCCCATTGAATCAGCTGGGAGGTGGTGGAAACCGCAGTGGACTTTGTTTTAGGCCCTGGAATCAAGCATTCGAGTAAGGCACCTTGAGAGGGAGAGGGCTCTCTTCACTGTCCGGGGCAGCAGGTGCCCACCGGAGCTGTCCAGGACACAGGACACATGCCGGAGACCTAGCCTAGCCCTGGCTCCGCACTCAGCAGCGCGCACCCCGGCACACACCCACGCCCTCTGGACCTCAGTCTTCTGTTGGTGAAATGGGTACAGCATGCGTAGCCCACAGGAAGTGCAAGGCAAGGAAAGAACAGTGGTGGATCTGCCTGCAAGCCACAGGGCAGGCGTCAGAAGCCACAAGGCACTGCCATGGGCCTCATGACAGACGGCACCACCTACCCCTTCACGGACGGTCCGGGATGAAAGAGGAGGACGTTTCTGGGGGCGGTGAGCTAGTGAGGAGCCCCTCGGAAACCTCCGGCAGGCAGCCGAGTAGGGATGCCCGGTCACGCCTCACGTTTACCCAGGAAGCCCTTCCCAGCTGCTATCCCGGGACAGTCCCAAAGGTTCTTCTGCATGGAATTGGCATGGCACCTCCCAGGTGCACATGAGGAAACTCAGTCCCCAAGACATTGAAAGGCTTGCCTGCCACCCCACAGCTTATTAGTGGCGGGGCTGGGACCAGAATCCAGACCTCTGCAGCCCAGTCCAAGGCTTAAGCCCTCAGCCCACATCCCCAGATGCTTGGAATTACTGAGCAATTCCTCAAACCGGCGCTGGGCCAAAGGCCTTCTTTATGGTCCCATTGGACCCCCGCCCTAGGAGGAGGTATCTGTTCTCCCAATTTTCAGAGAAGGAAGTGAAGGCCCCCAAAGTTAACTCCCCAGTGCCAGGCCCCAGGGGGATTAGGACCCTCCTGTGCCTGACTGGCCAGCTCCTGGCTCTATAGCCCACCGCCTCCCCAAGGGATGTCTCCAGAAAAGTAGGGAGGGTCTGGCCTAGAGCCCAGCTGATGGGGAGCAGCCAGAAGGACACCCACATGGATTTGTGCCTCCAGAGAGTTTGATAAAACGAAGTCCGCAGGCCCTGCTGGGTGGAGAATCCATCACTTCCTGTGGTGACCTGGAACGACCTGGTTTCCTCCTGAGACAAGGAGGCCCACTGACCCACGATGGGGGCAGCTTCCCCTCGAACCTGGGGCCTTCCAAGCTGCGGCCACTGTGTGGCCCCCTCCCCTGCTGGTGACCATCCTCCAGCACTGGGGAAGGCAAACCTCTCTCCAGCCCCAGGGAGGACGCTGAGCGGGTGAGTCTTGCGTCTTCCCAGCTGCAAAGCCACAGGGTGGCAGGGCAGGGGAACGATGCTGGGGGGATCCAGAAGCCCCACTGGCTTTGATCCCTGTTCCCCACCCAACTCCAGGGGCTGTTCCTTCACACCCCTCAGCCCAGTGCCCTCCTTTTTTGGGAAACCACTCCCTGCCCACGGCCATGGCGCAAGCCAGGCCCCTTCAGGCATCTGGCCACCTGCGGCTCCCTGAGTGCTCCCTGGGCTGTACTCGGCCCCCTCATTGCTGGGAGCTGGGGAGAGGGCCGAGCGGTGAGGGCGGATGTGGGGCTCCAATTCAGGGTGCCCCCCGCAGGTAAGAGCTGCAGCTGTCTCTTTGCAGGGCCCTCTCACTACAGGGACGTGAAGGTTCCCTGGAGACCATGGGAAAGACGTCCCTCCACTTGGCATACTTTGGCTTTCACACTTGTGCCCCAGCTCCTGGCCCCACCACTGTGCTTGCCAGGCTCCTGAGCTCAGCTTGCTGTAGAGGAGGTGGCTAGAGTGGAAGTGGGGCTCCCGTGCTCCCCAGGACGGCCAGCTCCAACCGAGGCTTTTCACCCCAACTCTCCCCTTCCAGTCCTCCACTTCCCACTGAAACCCCAGCTTCTCCTTGAGGCCTGTATGTAGTACTGCAGCCTTCTCCGACCCACACTCATGCACACTCACCCACATACACTCATGCACACTCACTCACACCCACTCACACTCACCATGTACACTCATGCACCCTCACATCCACTGACACCACATATACTCATGTGCACTCACTCCCATTCACACTCACCACATACACTCATGCACTCACTCCACTCTCACCACATGCATTCATGCACACTCACACCCACTCACACCCACCACATACACTCATGCACACTCACACCCACTCACGTTCACCCATATACACTCATGCACACTCACATCCACTCACACCCACATACACTCATGCACACTCATACCCACTCACACTCACCACATACACTCACACACCCACTCATGCACACTCACTCACACCCACTCACACTCACCACATACACATGCACTCACCCACATACTCATTAACACTCACACCCACTCACACTCACCACACACTCATGCACACACACCCGCTCACTCACCCACATACACTCATGAACACACCCACTCATTCACCACATACACTCATGCACCCTCACATCCACTGACACCACATATACTCATGCACACTCACTCCCACTCACACTCACCACATACACTCACACCCACTCACACCACATACACTCATGCACACACTCACCAGACTCAAAATGTATAACGGCTCAACAACCTGCTCACTCACACACATACATACTCATACATCCACTTACTCGTACACACACTCGCACACACATTCAGTCACACACCCATTCACTCACACCCACATGCACTCATTCACTCACACACAGTCACAGACATTTGCACCCATTCCCACTCTCATACACACACGTACACACCCACTGGTTCACTCACACCCACACAATCACACACACTCTCACACTTTCACTTTCACCCACTCTCTCACACACACACACACTCACAATCTTCATCCTGTCGCACTTTCACAGCACCAACTGCCACCACTTTTTTTCTTTTTTGTTGTTGCTTTTTTTTTTTTTAGACAGAGTCTCACTCTGTCACCAGGCTGGAGTGCAGTGGCGTGATCTCGGCTCACTGCAACCTCCGCCTCCCAGGTTCAAGTGATTCTCCTGCCTCAGCCTCCCAAGTAGCTGGGACTACAAGCAGAAGCCGCCACACCCAGCTAATTTGTTTTTTGTGTTTTTTTGTTTGTTTGTTTTTGCATTTTTAGTAGAGATGGGATTTCACCATGTTGGCCAGGATGGTCTCGATCTCCTGACCTCGTGATCCACCTGCCTCAGCCTCTCAAAGTGCTGGGATTGCAGGCGTGAGCCACCGCACCCAGACTTTTGTTGTTTTTTTAAAGAAATAAACCTGGGCTGTTGTTGCACTGCCCACCTTCTCTCCCACAACACAGCTCACTCATTATTACGTGCTTGTTCAATCTCTGTTCCCCTCCACACTAGGATGTGAGCTCCCTTTGGGGCTGGGGGCCAGCCCTGGCATTTTGTAGGAACCTGCAGAGCTCCAGCCAACCCATGGGCACCTTGTGCTCACAAGCCAGCACAGCCCCGCGCGGCCTCCGGGGCCTGACTCCACCTGCCGGTGCACCCCCACCTTGACCCTGAAGCTCCCGTTGCCTTTAGCCCTTGAAGTCTCCTGGGCTGAGGATGGTCATATTTGCTTAGCATGTTTCTTGCAAAGCAGCACCCCAATCACCCTCATTTGATCTCCCTGTGAGGACGGCATTCTCCCTTCCACACAGATGAGCACGTGGCCTTGGTGGCTGCGCTGGCCTGCCCTGCACACTCAGAACTCGGATTCAGATTCCACCCGACGTTCCCAACTCCTACTCTCACGGCCGCTGACGGGGCCCTCGGCGCCTCCGGAAAAGCCCTTCCAGCGCTGGCTGCCCTGACTTCCAAAAAGCGCTTCCTTAGTTTGAGCAAAATCAGCTTCTTTGTGTCCATCCCAGGGCCCCCTTCCAGAGCTGCACGGCACAGGGAGGTTGAGGACGGCCCTCATGACCTCCATAAGTGTCACTGCTCCAGCCTAGAACATTCCCACTTCCTTCCGCTTATTCCCCGAGACCTCGTTTTCCATCCAACTAGCTGTAGGGACAAGAAGCAGGTATTTCTGCTTTGGGTTTTTAGGAAGGGACCTGGAGGCGTCGGTAAGTCTGTCTCATAACTGTTGATGGCAGGGCTCAGTCTGCAGCCGAATGTGTGTTACTCAAAACTGAAATCTCTTTTTGAAGCACAAACATGAGGGGCAGAGGGAGAAGACGCACCTCTGACAGGCGTTTCCAAAAGGGTTTGAGCTCCAGGCTCCATCCCTCCCGGGCCTTCCTCCCCTTTGAGCCAGGCTGGGTCTGGGCTGCTCGCTGCCTGCTCTCAGGGAGGCCTGTGTTCGTCCAGCAGTGCCAGGGCTGGCAGGCAGTTCAGCCTAGCTTAGGGGTGAAGTGGTGGCAAACCCACTTCATTTCAAATCTGAAGCCACCGGCGTCAGCCAGTTTTATTATTATCATGAGAGGGTGTGGCTATATGGCTTCTCCGGACCATCCTGCCCACCTCCCATGAGAATCTTTTTGCAGAATAAGCTACAACAGCCAAGAGGTGGGGAGAGAGCTCTGGAAGCTCCATCTAAGTGCCGGGATACAGCCATACCTGAGGACACATCACAAGCCTATCCATTGCTATGTGTGGATTTACCTATCATTCAATCATTTATTTTGCTTAAACCAGTTTCTTTTTTTGTTTGTTATGTTGCTTTGTTTTGCTTTTGAGATGGAGTCTCACTCATTCTGTTGCCCAGGCTGGAGTGCAGTGGCGCAATCTCGGGTCACTGCAACCTCTGCCTCGTGAGTTTAAGCAATTCTCCTGCCTCAGCCTCCTTGAGTAGCTGGGATTACAGGCACCCACCACCACGCCCCGCTAATTTTTGTATTTTTAGTAGAAATGGGGTTTTACCATGTTGACCAGGCTGGTCTCGAACTCCTGGCCTCAAATGACCTGCCCGCCTCGGCCTCCCAAAGTGCTGGGATTAAAGGCGTGAGCTACCACGTCCAGCTGCTTAAGCCAGTTTCAAATGGATTTCTGTCGCTTGCAGCCCAAAGCTCTTGATTGGTGCAGCTTTGCCAGTGGCACCTTAAAGACTGGATTCCTAAGAAAGTCTAAGCTTCTACTAATTATAAAATACTTACGATTATGTATGTCATTTATATTAACTAATAATATTTAAAGCTAAGCCTTCAATTCAGAGTCATAAAAAAGGACTGAGGCCATGTCTACCTATGTGCTTGGGAACAATTAATCTTAATTAGGAAAGAAAGAAACTAAAATCTATAAGTGCCCCCACTTTCTGTGTCCCAGGCACTATGCCAGGCCTTTCACATACTTCGTTTCATCTTCCCAACAAAGCTGTGAGGCGGCGTATTAGTTCAGATAACTCTAGCTGCTATAACAAATAGACCCAAAATGTATACCGGCTCCACAACAGGGGTTTACTGCTCACTCACACCCAGTCAAGGCAGATGTCCCTGACCAGTAGAAGCTCTCCTCTGTGCAGTGACCACACAGAGACCCAGGCTCCTTCCATCCCAGGGTCACCAGCCACGAGGGCCTCAATCTCCCCTGTTTTCAGCTGGGAAAAGCTTGGCAGAGCTTGGAGGGGACCCAGCTATTCCTATAATAACATCCTTGACACAGGAATTGCATGCCTTGCTCCATTTGCCTTCAGTTGGCTGAAGCTCACTCACACCGAGCTGTTAGGAGGATGGAAAGTGCCCCTGGAGGCCAGGTGTGGAGGCTCACACTGTAATCCCAGCACTCTGGGAGGCTGAGGCAGGCAGATTGCTTGAGCCCAAAAGTTCTAGACCAGCCTTGGCAACATAGTGATACCTCATCTCTACAAAACAGCAAAAAAATTAGCTGGGTGTGGTGGCATACTCCTGTAGTCCCAGCTACTCAGGAGGCTGAGGTGGGAGGATCCCTTGAGCCTGGGAGGTTGAGGCTACAGTGAGCCAAGATTGATCCACTGCACTCCAGCCTGGGCGACACAGCAAGATCTAGTCTAAAAAAAAAAATGGAGGGGGTGGGGAGTGTACCTGGAAAGACAAGGAAATGGATATCTCGGGAAGAGCTTGCAGCTTCTCCTACAGGGAGGGTTCATCCGCTCTGTGGGTGAATAAGAGGCTCAGGCTGCTAACGGACTAGATCAGGATTTGGACTCAGGACTCTCTGGGCCCAAGTCCCACTCACTTCCCTTCTCTTCATGCTGCCTGAATTGGTAATCGGGACAGGATACCAAATGACCTTTCTTCTGGTGGCGCTTACAGTCCCTTTCTAGGAACACTCTAAACACTGGAAGAACAATTCCAAATGAAACGGAACAGAATGGGAAGCACTGCAACAGTGAGGGCCCAGGCCCCATGGCCAGGCGAGTCAGTGGGTGCTGCAGGGAAGAGGGATGGGGCACAGCTCCCAGGTGGGGCACAGCAGAACACCTAGCTGGGCTCCAGCAATGGCCCTGGCCAGGGCCTGGACGTGGAAATGAGGGTCAGCCCTGTGGCTGTTGACAATGTAGACCTTTCTGGGAGTAAACTGGGGGAAGGGAGCTACAGGAGCATCGTGACTGCTGTTGGTGGCTGGACCTCAGTTTCCCCAGCAAGGCCCCACTTGAATCAGATCATTCAGAAGAGGATGATGAAGTTGGCTCCATTCAGCTTTTGAGGCTGCTGCCAACAAAAAGAGTGAAGACATCCTGAAACGGTGGGTTCCTGGTTTGCTCCACCCCAATCCTCCAGCCCCTGACCCCCTGTGGAGCCCCCCACCCTCCCCCTGTTCACGCTTCTCCTCAGGCCCGGAGGCCCAGTCTCGGAGCTTCTTTGCAGAGCCATCTGAGACAGGGCACCTAGAGCCCGTACGTCAGTGGCAGCCCGGCCCAGCTCCCCTACCTGGGGCCTTGGGCTCAGCTCCTCCCTTCTGAGTCTGTGTGTTTAAAAGAAAAAAGGCCATGGTTTCAGCCTGGGCAGTCTGAGGGGGCAGCATTGACGAGGCCTTGCCATCTCTCAGCAAAACACCCGCATTTAAACCTGGAGACAGATGCTCCGGGTGGGGCAGGGACTCGCCCCAGGTCGCCAAGCACCTTAATAAACACGGTGTATTTGTGCTTCCCAGGAAAGGTGTGCTTGGCCGCCCCTCCCTGATATCAGAGCTTTCATGGTGCTTTTTATTGACCAAGAAGATAAAGAGCTCAGTTAAATAACTGGGTAAATAACTGGCCTCGGACCAGGTGCTGGTCTGGGACATAGATCAGCCTTTTTCAATGAAGGAGAAGTCTTGCCCTATTCCCAGACAGCCCCCAGCCCTGCTTTGGGCAGTGAGCAGTGGCGCCTGGGAGGGAGTTGGCTGATCAATCGTGTCTCCTGGGGCAGACATCTCTACACAGGAGCCGCTCGCCTTGCTCTCAACCTTGGCTGTGCATTGAAATCACCAGGGGAATTTAAAATGCCAGTGCACCCGCCTCACTCCCAGGGACTTCGATTTGATTAGCTTGTGGTGCGGCCCAGGCACTTGACATAAAGGCCTCCCAGACATTGCAGCGTGAGCCAGGGCTGAACCCCCCTCACTAAGTGGGGTCAGACACTGTGTGGGATGGTTCCCATTTCAGTGGTGTAAAGATTCCCGCCAAGCAACCACATTTTAACAACCAGCTTCCACCATTCCTCCCATGGAATTCCAGGCTCTCGGGAGCCATGGAGCTGGCTCTAACTGTCCATCATCCATGAGGCACCTGGGCACGACCTCTCCTAGTTGGAACAGAACAGAACAAGAAGGAAGCTTCCAGGCTGTCAAAACAAAAAGTCTCAAAGCCTGTGCCCCACAGCTGAGATCTGATTTTAAATGACCTTTTGGAAGAGGAGACAGAAAAGAAACGCTTTCCTGCAAATGAAAGATGAGGGGACAAACCACAGTATGGGGTCATTCAATTAAGGGGCAAGAAGTACTCAGCTCCAAGGAAAAGGACGGGCTTCCTGCAGCCAGCGACGTTCCAGGCAGTGACTCAGAGCGAGGGACTCTAAGAAGGCAGCTCTGGCCGGGCACGGTGGCTCACGCCTGTAATCCCAGCACTTTGGGAGGCCGAGGCAGGCGGATCACCAGGTCAGGAGATCGAGACTATCCTGGCTAACATGGTGAAACCCCATCTCTACTAAAAATACAAAAAATTAGCCAGGCATGGTGGCGGGTGCCTGTAGTCCCACCTACTCGGGAGGCTGAGGCAGGAGAATGGTGTGAACCCCGGGAGGCGGAGCTGGCAGTGAGCCAAGATTTCGTGCACTCTAGTTTGGGCAACAGAGCGAGACTCCGTCTCAAAAAAAAAAAAAAAAAATAGAAGGCAGCTCTAAGGGGAGGGATCCTAGGAGACAAAAGAATGAATCCTGGACTACACTAAGTGCCTCTGTTCTCACAGGCTAGCAGGGGCGTGGAGACAGATTCCCGGCCTGTATGAGCCTTGCCTTCAGCATCTTCCCTCCCCCATAGACAGGCAAGCAGCTCTCGATGGGTTTTCTATTGAAATCCGTGGCCTTGACTGGCCAGAGGTCTCTGTCCTGCAGGCAGGAGGAAGCGTACAGGGGCTGCCTGGGGTTGGGCCATGCTGTTAGGAACCTTGACCTTGGAGTCCTGCTCCAACCCTGTGAAAGGGGAGTCCAGGGCCAGGGAATGTGCCTCTGGGATCAAGTTTTTGCTGGTGGGGAACAAAAGGAGAACAATATCTGTGGGGTGAGTTTTTTCTAAAGCAAATATGTCCACTGTGAATAACTGACCTTTGCACTCAGATGTATAACTACATCCATTTTTTTAAGTGATAAGATCTCACTCTGTTGCCCAGTCTGGAGTGCAGTGGCATAATGGCACGATCACAGCTCATGCTCAAGCAATCCTCCCGCCTCAGCCTCCAGAGTAGACGGGACTGTAGAAGCATGCTACTACGCCCGGCTACTTTTTTAAATTTTTAGTAGAGACAGGGTCTTTCTATATTGCCCTGGCTGGTCTCAAGCTCCTGGGCTCAAGCAATCCTCCTGCCTTGGCCTCCCAAAGTGCTGGGATTACAACCATGAGCCACTGCACCTGGCACATCCATTCTTTTATGAAGTGATGGGGAGAACGGATGGTGGGTCCTTATTTTTTAAAATTTCCTCCCTTGGTATGAAGGGAACTTAGCAACCCTCTGTGGCTCCTCCTCTGGCTTGCGGGAGAGGAGAGGCTACAAGAAAAGAGGCTTCAGCCTCACTGTTCCAGCTCTAGGCATATCTGACTGCAACCATCTGAGGTCCCAGGCTAGGCCCTTCCAGCTGGGTGTGTCCCAAATTCCTGTCCACAGAAGCCATCAGAGAGAATAAAATCTTGGTGTTTTAAGCCACTGTGTTTTGGGGTGATTTCTTACAGCGGTAGATAACCGGAACACCTCATCTGCTGTGACTCGTGGAACACAGGCAGAAATCCCAAGTCAGGCAACAGAGAGCCCTGGCGAGCCCTGGCTGGGCTGGGTCCCACTAATAAAGTGGGGTCAGAGCTCTGCCCGCTATGGGGGCCGCTGTGGCTGCCAGGACTCCCCATCAGAGTGCCACAGCCAAGGTGAGGGTGGATCAGGAGAGGACCCATAAGTCTTCACCAGGCATCAGGCCAAGAGCTAAGGGCAGGTGACGGAGACAGGGAGAGGCGTCCTCTCGAAGCCTCAGCTCACCCTGCAAAGGGAGGCGAAGAGCCATGGCCTGAATTTGACTTGTGAAACCAGAGGAAGTCACTGGACTCCGAAGCCCTGGAAAAGCTCAGGGAGCTAACAAGATTTTAATATTTCAAAAGCTTCCAGGTCGCAGCTGAAATGCTGCGTAAGAGGCTTGCAAAGTTCAGGGCCGTAAACAACTCAGCTGTGTACTCTGGAGGCTCAGAAGGCAGAGGCTACAGGCTGGGGAACAGCCACCTGGGCTTCTAGTGACTTCTGGACCTTCACATGCTGGGAACGTCTCGGGGAGTGACACAAAGTTGGGCAAGCCTGTGCTGGGGTCTTGGCACGGCTGCATCCTTGCACGGGGCAGAGCGGTGAGGCCCACTGAGAGCACAAAACCAAGACCCGTGTCAGCAGGGGCATTGGGAGGTAGGCTCTGGGTGCAAAGGGCCTATGGCCTCAGCCCAGGACCTCCCAGCCAGGCCACCAGAGTTGGGACAGAGGATAAAGGGAGGACTCAGCCTCAGAATAAAGCAGCCACCAGCAACTGCAATCAAGGGGGCTGGAGAGAGGGGAGAGGAGTGAGAGAGGCCGTGGCTAGCCCACCTGCAGGGCAAGGCAGCCTTGAATGAAGGGAGCTTGCTGCCTGACAGCTCCTGGGGCGGAGGGAGTTAACCCAGCCTGGCGGCCCAGGTGCAGGGAGGCCTGCTCAATGAACATCTGAACCTCTCTTGGGGTCACACCCTCCCTCCTTTGAAAGCATTCCTGTGCTTCTGGCTCAGGTGCTGCAGCTGGGAGGACATTGTTTCCAATTCAAAGGGAAGGTGTCTTTAGCGCTCTGTGATGACAGCCCAGCCTCAGGAGAGGGCAGGGGAGCAGGCTGGTGTTATTACTCCTTCCTTAATGGGCCAAGGCTGACTCTGGGGCGTTTGTGACCTAGAGTGGGCAGTCGTCTCCCTCCCTCACCCTCCCCGCTTCCCCACTCAGCACTCCCAGCTGCATGTCCCGGTGGCCGGGTCACGCTGAGCTTACAGGGTGTGTGAGTTCCCTATGACTCTGCCTTAACAGAGTTCCACAGATGGGGTGGCTTCAAACAACAGAGATGTGGCCGGGCGCGGTGGCTCACGCCTGTTATCCCAGCACTTTGGGAGGCCGAGGCGGGCAGATCACTTGAGGTCAGGAGTTTGAGGCAAGCCTGGCCAACATGATGAAACCTGTCTCTACTAAAAGTACAAAAATTAGCCGGGCGTGGTGGTGGGCACCTGTAGTCCCAGCTACTCGGGAAGCTGAGGCAGGAGAATTGCTTGAACCGGGGAGGTAGAGGCTGCTTGCCATTGCACTCCAGCCTGGGCAACAGAGGGAGCCTGTCTCAAAAACAACAACTGCAGAAGAGATGCATTTTCTCCTCATTCTGGAAGCTAGAAGTCCGCACTCAAGCTGTCAGCAGGGCTCAGCTCCCTCCGAAGCCTGTGGGGGTGGGGGCACGGGGAGTCCTTCCTTGCCGCTTCCAGCTTCTGGTAGCCCCAGGTACTCCTTGCCTTGTGGCCACGCCACTCCAATCTCTGTTGTCACTTGACATTCTCACTGGGGGTCTCTTCTCCTCTCTCACAAGGAAACCAGTCATTGGATTCAGGGGCCAACCTACTCCAGGGTGACCTCATCTTAACTGGATTTCATCTGCGAAGAACTCCATTTCCAAACAAGGTCACAGGGGTTTAAGACTTTGAATATCTTTTTGGGGGACCCAGTTCGGCCCACGGCAGAGAGTTAGGGAGACCTGGGTCCCAGGGACATCCCAAGCCTCCTGGACAACGCGCCCGGCCCTCTGGTCCTCATCACCCCCACCCCGCCTCCAGGCTGAGGACAGCAATCTCTCTCCTGCTCTCTCCTGGAACGCCATGAGGGTCAGAGATGACCGATGTCCCCCTCATCCACAGGGGGACATGAAAGGAGGCAGAGGACCGGGGTGGAAGTCGTCAGTGGCATCTGAGCCCCTGGTTCTTGGCAGCAGGATGGGGAGAGTGACACCTTCCTGCTGCCTGACTGCTGAGTATGGAAAGGCCTGATGCTCCTGAGGGCCCAGCACAGGACCTACGCCGGGATGCTTCGAAAGGTAACTGTGCCCGTTCTCTCCCCTCCTGGTGGGTTGGGACAATCTTCCCTGATGATGCCCCCTCACTCAGGGCCTCCATCACCCCTGGTACCTCTTTCACCTGCCAGGTCAGTCACCAAAGGATGATTTCTTCCTCACAGGCCCTGGGGCTATGATGGCTACCGAGCGCATTTGGCCAAAGTGTTGCTATTCACATGCCAGGCCTCTGGGAGGCTAGTGGGACCAGGACCACCTTCCTCCAATGCTTCCCCACTCAATTCAGGTTTCCCATGAAACAGAACATTGTATTCAAAGACCTGAGAATAAATTATTACCACCACTAATTATTATATTTAAAAGAGCAATTTATAATTTAGGAGAGGGTTTAAAGAAGTTAAAATCTCGAGTGTATTTTTAGCTGGAACACTTTCGGTTGCTAATGACAGGAACCCAGTTCTGTCTAGTGCAAGCAGAAAAGGGAGTTTATTGGCTAGTGACACCAGGATGTCCATGGGGGTCGGGGGATGCAGGCACAGCAGGATGCGGGGGCTCAAGGGACGTCCTGAGTCTGGGCTCTCTCTGGCCGCTCTCCTGGCCATTGCTCTCCTCCTTAGGCAAGGCACGCACGGCTGCAAAGGCCTCTGCCAGCTTCTACAGCCTCACACTCCGCCACCTCCTCAACCCCGACAGAGAATATGCCTGTCCCCAGAAGCCCCCACCACAGAGAGGGCTCTCTGGCTTGGATCTCTCCCACCTTTGACCCAGGGAGTGTGGGCTCTAGTTGGTTCCATGCCACCTCTGGAATAGAGGGCCAAAGTCTCAGGTGGGGGGTGGGGGCTGCCCTGAGCAGAACATACGGGCATCGAGCAGGTGAGGGATGGCTCCCCAAAAGAGGGACAGGGATTCTGGGATGGTTAAACCGCAGAAGCCCGCTTTCCCTGGGCACTTTACTCCTGGGGCCCCAGCAGTCCCTCACTACTCACTGTCACCCTGGAACTTTCTCAGGCTTGAGTCAAATGCCACGCTCTTATTAGTCATATGCAACCTCCTTCTTGGAAGCCAAAGGTGTTACTGGAAAGGGGTCCCAATCCAGACCCCAAGAGAGAGTTCTTGGAACTCGTGCAAGAAAGAATTCGAGGTAAGTCCATAAAGTGAAAGCAAGTTTATGAAAAAAAGCAAAGGAATAAAAAATGGCTACTCCATAGGCAGAGCAGCCCAAGGGCTACCGGTTGCCCATTTTTATGGTTATTTCTTGATGATATGCTAAACAAGGGGTGGATTATTCATGACTTTTTCTTTTTTTAGACAATATAGGGTAATTTCCTGGCATTGCCGTGGCATCTGTAAGCTGTCATGGCCCTGGTGGGAGTGTAGCAGTGTGGACAACCAGAGGTCACTCTCATCGCCATCTTGGTTTTGGTGGGTTTTGGCTGGCTTCTTTACTGCAACCTGATCAGCAAGGTCTTTATGACCTGTATCTTGTGCTGATCTCGTATCTCATTCTGTGTCTAAGAATGCCTCAACCTCCTGGGAATGCAGCCCAGTAGGTCTCAGCCTTATTTCACCCAGCCCTTCCCTATTCAAGATGGAGTCGCTCTGGTTCAAACGCCTCTGACAAAGGGACTAATGAAATGACTCCAGGTCACCATGGACTCTGCAAATGAGGTTATCAGCCCTGCTGACCCCAGCCCTGGAGCACAGCGAGGACTAGGCCCAGTGTCTGGTCAACCCTCTGACAGCCACGTGTTAATGTTTGCTTCTTCTGGCCTCTTCCCAATAAGAGTGTCAATCAGTGTTTCCACCATTCACTCTGCGCGGCTCCCCTCTGTGACATCGGCTGCTATTGGAAACTTGCTTGATTGTATCTCGGAGGAAATCGCTGGTTTTTGTTCCGTTATAACAAATGTGAATGGCCCATCACCCTGGCCTGATGCCTGCGCCCCACCCCCATTTCCCTGTGTTCAAGGCTGACCCCCAGCGTTGGAACTTGTCCTGAGGCAGGTGGAGTGAATTAGCTGGAGGTCAGTTGCAGTCGTGCCACCCTTGACCCTTTCTCCCATCAGATGGCTCCTCCCAGTTCATGCCCTCCCGCCCCATCCACCATGTCTCTTTGATTGTTCTCACCATGCCCGGGAGGCCAACTGGGAAGGCATGTCACACCTGTTTTATGGAGGACAAAAGGCTTCTTGATGAGAAGCCACAAAATCCCTAACTCCCACTACATGGGGTGAGCTCTGTGATGGAATCAGTCATGCCGGTGTTAGAGCGTCTGTACTGGTGGCCATTTGGGTGATGCATTTCTTGACTCTCTCCGAGCCTTCCCTGGAAAATAAGGATAACCCCTGAACCCCTGGGATGGCTGTGAAGATGAAATGAGATCAACCAGGAATAGGGGATGTCAACTATAAAGGGCTGTGCACTTCAAATGAGATATCAAGCAGGAATAGGAGGTGTCAGTAGTAAAGGGCTGTGCACCCCAAAGGGGTCATTGCCATCTTCATCATCATCACCCTGATTAACCACCTCCCCTCTGGGGGGCCCACGGCAGAGGTGACATCTAGCCTCCATCCTGACAGCTGAGCAGGGGGCTGGGGAGAAGGAACCCGCCACAGGGACCCGATTCGCCTGGCGCTGACAGCTAAATTCCTGCAGGAGAAAGAAAAAGGCAGGAAGTGTGACCCCTGCCAAGGCAGCTCCCACAGTCGGACCCTGCAGCTGCTCTGAGTTCAAGAAAATAAGTGCTTCAGGGCATCTCGCAGCCAGAGAAAAACACAGTCATTATGGGGAAATGATAGACGCCAGCTGATTGAGTGAATTTTTCCCAGCCAAACCTGAAATTACTTGCGCTATTGATAAGGGCCTAACGGGAAAGGCACAAACCCCCCCGCAGGGAGCCCCTGCTCGCCCTTGATGGCAGCAGGGCCCGCTGGCCTCTGAGGCCTGGGGAGACCTCGCACCCCCATCCCCCCAACCCTTCTTCCTCCCCTGCAGTGGTGCTGAAACCCACCCTCGGGCGCCCACAGCTGGCCATCTCCCAGGGTGCCACAGAGAGCAGGTGCAGCCAGCGCTTGCTGGTTTATGAATGAGTTAACCAGTCCTCAAAGCAAGTATTTTTTACTAGAACCTGTCACCGCCACCCCCCCACCCCCAGAGGAATTGGCTGCAGCTTCATTGTGCAGATTTGGGGCTCCGGAATTCCCGTCTGGGCACTGTTTTGTCATTGCCAGGATATACATAAAGTTTACCATTTTAATCATTTTTCAGTGTACAGGTCAGTGGCATGAAGTCCACTCACATTGTTGTGCAACCATCACCACCATCTGTCCACAGAACTGATTCATCTTCCCAAACCGAAACTCTACCCACTAAACAACAGCTCCCCACCCCCCCAGCCCCGGCACCCAGCATTCTGCCTTTGTCTCTATGGATGTGACGACTGTAGGCACTTCACAGGAGTGGAATCACACAGCACTTGTCTGTTTGTGACTGCTGTATTTCACTTAATGTCTTCAAGGTTCATGTCTTCAAGGATCATCCATGTACTGGCAGACGTCAGAATTCCCTCCCCTTCTAATAAGGCTGAATAATATTCCACTGTATGGAGAGACCACATCACATTTTTTATCCATTCATCACTGATGGACAATTGAGTTGTTTCCACCTTTGACTATTGTGAATAATGCTACTGTACACACAGCTGTGCAAAAATGTGCTTGAGTCCCCGTCTTCAGTTTTTTTACGTATACCCGGAAGAGAAATTGCTGGATCATATGAGAATTCTGTGATGCTCTGATAATCCTGCCATGAATCTTTTGACGACCCTCCAGACTGTTTTCCACAGCAGCTGCTCCATTTTACACTCCTACCAATGGTGCGCAAGGGTTCCGGCCTCGCCACATCCCCACGAACACTTGTTATTTTCCGATTTGGGGTAGGAGCCATCCTGGTGGGTGTGAAGTGGTGTCGCACTGTGGTCGTGTGTTGTATTTAAGAACCCACCCACGTGTCTGTCTCCCATCGGACCACAATGCCAGAACAAGACCCCTCAGCCCCAGCACGTTGGCGGCCACAGGGTTGGAAGTTTGTGGAGATGGCACCCAGTCCATGCCGACTCCGCCTGCCTCCTGCCATCACCTCTCTCCCTCCAGTCTCTCGCCCCCGCTGCAGACGCTGCTTCCTTCCCCAGTGTTTCCACGGGGGTAGCCTGGCATCCGCCCCGCTCCTCGTGCAGGCCACAATTTGCTCTTCAAATTGCCAAACTGTTTACCAACAGCAGAATCTCCTTTACACCCTGCTGATCTGCAAAACCAGTCATTATCCCAAGTCTGGCCGCCTCAGCCTGGATGGTAACAACAGCTTAATAGGAAAATCAGCACAAATGGCTCAGAGGCCTTAATTGCTCTTCTCTGTTGAACCCCACGCCCTGCTACAGTTAGCCTCAGCCGAGGGGAGGTAGGAGGCCGTGATCAAGATTCAAAGAGAAGGCCAGGCGCGGTGGCTCACGCATGTAATCCCAGCACTTTGGGAGGCCGAGGTGGGCGGATCACGAGGTCAGGAGATCGAGACCATCCTGGCTAACACGGTGAAATCCCGTCTCTACTAAAAATACAAAAAAATTAGCCGGGCGTGGTGGCGGGCGCCTGTAATTCCAGCTACTCTGGAGGTTGAGGCAGGAGAATGGTGTGAACCTGGGAGGCGGAGCTTGCAGTGAGCTGAGATCGCGCCACTGCACTCCAGCCTGGGCGACAGAGCGAGACTCTATCTCAAAAAAAAAAAAAAAGATTCAAAGAGAAAAGGCTGCCTCCTTCCGGGGAGGACAGGGTTCACCTCTAAAGGGAACTGCAGCTCGTCACGTGGCGCCAAGCCTGTCCTGTAGACAGAGGCAAGGCCCCCTGAAGGATGGCAACCCTAAGGATTGATGGGGCCTCTTGTGTGCTCAGCTGGTGGGAGGCAGCAGGCAGTGTGATCACAGCTCCAGACAGACAGACTGGGATCTGATTTTGTCCCTGCCACTTCCCAGCTGTGTGAGTTGCTTGGCCTCTCTGGGCTTCAATTTCTTCACCCGTAAAACAGACAGCAATAGTGTCTTGTCTGTAATGTGCAGGAATAGTGTGTTGCTATGACAGAATACCTGAGACTGGGTACTCTTTAATGAACAGAAATTTATTTTCTCACAGTCTGGGGCTTGGGAAGTCCAAGGCCTTCCTAACCCCAAACCCCAACCTCTGGCCAGGGCCTTCTTGCTGCATCAGCACACAGCAGAAGGCAGAAGGGCAAAGAGAGACAGAAGGAAACTGAACTTGGCCTTTTATAGCAGTATTAATCCCATCCCTGCAGGCAGAGCCCTCATGGCCTAATCACCGCTTAAAGGCCCCCACATCTTCATACTGCTACAAGGGCAATTAAATTTCAACATGAGTTTTGGAGGGACAAACATTCAGACCGTAGCAAACAGCATCTCTCTCCTAGGGTCTGTGAGGTCTCATGGCAGAGACAATCCACAAAAGGCTTCTCCAGAGTCTGACATGGTGCATGCTACAAGGAGACAGGTGTTTCTAGGTTTGAATCCCAGCTCTGCCACTTACTACCTCTAGGGCATTGAACAAGGCACCTAACTTCTCTGTTTCCTCATCTGTAAACAGAAATACGACACTCATTTTGCTGGAGGTTTGCAAGGATGGCATGAGCTCATGCCTCTGAAGGCCTCAGCAAATGAGAGCCCCGGAGCCCCTTCTTCCTCCTATGGGGTCACAGATGGTGGGGCATTCTGGGAGATGCCCCAGCACCCAACACAGAGCAGGGGTGGTGCTTAGCAAAGCTCAAACCCAAATAGGAGCACCTGGGGAGTGAGGGGTGGGACGCTTGGGGAGGCCATCCAGCACAGTAGACACCAGGCCCCCAGGAGCAGAGGAGTTCCATCCCCCTGCTGGGGCACTGGCCCCAGATGTCCAAGGCTGTGCGCACTGCCTGTGCTTCTCAGCAGGGCAGTCCTGCAACCGTTGCAAGTCTGGAGTCCTTAGAAGAGGTGCTCACGGGAGGACCACCTGGGCACAGGGAGCCAGAACCTGGGCTGCTGCCGCAGAAGGGCCAGCGTGGCAGGTGCAGTTGCCTGCAGGTTAGATGGCAAGGGCCACCCCCTTTTCCAGCAGGACAGCCTCCTCCTGTACCACCAGGACCTGTGTCCTTGCTCCGGCCAGAGGTGGCCTGGAGTGGCGAGCAGCCCTGCACACAGGCCGGGCACTGGCAGCAGTGGGGAGGCTGTGCTGACCGGATGGCAGGCTTCAGACCTGGAAAGCCAGTGGGCCTACTAGCTTGGTGCTCTGAGTGCCGGGCATGTGAAAGTGAATAAAATCCTGGTCTAACAGGGAGGCTGCCCCAGATGGGTGATGACAGTAAAGGCTCACTCAGTGTCTGAAAAGCAGAGAGCAGCAGACAGGAGGGCCCTGCCCCAGCCTGAGGCCCAAGGCAGCTGCCCAGGGAGCCCTTTGAAGGAAGGGAAAGTAAAACAGATTGAGAGAGGGGTGGGCTGGGGAGGGGCCTCTCAGGGGCTGGTCCGACACGGCATCTCGTGGGCTGCCCTCCCACTTAGTCAGGTCAGAGCCAAGGCTCAGAGGAGGACATACTGGCTGATCACCCACACATAAGCTGCAGGGGGCTGGTCAGCGGTGGCGACTGCACGCTGGTGAGCCCGTGCCCTCCCCACAGACCACTCACCCAGGCCTGGGCACCACATGGAGGCTAGGGAAGCATGAGGAGGCCCAGGCGCCACGTGCAGCCATCCCAGGCAATGGGGAAGGAGCCCAGGAGACGGGCCTGGAGCTGTGTAAGAGTCATGTCTTCCCAGGAGAGTTGGGTGGGGGCTGAACCCCAGCCTGGAACTGGGCAGGCAGATGTGTGGCAGCGGGAAGAGGCTGCCGCACCGGGCTCTGCTCTCTGCACACCAGGCTCCGTGGTAGGTGAGGGCTGGAGGGGGAGCGGCTCTCTTTCCCCTCCTAGCTGCCATGGAGACCTGGGCCAACGATGCTGTGTTTTCTGCTGCATCCAGTTGTCTTTCTGCCATTTGTCCGCGGAGCGGGGATGTGCGTGCCCGCAGGCCTGGGAGATTCCAGAGCTGCTCTTTCATCTGCGTTTCCACCTCTCGCGGTGCTCCTGGTGGGCCCCGTGCCCAGGGGTCCAGCTTCAAAGAAGGGTGAATAGGAGAGGAGGGAGGCCCTGCCGGGAGGCAGGGGCTCAGAAAAAAAAAATCATGATTCATCATCCCCAAACATGAGCCATCATACATAATGGAACAAACTCGGACATGGTGATTCAGTGTGTCAAAATATAGAAAGGCCATTTAGTATTGGTGACAGAATTAGATGAGAGGCTTCACTTCTTCCAATGAAAAAGCAGACGGAACAGCGCCAAGAGGGAACCAGGGCCCACGCCTCGGCCCGCACACACTCACCCAGAACCCATCTCCCACACAGCCCAGGCTACTCTGCTATGACCAAAGGTCACCGGATGCACCGAAGAAACCTCATGTTATTGAAATGCATGATGGGAAAACACCGCGTCTCTGGGAATGAGGAGTTAAGACCTAGAGTGCTTTATATGCGCAATAACACATTCTCTTGCCGGAATTTCAATAATTAAAATGTGTTTTATAAGAGCATTTAAAAAATTGTATTTTAGAAAAAAGCAAACTGATGATCAAAACTCATCAAAAACAAAGCCAAAACACTCACCAAAACAGAACTGTTTCTCATTTGCACTTCTCCAGCCATACGCTGAGAAGCCTCTGTCATTTGGCCTCAAGGTTGCAATTTTATTCTAAGCAAAAGAAGCACCTCCCGTCCTCCCCACTCCCCACCCCCACCCTAAATCCTTTGAGCAAAAGAAAATCCTCAAAGCAGCCATGTATCTGCGGGCTTTGCAAGCCACAGTCTTCCTCCGCTTTTCTGAATTAGTTCCCATCGCCCTGGCAATCTATGCAGAGACTGTCTGAGTGGAGCAATGCATATCCCCAAATTAATCCAACCTGTTAGATTCAGTTTGCACTGTAAAATTGGCATGGTGGAAAAAATACCTGCATCCATGTGGAACAGCATTCTTCACTTGCTGTTAAAATTTACCACAGAATTTCCCTGCACTAACCCCGTGAATTTTTTTCCTTCCTTCCTTCCTTCCTTCCTTCCCTTTCCTTTTCCTTCCTTCCCTCCCTCTCTCCCTCCCTCCTTCCTTCCTTTCCTCTTCCTTCCTTCCTTTTCCTTCCTTCCTTCTTTCCTTCCTTCCTTCTTCTTTCTCTCTCTCTCTCTCTCTCACACACACACACACACACGCACACATACCACACCCCCTTCTCTAGGTAAATATGTCTGAGATATGCCACATAGAACACCCCTCTCCTGGCGATTTTCAATGCGTATTAACATACTAAAGGCCTTGAGAAGTCCTGCAGTAAGGAAATCTGCTTGACTGTGTTTAACCCAGTGTTTCATCAAATTAATTAACCAAGGAATCTTTTTTTAAACTATTAAGACCTATTGACCTATGGAGATGCCCACAGACCACAAAACCCACTGGGAAGTGCTCATATACACATCATCAAATACTTCACCTTTGCATTTGTAGTTGTTTTCCAGAGGAATTTCCCAGTCATCCCGGATAGAAACGGCAAGGCGTTATAACCACTGTGTAACAGATGAGGAAACCGCAGCTCCAGGAGAGTCTCTTATCTCAGGTTGCACAGAAAGCACTTTTCAGGGAATGTAACCGAGATTTCAATTATATGCAACATTTATTGTCCATTGAAAAATTGTTCTCTGGTTCAAATGACTGTTCAGAAAAGTCCTGCCTGTCTGTGTCTCTGTCCTGTTCACTCCTCCTCTGTTCCTGGTGGGACTGTTCTCTCTCGGGCTTGTGAAGTCCCTCTCTGTGGGATAACTATCCAAGCACACAGACCCCAGCCTGCTCTCCAGTAGTGAGGGAGTCTCTTTCCACCTGAATCCCACCAGAAGTGTATCTTCCTGCCAAGAGGGTTTGGAAACAGCCTTCCTGGACCCTGTGGCAAGGAGGCCGCATGGGAACCCAGCCCTGCGCCTCCAGGTTGGCCACACGCAGAAGAACAAGCTGAGAACATTCTGTGATGAGTGATAACAACCTGGGGGGCTGTGTGGCAGCTCACAACTGTAATCCCAGCACTTTGGGAGGCAAAGGTGGGAGGACTGCCTGGGCCCAGGAATTTGAGACCAGCCTGGGCAACTCTCTACAAAATATTTTTTAAAACTGGCCAGGCATGGTGGCAGGTGCCTGTAGTCCCAGCTACTCAGGAGGCTGAGGCAGGAGGATCCGTTGAGCCCAGGAGGCGGAGGTTTCAGTGAGCTGAGATCGTGCCACTGCACTCCAGCCTGGACGACAGAGCAAAACCCTGTCTCAATTTAAAAAAAAAAAAAAAAGAACTTGAAGGTCAAGGTACTATGTCCTGGCACAGCCCATATAGTGAGAGGCAAAGGGCTGTGCTATACCCGTGCAGAAGGCCTGGACTGGTCCAGAATGCTGCCTTCGGCCACACTGGCTAGGGGTGTTCACCAGCTTCCAAGACAGGAGCCAGGATGTGCCCAGGGCCTGACTTGCCTGCATGGAAATGCACAGCCCCCTCCCTACAACGACCGAGTCACAGTCAGAATTCCTTAAGGGAGGCATTGCCTCCTCATCCTAATCCCTCCTTTTGGCAGGCCCCACCCTCGAGGTAACAGGAATTGGTGCCAGCAATCCCAGGCCACCCGTCCTCGATGACCTTCGGTCCTGCCCCTAGACCTAGGCAGCCAGGGATCCTGCTGTCGGGGCCTTGGATTTTAGAAGGCCCTGCCCTGGGCCTCCTCTCACCATGCAGGGCCCAGGGACCCCCCCACCATTCTCAGCCTGTGCCCCTCTCTCCTCCAGACCACACCCACCTGCTTTCCCTGCCCACCTGCTTTCCGGATGTGTGCAAGAGGGGGGCCGGGCACAGAGCTGGATCCGCAAGCCCCTGTGTGGGATGGAGCGGGGGTGGTTTCCAAACCCAAAAAACAGTGTGAGTGTTTCAATTCTGTCACTCATGTGATCCCTTGGAGTTTTGTGTGTAAAATTTAAAAGCATTTAACAGAGTACAAACTGCAAGGTGTAACATCTTTGTTTGAAAAACACAAATTGAGTTCCATGTGGGGAAAGGAAAGAGAGATCAGATTGCTACTGTGTCTGTGTAGAAAGAAGTAGACATAAGAGACTCCATTTTGTTCTTGTTGCCCAGGCTGGAGTGCAATGGCGCGATCTCGGCTCACTGCAACCAATACAAAAAAATTAGCCGGGCGCGGTAGCTCACACCTGTAATCCCAGGACTTTGGGAGGCCGAGGTGGGCAGATCACCTGAGATCGGGAGTTTGAGACCAGCCTGACCCACACGGAGAAACCCCATCTCTACTAAAAATACAAAATTAGCCGGGCGTGGTGGCGCATGCCTGTAATCCCAGCTACTTGGGAAGGCTGAGGCAGGAGAATTGCTTGAACCTGGGAGGTGGAGGTTGCAGTGAGCCGAGATCGCGCCATTGCACTTCAGCCTGGGCCACAAGAACAAAATGGAGTCTCTTATGTCTACTTCTTTCTACACAGACACAGTAACAGTCTGATCTCTCTCTTTTCCCCACAGTTCCACCCAGTAAATTTTCACAAAGTGAGCATGCTTGAGAACCAGTACTTGGATCAAAAAATAGAACATTGCTGGAACCCCTAGAAACCTCCCTCCCTCGTGACCTTCCAAGGGTAAACACAGCCTTCTTTTTTTTTTTTTTTTTTTTGAGACAGGGTCTCACTCTGTCCCCCAGGCTGGAGTGCAGTGGCACGATCTCAGCTCCCTGCAACCTCCACGTTTCAGGTTCAAGCAATCCTCCCACCTCAGCCTCTCGAATAAGCTGGGACTACAGGCACCTGCCACCACACCTGGCTAATTTTTTTATTTTTTGTAGAGACAAGGCCCCACTATGTTGCCCAGGCTGGTCTCAAACTCCTGGGCTCAAGCAATCCACCCACCTCAGCCTCCCAAAGTGCTGGGATTACAGACGTGAGCCACTGCGCCCGGCCAACACAACCTTATGTCTTTTCTTTTCCTTTCTTATCTTTTCCCTCCCCTCCCCTCCCTCCCTTTCCCTCCCCTCCCTCCCTTCTTTCCTTCCTTCCTTCCCTCTCTTTCCTTCCTTTCTTTTCTTTTCTTTCTTTCTTTTTTCCTTTTATTTTCTTTTCCTTCCTTCCTTCCCTCCTTCCTTCCTTCTTTTCTTTCTTTTCTTTCTTTCTTCTCTTTCTTTCTTTTCTGACAGGTTCTTACTCTGTCACCCAGGCTGGAGCGCAGTGACACAATCTTTGCTCACTGCAACCTCCACCTCCCGGGCTCAAGCAATCCTCCCACCTCAGCCTCCCTCCCTGGGACTACAGGCATGTGCCACTACGCCTAGCTAATTTTTGTATTTTTGTAGACACAGGGTTTCCTCACGTTGCCCAGACTGATCTCAAACTCTTGGACTCAAGTGATCCACCTGCCTCGGCCTTCCAAAGTGCTGGGATTACAGTTGTGAGCCACCATGCCTGGCCAGCACAGCCTTATTTCTAATATGACCAACTAATGGTGCCTGTTTTTGAACTCGAATCGCCATCCACACTGTTGCATGAAGGTGTGGTTCATTTGTTCTCATTGTGGAGTATTCCATTACATGAATATACCACAATTGACTTACCCATTCTCCTCTTGGTAACATCCGGAGTACTCCCAGTTCTGGCTGTTATGAATAGGCTGCTAGGAACATTCTTGTACATGTCTTTTGGTAACTTATGTTTGCATTTTAATTGATTATATGCTGCCTAGAAGTCACACCATGGAGGATACTTGTATCCAGCTTAACTTATACTGCCAAAAACTCCCACTGATGCAGGCCAGGCGAGCCCCAAAATTGGGGCTTACCCCAGGAGGGTTTGTGGCTTCACCCAAGAAAGAAGGTAAGGGCGAGCCAATGGAGTTAGCAGTTTTTATTGAAGCAGCCGTAAACAGCAGCAGCAGCAGCAGAAGGGCTGCTCCCTGTGGGGCAGGGCTACCCCATAGGCAGTGTGCCCGGAGCAGCAGCTCAGAGGTAGTGTGTAGTCAGATTTATTGCCACTTTTAATTACATGCAAATTAAGAGGTGGATTATTCAGAAATTTCTAGGAAAAGGATGGTAGCTTCTGGGTCATCAGGTCATTGCCATGGAAAGGGGCATTAACTTCTGGGTGTCGCCATGGCAATGGTAAACTGACGTGGCACACTGGTGGGTGTGTCTTATGGAAAGCTGCTTCCAGCCATCCCTGTTCTAGCTAGTCCTCAATTTGGTGTGTGTCATGTGAGCCCCTCCTCTGGAGTGGAGGCCTGCCTCCTACTTCCCACCTGCAGCATATGAGAGTTGCAGTTGTTTCAAATCCTTCCTGACATGGGTATTCCCATCTTTTTAACTTTAGCCATTCCTAGGGGTAAGGAGTGTTGTCTCCCTTTGGCTTTAATTTGTATTTCCCCAATGATTAATAAAGTTGAATATTCTCTTATGTGTATATCTTTTTTTTTTTTTTTGATATGGAGTCTCACTCTGTCCCGCAGGCTGGAGTGCAGTGGCACGATCTCAGCTCACTGCAAAGTCTGCCTCCCGGGTTCAAGAAATTCTCCCACCTCCGCTTCCCATGTAGCTGGGATTACAAGTGCACACCACCAAGCCCAGCAAATTTTTGTATTTTTAGTAGAGATGGCACTTCGACATGTTGGCCAGGCTGATCTTGGACTCCTGATCCCAGGTGATCCACCGGCCTCAGCCTCCCAAAGTGCTGGGATTACAGGCATGAGCCACTGCACCTGGCCTGGATATCTCTTCTGTAAAGTGTCTGTTGAGGTCGTTTGCCCGTCCTCCTCTCGGCTTGCCTGTCTTCTTGCTGACTTGAAGGAGTTCTTCATATTCTAATTTCCCATCTCAGGTCAGATTTCTCCTCCCACTCTGCACTCTGGCTTCTCACGCTCTTCGTGGGGTCTTTTGTTAAACAGATGTTCTTAATTTTAATGCAGTCCAATTTATCATTGTTTATTTTGTAGTTAGTGCTTTTTGTGTCCTCTCTAGGAAATATTTGACCACCTCATGCAGATATTTTCCTGTTTCTTTCTAGAAACTGTACTGTTTTGCTTTGCCAATCTGTATCTACAGTCAATCTGGAATTGGCTTTTATGTACGGCATGAAGTAGAGATCAAAATTCACTTTCCATATGAATATCTGCTCAGTCAGCTTGGGCTACTGTAACAAAATATTGAGTGCCTTAAACAACAGAAATTTATTTCTCACAGCTCTGGGGGCTGGAAATCTCACAGCAAGGTGCCGGCAGGTTTGGTGTCTGGTGAGGCCTCTCTTCTTGGCTTGTAGATGGCTGCCCTCTGTGTCCTCACATGGGAGAACCATAAGGGCACCAACCCCAGCATGGGTCTCCACCCTCACGGCCTAACCACCTCCCAAAGGCTCCACCTCCTGACACCATCACATTGGGAGTTAGGGGTTCAACATATGAACCCAGGGGACACAGGCATTCAGTCCACAGTGCTCCACCCTGTGGGCTCACATCACCCCAGTTTCCCACCCTCCCTGGCCTGCAGGCTTTGCGGGTTCCATTTCCCCCACTCCGGCATGAGAGGCAGTGGGTGTGATTGAAAGCAGCAGATCTGCTGTCTATGGGGCCCTGGGGGGTCTGAGAATGGTGGGTCCACCTGCTCCGCAGGCCTGTGTGGAGTCCAGTGAAAGGATATGCTGAAGCTTGGAGCCCAGCGCCCTCTGTGCATTCTTGGTGAGTTCCCACCCAGATAACTTCATTCTGAAACAGGGTCGCTCCAGGGGTGTCCCTGTCTGGAAGGGACTCTGGGTGTCTTGCTGTGAGCACCACGGTGGCTCTCCCTTCACAATGAGGGCTGGGCTTCTCCAGACTCTGCAGTGAGAGAACTGGTTGAGATCCTGGAAGACTGATTGGACAGGAAAGAAAGATTTGGTAACTGAACCAAGATCATCCAACCCATGCCCCCAAATTCACCAAACACATACTGGGCACTAGGGAGCCGGAACATGGCCAAGGGCTGGTTCCTGCCCACAAGGAGGTGGGAGTCCATGAGGGAGAAAGGTCCACAGAGAGATGATTTCGGCACAGGGAGGAGGGCTGGGGCCAAGGCAAGCCAGGCACCATGGGTCACAAGGAGGGGCCCTTGTTCACCCGAGGGAGGGCATTGGCTTGGGGAGAGAGTTACAGGAAGTCTGGAGAAGGACTCCAGGCTGCTGGGCAGCAGGAGCAGGGATGGGGACAGCACAGAGGCTGGGGCAGATTTATCCCACCTGCCCAGCAGAGCCGAGTGGCACAGATTTCAGCTGTGCCCCTGGATAAAAGGGGTGATGGCAGCCAACAACACCAGCTATGGGGACTCTTTGCCACCTTCGCCATTCTGGGAGTAAGCTCTCAGCTACGCTGTGAGCAGTCAAAGCACCGATTCACTGAGCCCAGATTGTATCCGTCTCTGGCTATGCAGGGAGGATCTATTAAGCCCCTTAGGTCTCCACGGACGGGTGGGGCACCACTTCCCACTGAGTGGCATCTAATGGATAATGGGCATTCCCCCAGTAGGAAGATTTGGAAGCCGATCCCAACACACACACACACACACACACGCATGCACGCACACACACGCGCGCGCACACACACACACACATGCAAGCACGTCAGCTGCAGTCCCAGGGAGGCAAAGACAGTTATCAAAAGGAGAGGGTTTTCCAGACAAATATTCCAGAAGCATATTCCCACAAGAAAAGAAGAGACTGGGCAGACAAAACAATAGTGTCTACTCCACAGGAAGCAACATGGAGGTGCTGAGGTGTGTGGGGCAGGGGAGCAGCACCCCCGGCTTTGTACTATAGAAACTACTTTCCAGGCTGGGTGCGGTGGCTCACAGGGGTAATCCCAGCACTTTGGGAGGCCAAGATCAGTGGATCACTTGAGGTCAGGAGTTCAAGACCAGCCTGGCCAACATGGTGAAACCCCACCCCTACTAAAAATACAAAAATTAGCCATGCGTGGTGGTGCATGTCTATAATCCCAGCTACTCAGGGGAATGAGGCAAAAGAATTGCTTGAACCCAGGAGGCAGAGGTTGCAGTGAGCCAAGATTGCACCATTGCACTCCAGGCCCTGGTCGATGGAATAAGACTTCATCTCAAAAAAAAAAAAAAAAGAAAGAAAGAAAGAAAGAAAGAAAGAAACCACTTTCTGCAGCAGGGACTGACTGGGGAGGCCAGTTTGGCCACCAGGAGACAGGACAGGTCTGAACAGGCAGGATCCAGCACGTGGGAGGGAGGCCTTGAGCTGGAGAGGTGGGAGGGAGTTAGCAGGCACAGGGACGGGGCATCTGTTGGATGGGTGAGGGGCTGCGGAGGGCATCCAGGGTGATACGTGAGTGTCTGGCTTGGCACTGGGTGGATTGTGGTACCAGAACCTGAGATAGGCTCACATCAGGAGGGGCCATGGCTGGAGATGAGTTGGGTTTGTCCAGCTGGCAGTTGGATCTATAGCTCTGCAGCTTGGGAGAGAAAGATGCCAAATAAGCCCATGAAATCCTTATTAAAAATATTTTTGTTCACTGAAATTCAATATGAAAACAGCTCATGAAACAAAGAGTGAATCAATAACCCTTTACTCATCTTAAATTAACAAAGATGAGTGGCGTGCAATTACTTTCCATTACAGAATCCTTCTGCCCAAGAGATTCGGTGAGATCCTTGTCAAGAGTTAGGCTTTTAACATGTGTATAGGAAGCATATTCTTTTGTGTCTGCTCATCGATCCAAATGTTTGATGCCTTAATGATTTTATGACTCAGAATTGTTTATTCCTGCCTCCTGGGTCTCACTGCAGTCCCAGCAACACAGAGCAATGTACATTTTCAAAATGGGAAAGGCTCTTGTTGATCTGTATTTAATCTGCTTGGCAGAGCTGAGTGGCTTCCTTCCCAGCCCCTTCCCCTTAGGACTGGGTGGTCTCAGCTCTGCTCTGGATAACCTGGGGCCAGTCACCTGCCATCTACCCACTTGCTGTCCCTTCGGCTTCCTTCTTCTCCCCAAGCATCACTGCAAAAAGCCCCTGCTCTGCCTCTATTGTTTTTCTCTCTTTTCTCTTCCCAATTCCCAATTCCTTCTTTCTCCAATTATTTCTTATGGCTCTTACTTACTATTCATTTATACAAGAACAAAAATTCACATGGATGTGAAAAAGAAGTGAATCTGCTTATTCTAGAATTTCAAATAAGGGAAATTCTAGGGTGGCAGGCACCACTCACCCACTCATAAATTCAACAACTGGTGAATGTTTACTGCATGTCCATGGTAGTCCTGGAGATATCTCGGTGGCCAAAGGAGAGGAAGGCTTTTACCTATAGGAACTTAAAATCCAAAGGAGGATCCAGACTATAACTAACTACATGAATAAATGTGAAATTGCTCATGTGATCAATGTCACAGATGAGGGGACCATGGCACGAGGGGAACATTTAATGGGGGAGAGCTGATATAGTCAGGGAGGTCAAGGCAGGCTTCCTGGAGGAAGTGCCAAATGCACTAAACGATGAGTGTCATGAATTAGACAAAGAAAGAAGGGAAGGACCCACTCTATAGTGAAAACAGCACAGACAAGAGCCTATGTGGGCAAAATGATGGCACCCATGAGGGGCCAAAAGAGTCCAGAGAGGCTGGGGCGGGAGGTGAGTCTGAGAGGTGGGTGGGGACTGAATCATGAAGACCTCTCTAACCTCTTAAACGTTTTTGTCTTGTTTTTATCCCCAGGGTAGTAGGATACCATTTCATGTTTTAAACAGGGGGGAGACTATCAGATTGCCATTCAAAGAGAGAGCCTCGGGTTCGGTGTGGAGAGCGGGCTGAGCAGATCAGAGGGGTTCAGGGGCTGGAAGGCCAATTGCAGGTGGTGAGCAAAATGCAGTGGCAGCTGGGTGGCCATGGAGATGGAGAGAAAAGGGCAGAGATGAAAGAGATTAGGAGGCAAAGATGACAGGACTGGAGGTGACTGGATATGGGGGAGGTGAGGGAGAAGGGGTATCAAGATGATGTCTATGTTTCTGGCCCAAGTGACTGTGGTCATCATCCACAGAGGCCAAAGTCCCAGGAGGCGCTGGGCTGGGAGAGCAGATTGTGAGTCCTTTCTGGACATACTGAGTTTGAGTCGCCTCTGAGACAGCCATTCCCTCTGCACACAGACCTTCCGTCCGAAACCTCTTTCCTTCTTCCTGAAGTGCATTGGTGTGGAGGCCCTTTAGTGAGAGTCTCTTTGCAATAGCTGCTCTCAGCTTTTGTGTATCCGAAAATGGCTTTATTTTGCCCTCATCCTTCAAGAATCTTTTGGATTCTAGATTGTAGTCAATTTCCTTTGTGTATCCAGCTCTGTGTCTTCCATTATTGCTGTTGTGAAGTCAACTGTCAATCTGTTGTTGGTGTTCTGAGGGTAATCTCTCTTGTACTTGCTGCTTTTAAAATCTTCTTGTGGTCTTTGGTGTTCTGCAGTTTCACTCTGATGGATCTAAATATGGATTTCTGTTCATTTATTCTCTCTGAGAATTGTTATGGTTCCTGATCTGAGGATTGGGGCCTGCCTTTGACTATCACATGTCCCCTTCACTGTCTTATCTTCTTCTGGAACTCCGGTTAAGCATGTGTCAGAATTCCTCCTTCCACTGCCACCTTTTTTTGCCTCTCTTTTGTGTTTTTCATGTGTTTGTCTCTGAACTGCATTCTACCTCTTGTTCATACTTCTCTTATTGCTGAGTAGTATCCAAGCTATACATTCCATGGGTACTCTTTCACATAATAGATGTTTAGGTGGCTTATATTTTTAGTTATGGTGAATACAACTATTATGAAAAATCTTATTCAAGTCTTTTTATGCAGATAGATACCTTTTCATTTCTTGTGCATAAATACCCAGAACTGAAATTTCTGGGTCATAGGTTAGACATGTGTTTAACTTTTTTTTTTTTTTTTTGAGACGGAGTCTTGCTCTGTTGCCCAGGCTGGAGTACAGTGGTGCGATCTCAGCTCACTGCAAGCTCCGCCTCCCAGATTCACGCCATTCTCCTGCCTCAGCCTCCTGAGTAGCTGGAACTACAGGTGCCCACCACCATGCCTGGCTAATTTTTTGTATTTTTAGTACAGACAGGGTTTCACCATGTTAGCCAGGATGGTCTCGATCTCCTGACCTCATGATCCTCCCGCTTCGGCCTCCCAGACACCCTCTTGGCCAGGCGCAGTGGCTCATGCCTGTAATCCCAGAACTTTGGGAAGCCAAGGCGGGAGGATCATATGAGGTCAGGAGTTCGAGACCAGCCTGGTCAACGTGGTGAAAACCTCGTCTCCACTAAAAATACAAAAATTATCCAGGGGTGGTGGCAGGTGCCTGTAGTCCCAGCTACTCCAGAGGCTGAGGCAGGAGAATCACTTGAAACCAGGAGGCAGAGGTTGCAGTGAGCGGAGATTGCACCATTGCACTCCAGCCTGGGTGACACAGCAAGACTCCATCTCAAAAAAATAAATAAATAAAATAAAATAAAAATAAAAAGGACCCTCTCAAACTGTGTGTTTGTTTTCCATCCAGCATCTCTGCCATAAATCTTTTTCAGACATCCAAACTGCATATTCCTTGAAACGGAAGGTATCTCTCTCCCTTTCCATGTCTCTCCTCCTGCCTCATTCCCTGAGAAACTAGAACCAGAAAAGTAAAAGAACAGAGCCTTCCCCCACCTCCGAGTGTCCACGAGCAGCAGAGGGAATGGAGAAGAGAATCATTCATCCTGTATGAGGTGGAAGTCTTCATAAGCCCCAATAAGCTGGACTTGAGTCTGAAAGTGAAGAGAAAACTCGGTTCTGCCCCAAAATGTGTTCTGACCTGGGGAGGATGCTGAGTGGGACATACCGAGGGCACTGGCCGCAGATATCACAGGCCCCATTCAAGCTGACTCCCCAGGAGACTGTTCGCTGATCGTCAATACCGAGCCCCACTCACCGCTCAGGCCTCAGCCCCTGCTCCACGCCCCCTCCTCATTTCTCTAAGTCTCCGACCCCTGGCCTCCAGCTGAACTAGCCAGGACAATAGACAAGATTCAGGGTGAAGCAGACAGATTCTGAAGAGACGGTAAGGACAAAGAAGGCTTAGGGAGCTGGGCACTGAAAACAAAAGTTTGCTGGATTCGAAGCAGACCACGTGGGGTTGCTTGTAACCACTGCGTCTGACTTTGCTCACACTATGCCTCGGCTGTGTTAGAGCCGTGCTCCTGGGGACCACCAGGGACCATGCCTATGCTTCCTGTAGGACCCCATAGGACCCACCCAAGGTCTGCACCTGGCTGGTCTTGGCGACGCCTGTTAGTGGCACATGACGACATCTCTGACCACATCAGGACGGGCCGTGGCCTCGGCGTTCAGTGCCACCCATCTTGGAAGAGGAAAAGGGACCCTGAGGCTTGGCTCCCAGCCACAGACTAAGTATCTGCATAGGGCAATTGAGAACAGATGCGGCAATGAGTAATTAAACAAATTAGTCAGCGCAGACGTGTTCACAAAAGCCAGGCAGAATCAATGGGGCGCCGATGCATTAGCGTCCTGTCCCTAATGGCCTCGGATGCTCCCAGCTAGCTGCTCCTCTGAGAGCAAACCGCACCTCCCTGCACCCAGGGCTGGGCACAGCGCTGAGCAGGGCTGGCGGGGTCACAGCCAGTGACCACAGAAGCCAGGTAGGCTGCTCCGGTGGGCTCCATCAGAGACTTGGCTGCTTCTCTGCCAGTGGACAGAGTGGCAGCTGCCCACCAACCGTTCCTCCCTCTCCTCCCCATTTTCTCACACATTCCTCTCCCTGGAGTCTCCTTCCCTGCTCTCTTCACCTAGCTGATGCCTAGGTATCCTTTAACACTCGCCCAGCATCACCTCCTCCAAGAAGGCTCCTCTGATCCCACAGGCTGGATGGGGCCTTTTTCTGGGCTCCCATGCCCATCACGGGTCAGTCTGCCCTGGAGGTTGGGCTCTGCTGTTGGACGAAGCCAGGCCCCAGGTGAAAGAAGTCTATCTTCTGCTTGTCTCAAGCACAGGGGCTCTGTCCCAATGATGGTAGTTGGGATGCAAGCAACAGAAACCCACTCTTGGCTAATTTTAGGGGAAGAGAGGAGTGTGCTAGAAGGCTAAAGTATGCTCAGAAAATCACAAGGACTGCTGAATGGCCTCACCTAGAACAGGGACCAAGCAGCTCTGGGGATCCAGCTAGCAGGAAGCACCAGCAGTCTCTGGGGGTGCACTTGGGGGAGAAAGGCGCAGCCACCATTTGAGTCTTTGTGTCATCAGCCCAAGGCTCAGAGTTCAAATTCTCTGGAGAAAGAGCCTGAGAGTTTGACTTAACCGTGAGCCCCATCCCCTTGGTCAAGGTGGAGCCGGAGTGCATGTCTGGGAGACCGTCACATGTATGTATGTATGTATGTATGTATTTATTTTTGTGAGACAGAGTCTCACTCTGTCACCCAGGCTGGAGTGCGATGGCACAATCTCTGCTCACTGCAACCTCCGCCTCCCGGGTTCAAGTTATTCTTCTGCCTCAGCCTCCCGAGTAGCTGCAATTACAGGCTTGCACCACCACGCCTGGCTAAGTTTTGTATTTTTAGTAGAGAGATGGGGTTTCACCTTATTGGCCAGGCTGGGCTCGAACTCCTGACCTTGTGATCTGTCCGCCTCAGCTTCCCAAAGTGCTGGGATTACAGGCGTGAGCCACTGTGCCTGGCCAACCCTCACATGTATTAATTCATTTACCCCCCAAGAACAATCTATGCGTAGGTGCCACTATTGTTACCTCCCACTTAATGGTTGAGGAAACCAAGGCATGGGAGGTTAAGCAGCTTGCTTGAGGTCACACAGCTAGTGGGTGGCAGTCGGGAAACAGGAGCAGCCAGGCCAGCCCGAGACCCATCCTTAAGCCACACCACCCCTGGGATGGTATGATAAACACAGGAATGTTGAATGAGTGAGAGAATAAGCTAGTAAACTGACAGAGGGCTGGCTTCTCTCGAAAACAGCTGCTTCCTGGTACATTACTGCTTTCCGAGCCAGATGTGGGTGGGTGTTTGGCCCTGGCTGATGGATGGCTGATATTTCCAGGGGAGAAGAAAGGATGGAACACCTGTCATTGCCGAGGTAATTACTTCTCCCTCGCTGGCCTTTTGGCCAAGCTGCAGCCTGAACGCTCACTGTTCTTTCTCCAGCATTTGCAGCAAGAGCTTAGAAAAAGAGGAGGTGGAGAATCTGTGTTGTTCTGGATGATCGCAGAGGAAGACGTGGCTTTAGAAAACGGGCCAACGGCTGGGAACAGTGCCTCTCGCCTGTAATCCCAGCACTTTGGGAGGCCGAGGCAGGCAAATCGCTTGAGCTCAGTCACAGAGCAGGAGCATCACCATCTTGGACAAACACTGCCATTTTAAGTTCCTCTTGATTAAAAACCACCTAAATCCACCCCAAAAACAGCAGCCTAATGGCTAATGTCAGCATGATCATAAACTACAAATGACACCTCCAACCAGACACATTCCAACCCTGAGATAAACCTGTCTCCAACCAGAAACATGCCAACCTGAGATAACTTCCCTGCCGACCAGAAACCTTCTCACCCCAAAATAAAACTCTCCTCCAACCAGAAACATTCTGAACCTGTGATAAGCTCTCCCTCCCTAAACCCGTAAATACCCTTAGTCTATAAGAGAGAGTGCCCCTGAGAGAAATCGGCCAGAAGCTCCTCTCAGGTTTATTCTCCAAAATAAATCTGTCTTTGACTGTTGAGCCGCTTTTCATGTTTCTTTCTTCCTTCTTCAAGTCTTACATTTGGTGCTGAAACCCAGAACATTCCAAGGAAAGGTTCCAACATTCCAAGCCACTGTCCTTACATGCAAGGTATGTAGGAAAAGTAAAATATAGTTTTGGTAGAAAGATTGCAGGGAGGCATGAGAATGTGGATTTTTGCCAAGTTTGAAAGGTTAAAGGATTTTTTTTTCAGTTGGATAAAATAAAAATGAAGGTTTGGGCTAGTTGTGAAAGGCTGATTTTAGAGGCAGTTCTGTGTGTAAACATATTGGCTAAAAGGGGTATCCTCCAGTTTTTCTGTAAATTAAATTTTATTAAAATAAAAGCACAGTGGGTTTCTCTTAGAGCACTAACCTGCTCTTTAACAAAAATTGTAAAGGGCTATAAAAAGTCTATAAAAATCTTACCTTGTGGTCAAATATTAAAATTGAGTAAATATGTCTATAAGGATTTATTAATTCGGTTTAACATTCATAGTACACTAATGTAAAGGTGAAATTTGGCTTATTTGGTATAAAAATTATACAGAAAATATTGTCAAATACGAAATGGTGCTTGGCTTTCTTTGGGCTATATTTGTGTAGATATGTTTTTGGTATGTGTTCCAAGGTTGTGGGAGACTCCTACAATCCTGATATGTTTTAGTGTACATTATCAGTAATAATTATAATTGTTATGTTAAAATTGTTGTGTGCCACGTAGGTAACAGATTTCCTCATCAATTGTGTCTTTAACTGCGGCCACCCTAAAACTTTTTGTCATCCATGAACAATTGTTGTCTTGTTTTGGTCCTCTTTAGAAGGTGGTTTTATGATCAGCTATAAAGTTCTGACAGGTGCTCTTGAATGCAGGTTTCTGATAACTTTGCAGATTGTGACATCAGAATAGAGGAAGGACGTTCAGGACTCTTGAAGAGCTGGAATGTTCATTGATATCAGGCAGGACAGGAACTGACTGCGTGAACTGAACTAACAGACTGGAGTGATCTTTTTGATGTTTTGCTCGGAATATTGTTGGTCCTTTGTTTGCTTTTCAGAGTCAAAGAGGCTTTTCTTTTGAGCTATCAACAGCTTTTGACAGTTTGGTGTGCTCCCATGAACAAAATTTGAGGCATGCTTATTTCTCTCTGCCTGGTTTTCTCCCGAGTCTGGAAACTACCTGTGAGTATCCTTAAATTATGGCAGTATGGTTATTTGCAAAGGTGCAATACAAGTCTGTTTTCTTTCTTTCTTTCTTTCTTTTTTTTTTTTTTGAGATGGAATCTTGCTCTGTTCCCCAGGCTGGAGAGCAGTGGTGCAATCTCGGCTCACTGCAACCTCCACCTCCCAGGTTCAAGCAATTCTCCCTGCCTCAGCCTCCCGAGTAGCTGGGATTACAGGCATGCACCACCATGCCCAGCTAACTTTTGTGTTTTTTAGTACAGACAGGGTTTCGCCACATTGGCTAGGCTGGTCTTGAACTCCTGACATCAGGTGATCTGCCCGCCTCGGGCTCCCAAAGTGCTGGGATTACAGGTGTGAGCCATGGCACCCGACCAAAAGTCTGTTTTCTTTTATGGCAGGACACAATTGGAAGAACTGGTTGTTTTAGCAAGGCTTTGACTGGAATGGTGTGCTCTCCTTTAAGGAATCAAACTTGACTTGTGAAGCCAGTAGAGCCCTTAGATGGCGGGCCTCATATTTTGTGTGCGCGGTCCCCGTGGGACTCATAATTTGTGCGCGCAGTCCCTGTGGGCCTCATATTTTGTGTGCGCGGTGCCTGTGGGCCTCATATTTTGCGCGCGCGGTCCCTGTGGGCCTCATATTTTGCGCGCGCGGTCCCTGTGGGCCTCATATTTTGCGCGCGCGGTCCCTGTGGGACTCATAATTTGTGCGCGCAGTCCCTGTGGGCCTCATATTTTGTGTGCGCGGTGCCTGTGGGCCTCATATTTTGCGCGCGCGGTCCCTGTGGGCCTCATATTTTGCGCGCGCGGTCCCTGTGGGCCTCATATTTTGTGCGCGCAGTCCCTGTGCAGGTTTCTGACCTGAGGTAAGTAAAGGAATGTCACTTTCTCACAGGCCAGGAACCCCAGGTTATCTTGGAGCCTCAAGAGTGGAAGAATTCACCCAACTCACAGGTATTTGATGGTGCACTTCCATGGCTGGGATTGGCTTTAAAAAGGTCTTATCTCAAATTCCTTCCATGAAACAGAGTTTTTTTGAAGCCAACTTAAAAGGCCTATGTAAAAATAATTATTCTTGCTGCACCTTATACAAATAATCTGGCCACAGCTGGGTGCGGTGGTTCACTTCTGTAATCCCAGCACTTTGGGAGGCTGACATGGGTGGATCACCTGAGGTCAGGAGTTGGAGATCAGCCTGGCCAACATGGTGAGACCCCATCTCCACTAAAAATACAAAAATTAGCTGGGCATGGTGGCACATGCCTGTAATCCCAGCTACTCAGGAAGTAAGGCTGGAGAATCGCTTGAACTCAGGAGGTGGAGGTTGCAGTGAGCTGAGATTGCACCATTGCACTCCAGCCTGGGCAACAAGAGTGAAACTTTACCTAAAAAAAAATCTGGCAAAGCAAACTAGTCATACCATGATTTGTTTTTTTTTTTTTTTTTTTTTTTTTTTTTTGAGACTGAGTCTCACTCTGTCACCCAGACTGGAGTGCAGTGGCACGATCTCAGTTCACTGCAAGCTCCACCTTCTGGGTTCACGCCATTCTCCCGCCTCAGCCTCCCGAGTAGCTGGGACTTCAGGCGCCCGCCACCACACCCAGCTAATTTTTGTATTTTTAGTAGAGACGGGGTTTCACTGTGTTAGCCAGGATGGTCTTGATCTCCTGACCTTGTGATCCGCCCACCTCGGCCTCCCAAAGTGCTGGGATTACAGGTGTGAGCCACCACACCTGGCCCCATGATTTGTCTTTTAATATAAATGGAAAACTGGAGAGAGAGAATTGTGTTTCAAAAACTGTAGCACACCTGTTGTTAAATTCTAGTCTTGTCTGAGGTTTTTCAATTTTTATTGTTTTCTACAGTTTGGATTAAATTCTAATTTTTCTGGCTACAAGTCTCCAAAATAATGTTTTCAATTTTTCCTTTTTCTTTTCCTTCCCCCCCCCCTTTTTTTTTTCTAGCTGGAGATCACTAAAACCTAAGCTGTGCTTTCTTGAAGCCCTGTGAGCTGAAAATTAGATGTTTCAGTGGGCGCTGCCTCTGGGCCTCTGAGGCAGAGTGTGCTACCCAGAACAAATCGACCTCTTCCACTCCAGCACCATGTTCAGTGTCCCATAACGACAACCCTCTCTCAGCAGGAAGTAGCCAGAAAGAGCACGTCGCCCCTCATCCTTTTATAACTATAGGGTCTGGATTGACAAAGCAGGAGCATCAACATTTTGGACAAACAGCAGCATTTTAAGTTCCCCTTGATTAAAAACCGCCTAAATCCAGCCCCCAAAAAATCAGCCTAATGGCTGTCAGCATGACCATAAACCACAAATGACACCTCCAATCAGAAACATTCCAACCCTGAGATAAAGCGCCCTCCAACCAGAAACATTCCTACCCCGAAATCAAACACTCCTCTGACCAGAAACATTCCCAACCTGCGATAAGCTCTCCCTCCCTAAACCCTTAAATACCCTTAGTCTGTAAGAGAGAGTGCTCCTGACAGCAATCGGCCAGAAGCCCCTCTCAGGTTTATTCTCCAAAATAAACCTGTCTTGGACTGTTGAGCCACTTTTCGTGTTTCTTTCTTCTTTCTTCAACTCTTACACTCAGGAGTTCAAGACCAGCCTGGCCAACATGCAAAACCCCATCTCTACAAAAAAAAATACAAAAAATTAGCCAGGCATAGTGATGCACGTCTGTATCCTCAGCTACTTGGAAAGCTGAAGCTGGAGGATTGCTTGAGCCAGAGAAGGTGAGGCTGCAGTGAGCCAAGAGCGCACCACTGCACTCCAGGCTGGGCAACAGCACGAGACCCTGTCTAAAAAAAAAAAAAAAATGGGCCAAAGATGGTGAGACTCAGCTTGGCAGCAGGGTCTCCCAGCTCCCGTGAGCTCAGCTTAGGGCTTCTCCCAGGATTAGAACACAGAGGTCACCGTAAACATGGAAGAAGAATGACTTTGGAGGAGATGTTAGTTAGTCCACTTCTGGAGGACCAGAAGTGGAGGACTGCCCTATCCTGGACCACAACATTCTCTGATGATTGTCCTGCTGAAGATGCACCCCATGGGTGGGGCTCCCCTGAAGCCTGTGCATAGCCCCGAAAGGGATGTATGCGGTACATACAGGGGAGAGGCAGGGCCTGAGACACAGAATGGGCCTGGGGAGGGAAGAGGGTTTCCTCCGCCTTTGCAGGGTGTGATTGTTGAGTTCTACACCTACAACGACAGAGCGGACGTGCTTAGGAGCGTGCTTGTAGGGAGGGAAACCTGGACCCTGCCCCATTGGAGGTTTCCATGGTCAGACAGGCAGACAGGCCCAGCAGGATCCAGGGCCTCTGAGAGGGGCCCCATCCACCAGCAGCAGTGCTGAAAGTCTGAGTGACCTTCCTCCCAGAGCCTGGGCCTTAGAGAAGGTATGGCAAAGGCTCTGCTGGGCCCTGGGAAACCCTAAGATGGGACAAGCAGGACAGCAGGTAACAGGCACTTAGTTCCTGCATGGGAGTGAATATTAGAATCTGTTGGTCTTTAGTATTGCAAAAGTGACTTTATCTTCAACTTAAAGGTTGAAAGGACCAGGAGCACTGGGGGCCACGTAACTCAGTAACACCCTCCCCTGGGCCCACCGCCCAGCCCCCCTACTCCTAGCCTGCAGGTGTGCCCGCCCCGCAGGTATGGCCACCCACAGGTGCACCCATCCACAAGTGTGCTCTCTCCAGGCTTTGCTCAATGCCCCCCAGGCCTTGCTGGAGTTCCCCCAGCCCTTCTGCTTCCCAGTGCTGCCTGGGGCAGGGCAGGAGGCCATCTGTCCCAGGGCAGTTTGAGCAGCCCCTGTGCCCAGGAGTCTCCCTGTCCCCCTAGGACTGGTTGGGCAGAAGGAACATGACGAAACGAAGAGCCAGGAGAGCCAGGCAGGGAGAGGTGGAGACAGCCCGTGGAGCCGGCAGCTGCAGACCCAGCCTCCCAGCCTAGGCGCTCGCGTTACCCTTCACAGAGCTGTGACTACCTGTGACTTCCCTCGATCCGCACACCAGCCCTCGGAGGCAGGGATGTTGTCCCCACTCGAAGGAGGGATTGTTGAGGCTCAGAGGCTGAGTCAGCACAATGCAGGACTGGGTTATGTGAGTACAGACCTAGGGCCTGGAGAGACGCCATGGCAGGGGTAGGGGCAGAGGCACGGGCCAAGCTGCCCTGGAGTAGGGCCTTGTCTGAGTGTGGGAAGCTCACTGGGGTGAGCTGAGCTGGCTCCCCTGGACCCCAGAGCCCCTTCTCAGGCAGCCAAAAGGCCAGTGTTGGTGCTTGAGAGAGGGAGGTGCTGCTGAGGAGTGTGGTCTCAAAAGGGATGCGCTCCCAGGGACCCCAGCCACGCAGTCTCCTTCCCATCAGGGGGCAGGGGACCCCAGCCCTGTCTTCACTCTGAGGCCCTGGCATCAGTCACTCCTGTCCCGGCTGCGGCCCTCCCTCTGGCCTCCCGGCTCTGGCTTGGCATCTGGCCACAGCGAACCCGCCTCCTCCCTGCCCAGCCCCATCGCCCTGTGCGGTCACTGCCTGTTTCTTGTCTGCTCCCTCCTCCGGATGGCTGCTCAGGCCAGGGCTGCTGGCTGTCCATCCCCGGAGCCCGGCCCCCCATGGGATCCACACACAGAGGGTTTTGCTGGGTGGGACAACGGCTGGTCCTGGACTCTTCACACCCCCACCCAGCAACCAGGACACAGCCTGGGTGGGCAGACTGACCTCCTGGGCACAGTGTCCTCAACGTCCACTCCCAGGCACTGCCAGGCAGTGCCGGCTGCTGGTCACCACAGAAACAGCCACAGTCTGGACCCAGGGCTCCTGCTGGTCTCTGCCGATCCCTAATGCCACTGTGTCCCGAGATGAAACCCAGCTCTTTCCAAGGAGCCATGGAAGGAAGGCAAGAAGGCTGCCTGGGAGACCTCAGATTGCTGCTGAGCCGTGGGCCTGCAGTTGGTGGGGGCTCGTGGCCCACCCCACCCCTCTCTGGCCACCTTTGCTCCCCGCGCCTTCTGTCTTCACACGGGTCTGAAGCTCCTCACTGCTTAGGCCTCATATGAGGACAGGGGTCTGCAGTGCCGCAGGGTCTTGCCAGAGGAAATACAGGGTGAGAAGCCACACATCTGATTAATTGCTCACCTAATAAGGACTTCTGACCACAGCATATAACAGCTGTGTGGTGCCAGGGCTGCTTCGGCCACCCCACAGTGGCAGGTCCCTGGGCGGCCGGCTCTGCCTTGCCCTGCTGGTAGCAAGACGGCTGCAGCTGCACCAGGCACCATTTCTAGCATGACTGTGTTCAACACTGGAAGTGAGGGTAGGAACAAAAGGAATTTCCTCGTGTGAGTCTCTGTCTTGTCCAAGCAGGAAAATTCTTTTCCAGAGCCTCCTTAGCACGTTTATCCTAACACAGCATCGGCCAGGCCAGGTCACTACTTACCTGTGGCAACCAGTCCTACACAGGACCACCGTGACAGCCTTCAGCCAGTCACGACACGTCCCTGAGGCCCAAGAACACTGCTGCTGGGCAGTCAGGGAGAAAGGCAGGAGGCTGTCGGGGACCAACTCACAGGTCTGCCACATGGGTCCACCCGAGGCTCACCGCGACCTCTTCTCCCTCGCTTCCCACCCTTGGTCTCCAGGTAAACGCGGCTCACTTTGCCTGGGATGCTCCTCTCTCCCACACCCTCTCATCCAGCTGAAGCAACCTCACCCTTCAGGGCTCACCTACTGCCTGACTGCAGGGCTGGGCCAAGGTCTCCCCCGCATGCTCCTGCTGCTGGCTCCGGTGCTTCAGGGACCCATCACGGCGGGGACTCGGTGCTCCCCAGGGCTCCGCCAGCACTGTCCGCTCAGAGGCCCTGTGTCCGCTCTTCCTTCCTTCCAAGTCCAGCCCTCTGCCTCCGAACCCCACCCATCCTCCTGGGACCACCTGAGCCGCTGCCTCCTCTGTGAAGCCCCTCCTCTGCAGAGAGGCTGCCTCACTGCCTCTCTTCCCATTCTGTGCCCACCTAGCCCACCTGTCACATGACCCCTCAGACGGTGGGTCTTCCAGAACATGCCTGTTGCCCTCGGTAGCTCCCCAGGAGCTCAGACCACACCTGTGGCCCTCACCACCCTGCTAAGTGCCTTTTCCAAGGCCAAGGGATCAGAATGAATTTTAGATTAAACCCGTAGCCACGACCACATGGCCTCGTGAGGGTTTTGGTGGTCACGTGCCTCACAGGCCTTGGCTGTAAACCCACACACAGTAGCACAGGGCCAGGTTACCCGCACCGCTGAGAACGGAGACGCCGAGAGGTCTAGCAAGCAACTTGCCCAAGATCAGGCACAAGGCAGCCTCAGAAATGGAACTCGCATGTTTCCCACCATGCCAAGGAGGCAGGGAGGAAAGTCAGGGGGCGGCTGTGACCAAGGAGTGACAGATGAGGACGCAGGGGAGGGAAGGACAGGACAGTGGGGCTGGTCAGAGGGCAAAGTCTGGATGCCCCCGTAGAGCCCCAGCAGGAACCCCACTGAGCCCGCTCCAGATGGAGGTGAGTAAAAGGCAGAGGCACTTAGGCAGCAAGTGCTAACTTGGGCCAGAGCCCATGCTGGGCACGGGACACCAGGCCGGCCAAGCCACCCGGGGCCCACCGGTGGTTGGGGAAATGGACACGTGCCATAAGGCAGTGAAGCAGGACGGAGAAGTGCACCGTTAGCCCAGGAGCCACGGGGGGACGTTAGTAACACAACCTGCCCTGCACAGGCCTAGGCCCCAGTCCTCACACACACACCCCATCCCATTTGGGCCCGCACAAGCTGGGGAGTAGGAACTGTCATTTCTGTGTCACAGATGAGCCAGGAGGAGGCACGGCAGGACCAAGGCCTTACCCCCAGAGCCCCGCCAGTCAGCAGCCTGACCAGGAGGTGGACACAGGCCTGCTAGCGTCACACCACCGCCTTTGCTTAGAGGCCACTTCTCTGTCCCAGGAGGCCTTTGTCCACGACTGAGCCCGGAAGCTGGCCACGGCCTTGTGCACCCAGGAAGCTGGCAGCCTCCTTCCTCTTCGAAGCTTTTCCAGCTCTCCCGGTTCTAATACCAAGTAAAATCTTCTTTTCCTTTCAACGATGACTCATAAGATGAAATGAGGCGTTTTGGAGTAAATGATGATGGGACTGAATTATTCAAACTCCTCCAGCTTCTGAAATGACTTTCATTTGTTTATGTTTGGCATTAAGCGTTGAAATGGACAGAGGGTTCACAGGATTTATGTTAATTTGTGAAATGTCTCTGGGTTCCACGCTCCAGCCCAGGAGCAGCCATAATCTAAATGTCTAGGGACCTCCCTGTGCCAATTAATCCAAACTGTCTTTCTTGCTGGTCGTTTTGACAGCTTGGGTTTTGGCTCTGCAATCTCATGCTTGCTCTCAGAGGCCCAGCCCCATCCCCAGGGTGAAGAGGGGTTGCTCTGTGGCTGCTGCGGCTCTGCTGGGACATCCTGAAGCCCAGGGTCTGTTGCTGCCCATGGTGCAACTGCCCAGTTAGGGCATGGGACTTGGGTAACCTGAACCTGTTACGTTCATGACTGACAGGTGCCCAGGAGGTCCCCGGGCGTGTGGTAGGCAGTCAGCGATGTTTGCTACAAGGACCGCCTCAGAGCTGTGCCCACACGAGCAGAGCCCTCCGCCCCTGAGCAGGACAGGCTCCTGCAGGCGCGCTCGGCTGGCATCTTGAAGAACACGTGATGCAGAGGCTGTTTGCAGAGGAGTGGGCAGAATGGAGGGACAGTGGGGGACACTGAGGCACCCGGCACCCAGCCCCGTGGAAAGCTGTTGCCGCCTCCAGGCCCAAAACAGTCTCACAGAGCCTCGTGAGAAGGAGGGGCTGGAGGAGAGGAGGCCACCAGAAGGGAGAAGTCTCCCTGCCCCACAGCAGCAGCTCCGGGAGGAGGCACAGGAACATTCCAACCTCTCCTGCTACACTTGCATCTCTGGCCAGGGCTTCCCAAATGCAATGATCATTAAAGGGCAAGTGAGTCATTGACAAAATCCATCCAGGCCAGCCCCCCGAGATCCAAGCTGGGTAGAAAAAGCAAGGAACCGACGGGGGAGGGCTGGCAAAACAAGGAGGCCACCTGAGGCTTCTGGCTTGTCACCTAAGCTCTTCTGCAGCGGAAGGGCCTCTGCAGAGCTCCTGTAAGACTAGGGGCTGCTCAGAGCAGAGAAGGGAGCCCAGGGCAGGTCTGTGTGAGGGTGTGGCCTCCCTGGAGGAGTCTGAAGGAGGACCCTGAGCCCAGGAGACTGCAGCGCAGAAGGGACATGCGGGTCAGAGACCAAGAGAGGCCAAAGCTACCTCCTGCTGGAGGACAGAGGCTGGCTCTGGAGAGGGGTCATCAGTTGGAAGCTGAGCCATGGAGAGGAGGGTCCTAGAACCCATGAAGCTGGGGGTTCAGGGTCCGAATGCACCACCTTTGGGTACTGCCTGTGGCAGCAGGGGGGGGTGGAGTGGCAGTGCCCAAGTCCACAGTGGGACTGACCCCAGACAGGCCCCCTAATACTTTCAGTCTTCCCCTGCTGGGTGGTGGAAGTGGGTTCCTCCCAGTTCCTGAGACAGGAAACAGGGACCCAGGAGACCAGCCCCAGCGAGGGGGTGCCCAGCCGCCTCTCCCGGCCCCTTTTCCACTTAGGCTTGGGCTACCTGAGACTGCTCTCACACCAGGGGATTGAAAACCCTGGTCACAAGTGGGCAGGGCTCGCAGCCCGGCAGAGAGACCTCTGTCCTGCGTGGGAAGGCTTCCCAAAGTGTGTTCTCCAGAGCTGGAGCTCCCCGAGCTGCTGTAGGGAGAGGTTCTAGAGTCACCACGGTTGGAGAAGTCCTTTCCTCCTCTACCATCACCTGAGCGTGACAAGATTCCCTGGCCCATTAAAGGCTCTGAGAAGTCCTTCAGGGAAAACGCCCCTGGGGAAGGCTTTGCTCAGTGCCAGGACATTTACATGTTTGGGTTGGTTCACAGAATAGGACAAACCCAGGTCAGTCCCCAGGCTGAGAAAGCCTTGGCTGAACAGCTTTTACCTCCCCCTTCCCACCCCCTCCTCTTTTGAGCTCTCTTGGGACGGTGGCTGCGGCTCCGGGAGCTCTGGGCTGTCACAGAGCAGCTCCAGCCCCCGCCCACCCTGGCCTCTGAGCTTGCATCCCTCCACCTCTGGGTGAGTCCCCTCTGGCCTCCATGAAATCCTCAGGAGATGCCGCTTGAGGCCTTACATCAAGTGACAAGACAGCCAGGAGTCGTGTGCAGATTCCTCAAGGGGTCACGGACTCATTCGAGGCCATTTCCCTGTCCTCCTGCCTCCACGCTGTAGGTCCTAAAGTGTGTCCTTGCTGCTCCTGCTGCCAACACCAAACTCCTACCTCCGCAGCAGCCGGGCCCTGGAAAGGCCCACAGCTCCCACGCCAGGTCTGAGATAGCGGGAGCCTCTCACTTATTCCCAGTGCGCATGGCCGTGGCTGCCCGTGTTCCCTCCAGACCCCGCAGGTTAGCCTGGTCAGGAGGGCTGGGTGAGCCCCTGGGTCCTGAGCCCTGGCTGTGGGCTGCTCCTGGTGCTGAGCCTCCCAAACCCAGGAAGGCCCCAATTGCCTTCTCTCCCGCCCCTGCTCCGCTCCAACTCAGAGACTTCCCTTTGTGGGCAGCGGTACCTCCTCTGCCTGTGCACCCAGCTGACAGCACCCATTCCCACTCTGCCCAGCCGCTCACAGGCACAGCCTCTCTGGGTCTCACCCACTGGCTACTCACTGCCACCTGCGCCTCCCAAGCCACAGAGCTAAGTCCCTACCCTCACTGACACTGATCTACTGTGGCACTAAGACCTCTCACAGACGTGATCTTATTAACCTTCCTAAGTGTCATGCAAGGTTTAGAGAGGTCAAGGAGCATGCCAAGGTCACATGGCTCATAAATGTCAGAACCCAGCATTCTGCTGTGACCAAGGCCACGCTGCCCCAAGAGTCTCTCTGCTCCCCTGACAGCCAACCCCTAGGGGCTGATAGGCACAGCTGGGGGGCTCCAGGCACGAGCAGTGTTGAGCAGATGGAAAACAAGCCACACTCCTGACTTCCTTGTCCTCAGCACATCTGGGAAAAAGTTCAGAGGGCAATGCCAGCGTCCTGTGGGGCAAACTGCTCATCTCGCCATGCCTTTGTGCTCCAGAGAAGCCCAGTGGTTTGTTCTTTGTAGGAAAATGTCATAATTAGAATTACTTTCCATCCACAGGTCACAGGTGGGTGGCCACAGTGGAGCTCAGGCAAGAGCAGGTGAGAGACAGAGCTAGAGAAGAGGAAGTGCGCATGGGGACTTATATCACCATCGTCACCATCACCATCATCACTCTCAGCATTGTAACCATCTCTGCCATCACCATCATCACCACCATTATCATCACACTCATCACCACCAACCCCACCATCACCACCACCATTGCCACCATCATTACCACCATCATCGCCAACATCACCACCATCACCGCCAAGATCATCACTCTCAGCATTGTAACCATCTCTGCCATCACCATCATCACCACCATTATCATCACACTCATCACCACCAACCCCACCATCACCACCACCATTGCCACCATCATTACCACCATCATCGCCAACATCACCACCATCACCATGATCATCACCATCATCACCACCACCATCCTCACCACCACCATCAACACCATCATTACCACCGTCATTATTATCACACTTATCACCACCAACCCCACCATCGCCACCACCATCACCATCACCACCATCATCACATCATCATCATCACACTCATCACCACCAACCCCCCCATCACCACCATCACCACCACCATCACCATCACCACATCATCACACTCATCACCACCAACACCATCCTCACCACCATCATCACCACCACCATCACATCATCACACTCATCACCACCAACCCCACCATCACCTCCACCACCACCACCACCATCACCACCACCACCACCATCACCACCATCATCACCATCACTATCATCTCCACCATCATCAGTACCACCACCACCACCATCATAACCATCACCACCACCATCACCACCAATACCACCATCACCACCATCACCATCATCATCACCATCACTATCATCTCCACCATCATCAGTACCATCACCACCACCATCATAACCATCACCACCACCATCACCACCAATACCACCATCACCACCATCACCACCATCATCACCATCATCTCCACCATCATCAGTACCATCACCACCATCATCACCATCACTACCACCATCACCACCATTATCACTATCACCATCATCTCCATTCACCACTTGAAGACCCTCTCGAGGGAAGGGAACAGACACTTCTCAAGTGCCCACTATGTGCCAGGCTCTGGGCCAGGAACTGGAGATGTCAAGATGAATCAGAGTTGACCCTGCCTTCAGGAAGCCCTGGCCCATCTAGTGTCACCATGCCTCATGTAAGACTTTTAAGCACATCATCTGACTTAACCCTCACCCTGTGAGGTCAGTAGTGGTGTTCCCTTGACATGAATGAAAAAACTAGACTAGGAGAGTTGAAGTCCCCTGCCCAGTTTCACACTGCTGCCCACTGTGGGATGGAGGATGGGGCTGTGCTGGGGACTCTAACCAGCCCCTGGCCTGAGCTCCCCCAGACCAAAGAAAGCAGCCACTGTGGTCTGCTTTCAGGCTTCCACCCCAGCAAGGGGCAGGCTGCTGGTGGGCTCATTGGCCTGGCCCAGGCTGAGCTGATGCCACTGCTGGAATACCATCACCTCCAAGCGTGTGCTCTTGCTCCTCCTGCCCTGTGTGGCCTCGTCACTTTGGCTGCCAGTTTCTAAATGGCACTGGCTCGTGGCTGATGAGCCATTCCTGTCTCCTCCGGGGCAGCGCCTCACATTCATCTCCCCTCTAGATCACTTCCACCTGGCTTCAGCCTCCAGAATCAATGCATCTGACTCCCCTGAAGAGCAGGGGCCACTGCCCGCAGGAAGGGAGGGGGCTGGCCCACTCTGCATCCACCTGGAGTGCCCCTTGTGAGCACCTCCTCGGCCAGGTGGGAAGGGCGTGTGTTCTGGGGCCAGACAGTGCCTGTGTTTGAATCTTGAGGCCATGGGCCCTCGCTTAGCCCTCCTGTGCCTCCATTCCCCATTCAAGAACTGGAGGATTACCTGTGTGCCCTCTTTCACCAGTGACTGTGTGGCCTGAGTGATTGATGTGTGGGAGGCAGCAGCATGGCTCTCTGGGCCCTCAGCCAATGCTCCACCAACATCAGCTACATGGGGCGCCGGCGCCTCCCTCCAATGATCCAGCCTCCAAATGCGGCCAGGACTGGGAACTCATGACTTCTGACTTCTCAGACAGAAGCTCCTAGGAGGACACAGGAAGACACACACCACTCTCTCCGCAGCGCCCTCTTCCTAGCTGAGCGCCTGACCCTCTCTTCAGGGGTCTGGTGTGTTTGCAGTGCTGGTGGAGCATTTCAAACACCGGCCCACAAATGCCCCCCATGCCTCGGCCCAAGGCCCCAGGCCCTGGGTCCCAGCTGCCCTTTATCCCCCTCAAGCAGGAAGGTGGCTCATGATGACCCCCTCAGGAGCTGAGAGGCCCAAGGAAACTGAGTGTCCCCCCAAATCCATATGCTGAAGCCCAACTCCTCAACAGGACGTATTTGGAGATGAGGTCTTTAAGGAGGTGATTCATGTGAAATGAGGTCCTAAGGGTGGGACCCTAATCCAGTAGGACTGGTGTCCTTACAAAGGACCACCAGATGAGGGCGAGACTCCAGGGATGCATGGACAGAGAAAGTCCATGTGAGGACACAGCAAGAAGGCGGCCACCTGCTGGCCAGGAAGAGAGGCCCCACTAGAAACTGAGTCTACCAACGCCTTCATTTTAGACTTCCAGACACCAGAACCATGAGACTATATATTCCTGCGGTGTGAGCCCCCATTCTGTGGCCTTCTGCTAGAGCAGCCCGAGCTGACAGACACCGAGGGAGCACCAGACCCCAGGCAGGACCACCGGGCTGCCCACTGCACCCCAGCCACCTGGGCCCTGCTCATACTCACCCAAAGTGGGAGGGGGAAGCCCTGGGGCTGCAGCTCGGGGTCCTCAGGGAAGCAGGCGCAGAGTGTCTCACCCATAAATCATTAGACCAGAGGGTCTCAAACTCGAGGGGCATCGGAACCCCCTAGAGTATGTGTTAACGCACAGATCGCTAGACCCCACCGCCCCGAGTTTCTGATTCAGTCAGTCTAGTGTGGGGCCGGAGAACTTGCATTTCTAGAGTCCCCACAGGAAGCTGATGCTCCCAGGCCAGGGACAGGGACCACACTTTGAGAACCGTGGCATCAGGGAGCATTGGGCAAATGGCCGAATGCTGCAGAAGCAGGAAGCGGATGGCTCTCCTCGCCTTCCTCTGTTCCCAACCGAATCATGGTGCTGGAGGACAGCAGAGGTGAGAAGGGGCCTGAACCTGCCCAGCCGCTGTGGTGTGGCTCAGCCCGGCCCATCTGCAGGGCAAGCCCAAGAGGTAGGCACCACAATCCCTGTTTTACACACAAGGAAGGCTGGGCTCAGAGTAAAAAAGTGCCAGGGCCACCAAGATCCACATGGGGCCAGATCCCCTGCCTTTCCCTTCTCTCAGTGACCCCCACACAGACCTGGACACACAGAGCCAGCCCCAGGCCTCAGAGCGTCCACATCTCCCCCAGGGCCACTGCTGAAAACAAGACAGCTGCGGGGAGACGCAGAAAAAGCCTCTCTCACTGCACAGTTGGCCCCGGGCCACCTTCTCCTTCCAGGTGCCTGCAGTTGGAGAATGGCTGTAGTATCTTACCATCACCTGATGCAGCTCCCACGCCCCCTCTGAGCCTGCGGCACCGTGGCAGAGGTAGGAAGGAGGGTCCTGCTACCGAGCCCTGCGTGACCGGTTTCCATGACAACTGGGCTGCAGCTATCCAGAAGGACAATTAACCTCAGAGCTGATCTTCCTGCGGGACCCTTCTGCTGGGTAGAGAGGAGCGGCCCCAGCAGCATCAGGGAACAAGGGAGAGGCTGGGCCCAGCCCCTGGGTCATTCCTTGTCTGAGAGCCCTCAGTGACCAGCACTCCGGCAGGAAACGCCATGCAGCGCTGGCAAGGACCAGGAGGCTGGGCAAAGGCCCCACAGAGCGGGGCTGCACGTGGGCCTCGGGGGCACCGGCACCAGCCCCGCACGCACCTCCTCTGAGCCCCCCTTCGGGGGACTCCTGGGCACCAGAGCTCCTGGGTCCTTGTCCTGGCCCTGCCAACTTGGATGGTTCAGCGCTCAGCCTCACTGGGACCTGAGAGCATGGAGCACAGAAGACGTGTCCCCAAGCCCCCAATCTGTGGAGGTGGGGCCTGGCTCCATGTGAGGGGAGGGGTAGTGGCTGAGGTCCAGCCAATCCCTTGGCCCCACCCTGCTTCAGGCAGGGGTGGTAAGTAATAAGTGGTAAGTAAGTTCGCTGAGCACTTACTATGTGCTAAGCAGGACCTACGCTAAGTCCCTTCCATGTATTTGATGCCAGGAAATCTCTCGACCACTGCTCAACTATGAGACCCATTCAGCAGATGAACAGCAGAGGCACAGAGGGGTTAGAGGGCATTGACCCCAGGCAGGCTGGTCTCAGCGTCTGCTCCTGTGGACCTGCAGGTCTCTGCTTTTAACTGTTGTACACACTACGGTTCACCAGGCTTTGGCTAGGAAAAGAATGAATCTGCTTCCGAAACCAGTTTGAAAACCACTGCTGGCCGGGCACGGTGGCTCACGCCTGTAATCCCAGCACTTTGGGAGGCCGAGGTGGGTGGATCACGAGGTCAGGAAATCGAGACCATCCTGGCCAACACGGTGAAACTCCGTCTCTACTAAAAATACAAAAAAAAAAAAAATTAGCTGGGCATGGCGGTGCGCGCCTGTAATCCCAGCTACTCGGGATGCTGAGGCAGGAGAATTGCCTCAGAAAAAAGAAAACCACTGCTATGGTCCACACTTCCCCACTTCACAGAGATGGAAACTGGGGCTCTAAAAGGTAAAATGGCTCATCCAAAATCACACAGCTCTAAGTCAATATATCAAAAGGCCAATTCAGTCAATGTGTTCATTGATTATAACAACTGATACAAGTTTACAGTGATCCATAATGGAGGGATTTCTTTTTTAAAGATATTGAAGATTTCTGCCGAATTTAGGCTAGCTCTTCTCCACTGGACTTCATAACAACATTCAAAGTATGCTGGACCTGCCTCTGTCCAGCAGCCTACTGCTTCAGCTAGGAGAAACAGTCAAGGAGAGAGAACCTCGGCACGAGGAAGGACAGAAAGGAGGGTCAGCTCAGCAGGGGCTGCACTGCCCCATCTTCGGTCACCCAGAAGATGAGACTGAGGGTCAGAGTAGAGATTTGGAGTTTAGGGGAGACTGGGGAGAACAGAGAGGGGAGGTGAAGGGTGGGGGAAAGGAGACAAAGGGACAGAGAGAGGAGTTTGAAAGGCAAGGAAGGGGAGACACAGGGGCACAAAAAATATACATTTGTAAGAATTTCTCATCCTCAAGAATATGTTCAAGAGTATTTTCAAGAATGTATCCAGTACACTTGAGAACAGAGTCATATGGAATTCGATGGCTAAAATCACCTTAAAACCATCCGGATTTGGGAGAGGAGTGAATGGGTGGGGAAAAGGCTGAGACAAGACTGGCCACATATGGACCTCTGTTGACACTGATGTCGCACGCTGGGCTTTTCTATTATTCTATTTTTGCCTATGTTCAAAGTTTCCCATTATAAAAAAGTCTTTTAAAGTATGTAGTCAATATATTCCAGAATTTTTAAATGAATAGTTTTTGAATATAGTTTTGAATATATTAATGAATCGATGCCGTCTGTCTCCCTCCCACGCTCAGCCTCTCCTGCCTCTCTCTCTCTCTCTCACTCTCACGCTCTGTCTCGCTTTCACGCTCTCTCTCTGTCTCTTGTCCTGGAGTCAGCAGCCAAAATTAACAGCTGCATACTGATTCTCCTCTGCGTGGAGGAAATCCAAAGCATTTGTTAAAATACTGATACAAAAGGGAAAATAAGCATTAGTCAAACAAAACATCACAGAAATCTTCCAAATCTACCGCATCCTACAGGATTTGCTATAAATATTCATTTTTATAAATAGATCAAAGAAACCAGTAAATAGAATGACTTGTTCATTTGTCAGATTGGCTTTGGGTTAGTGCTGCTCTGGGCATGCTGGTGCACAGGGCAGAGACGGGTCTGAAACCCAAGTCTTCCATCTTCAGACCTGTGCTCTTCTAAACCCACAAACACTCTACAGGATCAAAGTCAAGTTGCAAGAATCTTTCTTAAGGCAGTCTCCTCCCTTTCTGACTCAGTTTCCCCATCTGCACAAGAAGTGGATGGTTGAGATGTTCATGGAGCTCCTCCCAGACCAGGGTGGTGACACTTCCAGGGACAGTTGGTGTTACTGGATTCAGGGCCATTCTGGGCCTGCCCCAAACCCATGGAGACCGAGAGACCTCATGTCTCCCCTCAGCTGTGCATGGAGCCATGAAGGAGAACAAGGGGCCGGGAGGCAGCTGCAAGGAGGCCTCAGCCCCATGCCAGGCGGGTGCTGCCTCTGTCCCGCCTGCCCCAGGCCTCAAAGGGCCTGCCATGTGGGCCTCTTCTGGAAGGGACGGTTTGGACCAACAGTCCCAGTTTGCCCAGGACTCAGGGCCTCCCACAACGTGAGACTTTCATTGCTTTTGTGGTTTTCAATGCTAAAAACAGGACCATCCCAGCCAACCTGAGCCAAGTTGGTCCCCCCACTCCCAGGAGAGTTGGCTACGCAAATTTTTAGTAAAGAGGAATATCGGAAGGGAAGGAAGTTTTGTTTTGATTTCCCAGCTTTGGGAGAAAAGAAAAGAAGGGATTGCTTATGAACTGCAAGCCCCCTGATGAAACAGCAAACTACCAGGCCGGTGCTGGTCCAAGATCTAATGGCAGGATGTTTGCAGTCCTGATGTTACCAAGCTTTGTCTCCCCAAGCCAGAAAAGGCAGTGGAGCCGGGGCTAGGAACCCTGCTGCCCTGCTTTTTTGCTTTTTTTTTTTTTTTTTTTTTTTTTTTTTAGATGGAGTCTCGCTCTGTCACCCAGGCTGTAGTGCAGTGGTGCGATCTTGGCTCACTGTAAGCTCCACCTCCTGGGTTCACGCCATTCTCCTGCCTCAGCCTCCCCAGTAGCTGGGACTACAGGCGCCTGCCATCACGCCTGGCTGATTTTGTTTTTGTATTTTTAGTAGAGACAGGGTTTCACCATGTTGGGCAGGATGGTCTCGATCTCCTGACGTCATGATCCGCCCGCCTCGGCCTCCCAAAGTGCTGGGATTACAGGCGTGAGCCACCGCACCTGGCCTTTTTTTTTTTTTGAAACAGAGTCTCACTCCGTCACCCAGGCTGGAGTGCGGTGGCGCAATCTCAGCTCACTGCAGCCTCCAGGGACGTGCCATCATGCCCAGCTAATTTTTTTATTTTTAGTAGAGACAGGGATTTGCCATTTTGGCCAGGCTGGTCTCGAGCTCCTGACCTCAAGTGATCTGCCCACCTTGGCCTCCCAAAATGCTGGGATTACAGGCATAAGCCACCATACCCAGCCAGAACCCTGCTTCTCTGAATGAATCAGCCACAGAGCAACAGAGGTCTGCTGTGATCGGAATCAAGGAAAATGACCTTGCCATGGAGGGGCAGGCAGCCAGGAGGGGATGAGCCGGGCTGGCCCAAAGGGCTCTTGCCACTGTTGACTCTGTCACAGGCTTCTTATTGGATGTTGCCCAGACACCTGCCTCCACCCCTCCAGTGTCCCAGAGGCTCGGAGCCCAGTCCCACAGGTCTCAGAGGGGTCAGATGGCACATCAGCCCCGTGAGTCCTGAGGGACATAAAATCCTTAGGCCCAGATGTGGCTAGTAAGTGCTGGGTAGCCAGTGCTGCCGCTCTTTGGCCATGCTCTCAATGCTCACGCCTCTCCTCCTTCTATTTATTTTGTTTTGTTTTAGAGACAGAGTCTTGCTCTGTGGCCCAGGCTGGAGTGCAGTGGTGCCATCATAGTTCGCTGCAGTCTCGAATTCCAGGGCTCAAGCCATCCTCCCGCCTTAGCCTCCCAAGTAGCTGGGTACGCGCCACCATACCTGGCTCATTTTTGTAATTTTTGTAGAGACAGGGTCTTCCTAATGTTGCTCAGACTGGTCTCCAACTCCTGGGCTCAAGCAGTCCTCCCACCTCGGCCTCTCAAAGTGTTGGGATCACAGGTATGAACCATTACACCCAGCCACTCTCCCACTTTTAAAAGAGTCTGCGTTTGAGTGGCCATTTATTTCCTTGCATGGATGTGTTGGCTGTTTCCCCTAACCTGAGCTACCCTGGAGGGAAGGACACTGGACAAAAGGATGTCACGGTGATGACCTGGGAGGGAGAGGAGCGACTTGGCAACCATTTGCTTCAAACCACTGATATGTAGCTGCCGGTCCTCATGGCTCATCCTATTAAGGACTAGCTGCTAAATTCTTAACCCAATTTTTAATTTTTATTTTTTAGAGATGAGGCCTTGCTATGTTGCTCAGGCTAGCCTCGAACTCCTTGGGCTGAAGCGATCCCCTCACCTCCACTTCCTGAGTAGCTGGGACTAGCGTCCAGCTTCTTAGCCCAACTTCAATTAAAACTGTGTATATTTATTTTTTAGGGCTGCTGTGACAAATTACCACAAACTCAGTGGCTTAAAACGACCTGTGAGAAATAATTGTTTCTAGACCACCTAGTTCATAGTTTTGTTTTTTGTGGGATTTTTTTTGGGTTTTTTTTTGTTTGTTTGTTTGTTTGTTTTGAGACAGAGTCTTCCTCTGTCGTCCAGGCTGCTAGGCTGGAGTGCAGTGGAACTATCTCAGCTCACTGCAACCTCCGCCTCCCGGGTTTAAGCAATTCTCCTGCCTCAGCCTCCCAAGTAGCTGGGATTACAGACATGTACCACCACACCCAGCCAGTCTCTGTATTTTTAGTAGAGACAGTGTTTCACCATGTCGGCCAGGCTGGTCTCAAACTGATCCTGGGGGAGGGACAGACATGAAAATGATTTGCTCAATGTCAGAAAAGAGTATCATAAAAAGAGCCAGGCACAGTGGCTCACACCTATAATCCCAGCACTTTGGGAGGCTGAGGAATGAGGATTGCTTGAACCTACGAGTTCAAGACCAGCCTGGGCAACATAGTGAGACTTTATCTCTACAATTTTTTTTTTAAATTAGCTGCATGTGGTGGCTCACTCCTGTAGTCCCAGCTACTCGGGAGGCTGAGGTGAGAGGATCCCTTGAGCCCTGGAGGTCAAGGCTGCAGTGAGCCATGATCGCAACACTGCACTCCAGCCTGAGTGACAGAGCTGAGACCCTGTCTTAAAAAAAAAAAAAAAAAAAAAAAAAAAGAGAGAGAGAGAGAGAGCTGTGCAGTCTGTCAGATTGAGCACAATCCCACCTGGACATCACCAGGAAAATCGGAAAATATTTTCAATGGAATAATAAACTCCTACAATCAAAACTTGTATGTGCAGGGATGCAACCAAAGCAGTACTCAGAGGGAAATTTCTAGCCTGAAATGCTTGCCTGAGCCCAGGAGTTCAAGACCAGCCTGAACTGGAGAAAGGAGGAATGATTAAAAACAAATGCACTAAGATCTATCTCAAGAAATTACAAAAGGAACAGCAAAATAAATCCTAAGCAAGCAGGACTAGAAATAAAAATACACATGTAATGAACTAAGAAACAGAGACAATCAACGAAACCTAAAGTTGGTTCCTTGAAAAGGCTGCAAAAACTAATACATTTCTGGTGAGAATGATTGAGAAGAAAAGGGATGACAATTGCTACCATCCTGCAGGCAAATTGCAATATGCTGCCTCTTGCTAGCTGCATGTCTTTGGGCAAATTAATTAACCACTCTAAGCCTGTTTCCTCATCTTAAAATTGAGAAATAGAATATCTGCCTCACTGGCTATTATGAGAATTAAATGAGATAGTGTGAGTTAAGTGTCCAGCAGAGAATACAAACTATATAAATCATACTAGTTATGATCACAGTGGTGGTGGTTATCAATACTCTAAAGTGCCACAGGGGGCTGGGTGCGGTGGCTCACACCTGTAATCCCAGCACTTTGGGAGGCTGAGGCAGGTAGATGACCTGAGGTCAGAAGTTCAAGACCAGCCTGGCCAACATGTTGAAACCCCATCTCTACTAAAAATACAAAAATCAGCCAGACATGGTGGTGCGTGCCTGCAGTCCTAACTACTCGGGAGGCAGAGGCACAAGAATCGCTTGAACCTGGGAGGCAGAGGTTGCAGTGAGCCATAATCATGCCACTGCACTCCAGCCTAGCGACAGAGTGAGACTCCGTCTCATCTCAAAAAAATAAATAAATAAATAAATAAAAATAAAGTGTTACAGGGGGAACAGAGAGGGAGGATGACTTCCTGCCCTGGCAGGTGACAGGGAGGAGATGATTTCTAAGCCCTAAAGGATGGAGAGGGCTTCATAGAAGAAGAGAAAGAAGGACCATCCAGGCTGAGAGCCTAGTGAGCAGGAGGCAGGAGCCCTGGAGGCCTGAGGTTCATCCAGAGGGGAGAAGGGGCCAACCACGAGTGCCAAGGCCCTCGTGGGCCTCTCTGAGGCAGTGGCTGACATTTGATGCCAATGTTGAAAACATAAATGGGCCTGGCCCGCAGCCTTCATGCATTATGCAGCGAGGGTGAATAATGAATGACTTGGAATTTTTTTTAACCATTTGGTCACAGATTTCTCTCCAGGGTGACGGAAATACAATGGCCATGCCCAGCCTGTCTGTGTAGTTCACAGAATGATTTAGTTATAATAACCTCCAGGCTCACAGCGAAGTTATTTTCTGCTGGAAGCAAGTGAACAAGTCTTCACCAGACCAAGCCAGCTTCCCCCAGGACGAAGAGGTTCTCTCAGGACTGTTTATTTTCTCAAAAGCCTCTGTCTACATGACAGGGACACCCTCAGGTAAAGAGCTCCCAGTATGTCCGGAGCCAGATGTGTTAGGCTGTAAGCCTCAGCTGAGACCCAGACCTCCTCTGGGGGAAGGGAGCCGTGGGATGGCATTAACCTCTGCTCAGCATGAGGGCTCCATCATCCCACAGGAAAGTCATTGGTGGGGCCGCTCTCACAGAGAGGTGGCTCTGGGTGGAGGGCTTCCCGAGGAGGTGGCTCTAGAGCTGGATTAGACAGAGGGAAGCTCTAATCCCCAAAAATAAGGGGTATGGAGGTCCCCAGAATGTCATAATAATAAAGGCTTCAGAAAACGTTTGCATCAGAATATGTAACTGGCAGAGTAACCTATGACCCTGAGCTCCTCTAAAAATACTGACAATCCCTGGCTTATGATGGTTCAACTCAGGATTTTTTGACTTTATGATGGTGTGAAAGTGATACACATTCAATAGAAACTGTACTTCCCTCACAGTGCTGGACAGAGGCAGAGAGATGCAGCTCCCACTCAGCCACGCTGCCAATTTACAATGGGTTCGTCGGGAAGTAACCATGTTGTGAGTCAAGAAGCATCTGAAGTTATGAGGCAAATACCACACAACCCAGCAACTGCATTTTTGTGTGAATGTAAGTTCACAAAAGAATCTATACACTAGTCTCCATAGCAGCTTTACTAAAGCAGGCAAATACTGGTAGCACTCAAATGTCCTTTTAAGGGTGAATGTCAGGCCAGGTGTGGTGGCTCACATCTGTAATCCCAGCACTTTGGGAGGCCGAGGCGGGTGGATGCCCTAGGTCGGGAGTTTGAGACCAGCCTGGCCAACGTGGTGAAACCCTGTCTCTACTAAAAATACAAAAATTAGCCGGGCGTGGTGGCATGTGGCTGTAATCCCAGCTACTTGGGAGGCTGAGGCATGAGAATAGCTGAACCCAGGAGGTGGAGGTTGCGGTGAGCTGAGATCGCGCCACTACACTGCAGCCTTGGTGACAGAGTGAGACTCTGTCTCAAAACAAACAAACAAAAAAAGGATGAATGCCAGACATACTGCGGTATGTCCAAATCCAGAAACACCACTCAGTAACGAAAAGAATAAATCATCGGTACACAGTGTCTTAGTCTGTTCCAGCTGCTATAACAAAATACCCTAGACTGCATAATTTATAAAGAGCAGAAACTTATTGCTCACAGCTCTGGAGGCTGGGAAGTCCAAGATCAAGGTGCCAGCAGAATCGGTGTCTGTTGAGGGCTCTCTGATTCATAGACGGCAGTTTGTTGCTGTGTCCTCACGTGGTTAAAGGGGCAGTGGCACTCCCTTCACCTCTCTTATAAGGGCATTAATCCTACTCATGAGGTCACAGCCCTCGTGACTTAATCACTTCCCAAAGGTCCCACCTCTTAAAACTATTATATTGGGTGTGAGATTCCAACATATGAATTTAGGAGGGCACCAACATTCAAATCACAGCACACAGCAACCTGGATGACTCTCCAGAGAACTATGCCGACTGCAAAAAGCCAATCCCAAAAGGTTACTAGTTGCTTGATTCCATGTACAGACCATTCTTATGGTGACAAAGGTATAAAGATGGAGAACAGATTGGTGGTTGCCAGAGGCTGGGGGTAGATGATTGTGTTAGAAACAAACAGGAGGGGTGGCCAGGCACAGTGGCTCATGCCTGTAATTCCAGCACTTTGGGAGGCCGAGACAGGTGGATTACCTGAGGTCAGGAGTTCGAGACCAGTCTGGTCGACATGGTGAAACTCTGTCTCTACTAAAAATACAAAAATTAGCCAGGCATGGTGGCAGGTGCCTGTAGTCCCAGCTACTTGGGAGGCTGAGGCGGGAGAATTGCTTGAACCCAGGAGGTGGAGGTTGCAGTGAGCTGAGATGGTGCCATTGCACTCCAGTCTGGGCAACACAGTGAGACTTCACATTAAAAAAAAAAAAAAAAAGCCTGCACGGTGGCTCACGCCTGTAATCCCAGGACTTTGGGAGGCCGAGGCAGGCAGATCACGAGGTCAGGAGATTGAGACCATCCTGGCTAACACGGTGAAACCCCGTCTCTACTACGAATACGAAAAAAAAAATTAGCCGGGCGTGTTGGTGGGCACCTGTAGTCCCAGCTGCTCAGGAGGCTGAGGCAGGAGAATGGCGTGAACCTGGGAGGCGGAGCTTGCAGTGAGCCGAGATCGCGCCACTGCACTCCAGCCTGGGTGACAGAGCGAGACTCCGTCTAAAGAAAAAAAAAAAAAAAGCTTGAGCGCAGTGGCTCATGCCTGTAATCCCAGCACTTTGTGAGGCTGAGGCGGGTGGATCACCTTAAGTCAGAAGTTCGAGACCAGCCTGGTCAACATAGTGAAGCCTCATCTCCAGTAAAAATACAAAAATTAAACAGACGTGATGGCGCATGCCTGTAATCTCAGCTAGAAAGAAAGAAAGAGAGAGAGAGGGAGGGAGGGAGGGAGAGAGGAAGGAAGGAAGGAAGGAAGGAAGGAAGGAAGGAAGGAAGGAAAAGGAAAGAAGCAAACAGGAGGGATCCTTGTAGCATTGGAACTGTGGTGGTGGACCCACAAATATGTGCAGGTGATAAAAGTGTGTAGAACTAGAGGAACACACACACACGAATGGATGCAAAGGAAGCTAGGGAGATCTGAGGACATTGAATCAACATCAATATAGTTATTATGATATTGCCTTTAGGTTCACAAGATGTTACCACAGGAGAAAAGGGTACAAGGTGCACTGAATCTCTCTGTGTTACTCCATACAACTACATGGGAATCTATCATTATCTCAAAATAAAAGTTCTAACTTAAAAATAGTAATGATTTAATGTTAAGTGAAAAAGGCAGACCTCAAAACTTTATGTGATGATCAGTACCATATTTTTTTTTATTCTATTTTATTCTATTATTTTATTTTATTTTATTGAAGCGAAATCTCGCTCTGTCGCCCAGGCTGGAGTGCAATGGTGCGATCTTGGTTCACCGCAACCTTCAACTCCCGGGTTCAAGCGATTCTCCTACCTCAACCTCCAGAGTAGCTGGGATTACAGATGCCCACCATCACGCCCAGCTAATTTTTGTATTTTTAGTAAAGATGGGGTTTCACTGTGTTGGTCAGGCTGGTCTCAAACTCCTGACCTCAGGTGATCCACCCGCCTCGGCCTCCCAAAATGCTGGGATTACCGGCATGAGCCACTGTACCCGGCTCAATCAGTACTATTTTAAAGACATCAAAATTTACACCTAATATCTACTAAAGTGAAACAATTGCCTACCCTATGACCCAGCAATTCCATTCCCAAATATACCCACAGGAGAAACAGGTGCCTATGACCACCAGAAAATGTGTACAAGACGGTTAATGACAGCATTATTCATAATAGCCACAGTGGGCAACAATCCAAATGTCCATCAATAGGGGAATTAATAGATTGTGTTTTGTTCATACAATGGAATCCTTAACACAGCAATTATAAAGAAACAAACTTGTGCTGTACACATTGATGAATCTCCCTGACCAATATTAAGCAAAAGAAACCAGATACAAAATGTAAAATGATGCAGCCACTGTGGAAAACAGTGTGGTGGTTCCTTTAAAAAATTAGAAGTAGACGATGGCTCACGCCTGTAATCCCAGCACTTTGGGAGGCCGAGGCGGGCAGATCACCTGAGGTTGGGAGTTCGAGACCAGCCTGACCAACATGGAGAAACCCCGTCTCTACTAAAAATACAAAATTAGCCGGGCATGGTGGCGTATGTCTGTAATCCCAGCGACTTGGGAGGCTGAGGCAGGAGAATCACTTGAACCCGGGAGGCGGAGGTTGCAGTGAGTCAAGATTGCGCCATTGCACTCCAGCCTGGGCAACAAGAGCAAAACTCCATCTAAAAAAAGAAAAAAAATTAGAAGTAGAATTACCATATGATCAGGAATTCCACTTCTGGGTATATGCCCAAAAAAACTGAAAACAGGGTCTTGAAGAGTTATTTTGTGCACACATGTTCACAGCAGCATTATTCCCAATGTCTAAAACTTGGGCAGATGCTACCCAGTGTCCACTGATTGATTAATGGATGAGCAACATGCCATGATATCCATAATGAAATATTATTCAGCCTAAGAAAAGGAAAGAAATTCAGACATGCTACAGATATGGATGAACTCTGAAGACATTATGCTAAGTGAAATAAGCTAGACACAAAAAGGCAAGTACTGTATGAATCCACCCATAGGAGGTACCTAGAATGGTCAAATTCATAGGAAACACAGCCAGGCACAATGGCTCATGCCTGTAATCCCAGCACTTTGGGAGGCTGAGGCAGGTGGATCACTTGAGGTCAGGTGTTTGAGACCAGCCTGGTCAACATGGTGAAACCCTGTCTCTATTAAAAAATATCAAAAAAAAAAAATTAGCTGAGCGTGGTGGTGTGTGCCTGTAATCCCAGCTACTCAGAGGGCTGATGGGGAGAATCACTTGAACCGGGGAGGCGGAGGTTGCCGTAAGCCGAGATTGCGCCACTGCACTCCCGCCTGGGGTACATAGCGAGACTCTGTCTCAAAAACTAAAATAAAATTTTTTTTTAATTCATATGAACAGAAGGTAGGATGGTGTTTACCAGGGGCTGCGGGGAGGAGGGAATACAGAGTTAGTGTTTAATGAGTATGGAGTTTAGTTTTCCAAGATGAAAAGAGTTCTACAGACGGATGGCAGTGATGGTTATACAACATTATGAATGTATTTAATAACGTTGAACTGTACACTTAAAAATGGTCAAGATGATAAAGTTTATGTGTATTTTAACACAATTTTTAAAATAGGGGAAAAAACAGCCAGACACAAAGACCACATACAACATGGTTCGTTTATATGAGGTTTAAGAAAGACCAAACTATTCTATGGCAATAGAATCAGAATGAGGGGTTACTGAAGAGAGTGTGAGTGTGGCTAGGCAGGGCCTGCGGTGCCCTCTGGGCACTGGCCATGCTCTATATCCTAGCAGAGGTGGTCGGTGCAGAGTATGCACATGTCTAAAACTTCTCAAACTGCAGACTTCAGATTTGTGCACTTTTCTGCATGTAATTATATCTAAATCAACATTTTTAAATAAGAAAAAAGCCCACATGCCTAGATTAAGGAATAGAAGGACGACAGCAGCATGTTAGCAGGGACTTTCTGGGTATATTTGGGCATCTTTTCCTCTTCTTTCTATTTTCCCTATCTCCAAATTTCCTGTAAAATGAGGAGGTACTGCATAAGAGAAACTTTATAGTAGCTATCAACATTTTTTCTTTTTTTTTTTTTAACCATTTTTGAGTCTCACTCTGTCACCCAGGCTGGAAAGCAGTGGTGCAATCATAGCTCACTGCAGCCTCTAGCTCCTGGGCTCAGGTGATCCTCCTGCCTCTGCCTCCCAAATACCTGAAATTACAGGCATGTGCCACCACGCCTGGCTAAGTTTTAAATTTTTTGTAGAGATGGGGTCTTGCTGTGTTGCCCAGGCTAGTCTGGAACTCCTGGCTTCAGGTGGTCCTTTGTCCTCCCAAAGTGCTGGGATTATAGGCCTGAGCCACCATACCTAGCCTTTTTTTTTTTTTTTTAAGGAAATAATTCAGTAGTCTACAGTCATTGAGGTCTTCTGAAGAGAGTGACCCCTCGGGTAATGTTTCTTCCTCACTCTCACTCCACCCCATAGGCGCTCGCTTGTGGGCCTGCTTTGGCGGGGGACACAGAGCTGGGAGAGCTTCACCTACCCGGGGAGCTCACTGAAGGCCCGGCTGGTGAGGGGCCAGCATGGATGGCCATTCCCCTCTGCTGACAGCAGGGCCAGGGCAGCCTGCCACTGAGGAGCTCCTCAAATTCTGCTTCTCCCCAAGCGCTGCTGTCTTAGCTCAGGCCGCAGACAGGAAAGCGTAATCAGCAGAAATCTACTTCTCACAGTTCTGGGGACTAGAAGTCCAAGGTCAAGGTGCAGCCAGGGCCCAGTGTCCAGTAAGGGCTCCTCCTGGGTGGGAGGCAGCCGCCTCCTCCCCATGTCCTCACGTGGCAGAGAGAAGGTGGCAGGTTCTTATAAGGATCCTAATCCTAGTGGATCAGCACCCGCCCATACGACCTCATTTAACCATAATTACTGCCCTACTCCAAATGCAGCCACACTGGGGGTTTGGGCCTCAACATGTGAATTGCAGGGGACACAGTTCAATCAATGGTGCCTCCACAGTCCCACCTCCAAGGCTTTGCCAGATCACGCCCCCCACGGAGCACACCCGGTACAGAACCAGCCCAATCGCCACTCGGCCACCCAGCCACCCAGGCAGATCTAGGTCCTAATCAGCCCGCGCCAGGCCAAGGGCTCCAGAGGGCAGGAACCCTGCCTTCTGCCCGGAAGACGCAGGCCCTCGTTCTCTCCAATTTCACTGAACTGGGTTATACTGAATTCTTCTGGGCAGGTCTTCTGGCCTTGTGGCCATCAGAAGCCCAGAAGGAGACTGTGCATCGGGGGTGCCCGCGGAGCCCCATCACCTCTCTCCTCGCTCTCCTTCTCTACTGAGGCATGAGGGCCGATTCCAGGTGAGGCTCCCAAGCTCCGCAGAGCCCTGCCCAGGGGTGGTGGGAAGAGCTACTCCCATCCAGCCACGGGCCTGCATTGGGCTGGGCCTCTGCTGAGGGAGGTAGGGGGACAGACGGAGGTTTGCGGGGGTGCTGGAACTGGGTCATCCCTAGAGCCAGATGATGGGTCCAGCTGCTTCTTGGGTGACTGGCCAACGCAGTGGTGGGGATCAGGCTGTGGAAACAGGCTGGGCACTTGCCACTATTGTGCATCTTGGGATGCCATTGGGGGAGAAAGGGGACTAAGGACAGGGGAACCAAATAACGGAGAGAGATGAAATAAGACGGCAAAGAGAGAAGAGAAAGAATAATCTTCGTGGCCGACACCCCTGAGTGCCTGCTATGGAACCCATGCCGGCCAAGCTTCGCACACCTCATTCTCATGATGATCCTAGGAGGTAGGGGCTATTTATCTCCCCATTTTGCAGATGCGGAAAACTGGGCACAGAGTGTTTAAGTCACTTGTCGAAGAGCTTACAACTAGGAGGTGGTGAGCTCATTTGAACCCAGGCAGCCAGAGTCCACACTGCCGAGTGCTGTGAGAAGAAGGGAGAAAGTTGAATGGAGGCGGCAGGAGAGGACAGACAAGGAAGACGGCGAAGGAAACTGGATTTTCCATTCAACAGATATTTCCTGAGTGCTGATTTGCCACTGTTCCCCGGGACTCAGGGGGTTGGCATCACCGGTATGGGATCCGTGTGGTCACACCGGGCCCCTGCTCAGATGGGCCCTGAGCTCGGTTTCAGGCTCTGCTGCCACCATCTTGAAATTCTTCATTGTTTTTCAACAAAGGGCCCCACATTGCATTTTGCAACTGATGTGGGCAGTCCTGGGTGCAGCAACAACACACCCAGCCCCTCCCTTCGCCAGGATTCTATTCAGAGGCTGCACCGACAGACAGAAGGAAGAGGCGAAGGGGCCGACCCAGCAGGAGGCGAATGTTCTCTAATGCCATGCGGAGGGCTGGGGAAAGGGCACAGGTTGTCTTTGAAGCTGGAAAGGCATAATTCAATTATTTTCACAATTTCATTACTGGAAAAATCTATTGGCCCCAGGAGCATTCTGCTCACAAAATTGAACTAAAAACAAAAGGGCCTTCACCGTCTTCCCTCAGCTCTCGGTTGAGCCAGCTTCCTATAAATCACTGACGGAGACAAGGAGCGCTGCAGAAGCAGTGTCCTCCGTCCGCCCCTCCCCTGGTCCCTCCGGAGCAGGGTCAGATGGAGGCAGCAGAAGTGGGAGGGAAACAGGCACAGCCCAGGGACCACCACGGTGCCAGCCCCAGCCTCCTTCATCTCATCCGACCTCCCCCAGACCCTCGCCAGACAGGTGGGCCTCAGCACCCATGACTTAGAGCAGAGAAATCTCACCCCTTGCAAGGCGACACAGCAGGCTAGTTAGTATGTAGGGCAGGACTCAGCCCAGGTCTGTCTGGCTCCCAAACGCATGCCCTGTAAACACAGACGTTCCCCCTGTTAATGCACTCATGCTCAAATGCACGCAGACCCCAAAGGAGCTGTGCTTCCCCTCATCCTTGGGCGCTGGCCCGGCCTGGACTAGCAGGGCTCCTCTGCCCGGTTTTCTAAACAAGCAGCACCGTCTCCTAAGTTTTCCCAGCCTCTGGACAGGTGGGGACACCTCACAGCTCCTGTCTTCTCCTCTTCATCCTGAGCAACACAAGGGCCAAGTTTCTGTATATTTTGTTTGTTCCTGAGACCTCGTGTCCAGAACAGTGCCTGACACATAACTGACACTCAATATTTTTTAATAAGAAAGACTGTTTCAGGGACGTTGCTGGTGGAGAGGTGTCTGTGACTATTCTGCAGCTGAGTAGGATTCATTCCTGCCTCTGCCCGGCTGCCCTGCTCGGCTCCCTATGCCAGGGGTCCTGGGGTGGCATCCGTGTCGTCCTGACCCAGATGCTCAGGACAGCGGCTGCTGCTGCTCCCAGATCACCCTGTTCCTTTGTTCAGCATCAGCTCTGTCTCACAGGCCACATTAGGGAGACTCTGGCACTGACCGGGGGACACCACCTTGCCAAGCCCTGCTTAGCTCACTCGACCCACAGGCCCCTCTTTAGGAACAATTGCAGAAATGTCACCAGCTGACATGAAGGGCCGGGGCTGCCCTGGAAGCACGGCTCAGGAGGAAGGCGGGAGATGCAGACAACAGCAGCAGCCAAACCCGACAGTTTCTCAGCCCACTGGTGCCACTGGATTTCTCTTTCCCTTTGCTGTGCCTTGCTTGGTACTGCATGGCTGTTAGCAAGGAGTTGCTCTGTGTTTGTCTTATCTCATTTAATCCTCCTGACAGCCCAGGGGGCAGAGCTGACTGTTCACCAGTGAGGAGGCTGGGCCAAGCTGCCAGCCAGCAGAGGAGGGGTATGGCCTCCACACCACACGTTGCCCCATCGCAGGCTCGATGCCTGGGGTCTGTGCAGGCCCCGCAGCCTATAATGAGTGGCGCAGCCTATAATGATGAGTGGCGCAGCCTGTGCTGGGTCTGCTCAGTGTGGAGGGTCATCTAGATGCCCACGTTTCCCCTGATGAGGCCTGAGCCCCGCATCTCAAAGGAGCTTGCAGCCCCGAGGTGCCTGGGCTGGGGACAAGCCCCCTCTCTGTCACTTAGCTCTCTCCTTTTAAAGGACGTCACTTCTCCTGGTCTCTTGATTTTGGAACAGACACAGCTTCTTTCTGGCATCTGATTCCTAATCAGGCGTTCATTCCGCTGTGCTCTCAAAGGGCTGTGGCTGGGGGCGGGGGCGTGGGGGTGCGGGACACAGGCCCCATGGAGTCTCCTGTGCTGCCCCTGCTGTGCCAGGCACACGGGAGCCTGCACACCCCCTTCCAGCAGCAAGAAAGCAGGTTGGAGAGAAGGAGGAGGGAGGAGAGGGGGAGACCCAGGCCGTAAATGACCCATGACCCAGCTGGGGCTGATGTCTGTCCCCACTGCCGACCCAAATGACCGCAGTCACCCTGGGGCTGAGCTCATCAGCTGCCCAGGCGCCTCCTTGGCATCATTCTCTCTTGTTCCCCTCCTCTCTCTCTCTCTCGCCTGACAGGAAAACAAAGCTGACATTACAGCCCATTCACCCCTGCCCCCTAGCATTCATGACTCACCCTGAAATTCCCCCCTGGTTCCAGCGCCCACGAGCCAGGGACCGTCTGATTTCACCACGGGGCAAGATCAAAGTGACCTGGCCAAGTGACCGCTTCTTGAGGAGGGAGGACATTTATTTCCATGATAAGCAAGTCAACTCCCAAGTCATGATATATTTATGTTCTATGTCTCCAGCCACCTGCTCAGCCTCAAAATCAAATTCCATTTCCAAAGAGGAAATATGAAAGGTAATTGGGAAAACTGGGAATGGGTCATCCTGGAAGGTAGAGGCGGCTCAAGGGGTTCTGGCAGGTGCAGGTGCTCACTCTGGATGTCCGGAGCGTGACTTAAAGCTAGGAAGTTGGCAGGGAAAGGCACCTCCTTCTCTCTGGAAAGCCTGAGCCCCAGTCCCGGGGGCCTCCCATGCTGCCTTCAGGGACAGCAGGGGCATCAGCTGCTCCCGTGGCCTAGCTCACTCGGGTACCAGAATCTGGATCAGAACCATCAGGTGGGGCCACTCGCTATGTAAACGGGATGCCAGCCAAGGCCTCCCAGGCCCTCAGGAACTAGGAAAACCTGACTCACATCTCCCTCTTCTCCCCAAGTTCCAGCGTGGGCAGAAGTTCAAAGCCAGCTCCCAGACTTCCTCAGATCCCCGGGGGCTGCCATCCCCCCTGGCCTCAGCCTCCTGCTCCTGCTCCCGTCCTCAGGAAGCCCAGTGCGGAGGCCAGCTCTCCAAACTCAGAGACACTCATTTTCATGGCATGAGCACTCAGGGCTGTGCAGACCTCGAGGGGGCCAGGAAAGGGGCGCATATTCTGTGGCCGTGCCTGCCAGCTTCCAAGGAGCAGCCGCCGTCTTCAAATGCCCTCCCTCTGCTGGGGAGCCCCCCTGCGCCTCCCCAACCCCAGCTCACCCTCACCGTCCTGGCTTTGCATCTCTTACAGTCTCTGTAGCAAAAACCAGAACCTGTCCCATGCAGAGCATTTTGCTGGCTTCTCTGTTGCGTTGGCACCAGAGGACATCAAGGCCTTCACAGCGCCTATGAGCACTTTTCTAGAACAAAGACAGTCTTTGTCTTTCAGAGCAATTCTGGACCCAGCAATTAACCTAAGATTTCCCCTCATGTTGCACGTCTAAAACTACACCTGAAGGGGGTGCTTCAACTTGGGAACTTACAAAGAGAAGCAGCTGGGCACAGTGGCGCACACCTGTAATCCCAGCACTGTGGGAGGCTGAGGCAGGAGGATTGAGCCCGGGAGTTCAAAACTAGCCTGGGCAACACTGTGAGACCCCATCTCTACAAAAAAAAAAAAAAATACAAAAAGTAGCTGGGCATGGTGACATGTGCCTGTAGTCCCAGCTACTTGGAAGGCTGAGGTGGAAGGATGGCTTGAGCCTGGGAAGTGGAGGCTGCAGTGAGCTGTGATTGTACCACTGCACTCCAGCCTGGGTGACAGAGCAAGACCCTGTCTCTAAATAAATAAATAAATATTATAATAATAATTAAGAGAAGCAAGTGATCAGTGTTTGTTGAATAACAGATGAAACACGGGTGTGTGTTGAGCATTTGCTCTGTGATGGGAGTTGGGAGCCACTGCCTGAAGGAGTCCATGGTACAGTTGCACAGGTTGGGTACTGAGGAAAGGTTGGATTGAAGGAGAGAAGAATGAGTGGGTGATCAGGTTGGTGGGTGGGTAGAAGGAAGGAATGACTGGATAAATGGAAAAGAAAAGGAGAAAAGAGAGGGAAGAAATGAATAAACAGGACAGGTGGCTGGAAGGTGGAGGAGCCGGCCAGGCCAGAGCCGGCACATCTTTTTAGCAGGTAGGGATGCATAGGAGAGTGGTGTGAGACCCACCCCAACCCCCAGAGTTGGTATCAAGATTATTTTAAACTGAAGACATTTGAGATTCAACAGATCCAGAAAGAAGCATTTTTGGAGTTTCCCTTATCTGACTAAAAGCAGAAACTTCTGGGAGTGAGGCTGCCATAAACCCCCTCTTCAAGAAGAGGCAGCTTCACTCCCAGGAAGGAGGCCCAGAGCGAAACTGCCATAAATTCCTTTCTGGGGTGGAGGGGAAGCCCTGCCAGGATGAAGATGGAGGAGATCTCTCGAACCCGCTATTAAATCAAAATTATTCAATGATGCTTGTTAATGATGGTAAGAAGGCACATTTTATTGGGGGTGTCAGGGGTGGGGGGAAGGAACTATCGCCTTAGGTATAGGACCCACTGTGATGCGATTCTGCAGTTGGGGAGAGAGGTTGGGCTCAGCCACATATACAGCAAGGAAAAGTAGGAATTAATAGCCGGAGCAGGGTGGGGATCAGTGGAGGAAAAACTACTAAGGGGAAACACCAGGAATGAGGGGGCTCTGGCTAAACCAACCTAGCAGGATTTTTGCTTAAGGCAAAAAAAAAAAAAAAACAGAAAAGCCTTTGTCTTTTCTACTGTTGATCTGTTGACTGTTAAATTTCTCAGACCCCCAAACACAGAACAAAGTAGGTAGAGGAAGAGCTTTTCCTCCTGACACTATAGTTTGCATGCTTTAGAGCTGTCTCCAAGAAAGCCCGGGAGACAATTCCTCTGGCCAAGCAGACATTTGACCTAAGGGCTTATTAAATCTCAGAGGCAGCCACCATGGCCTTGTGTGGGAAGAGAAATCAGAACGGCCAAGTTATCTTCAGATGAGGACAGGCAGGCCATAGGTCTCTGCCATGAAGAGTTCTGGGTGGGAACCCATGGTCCAGTACACTGCCACCCAGGCTGGGGACATCGGCCCTGATCCCACCTCTCCACTTCCTCCTGGCCCAGAGAGAAGACACAAGGAGGAAGAGCCAGGACACAGGATGAGCAAGGGACAGAGGACCTTCCCACCACCACGCCCGCTGAAAAAACCTGGCCCAGGACTACACACAGCCTGAGAGGAGAGAAAGAAGCAAGGCAGGGCGCAGCGTGCAGAGCCCTGACACTCACCAGCTACCACATCCTACGCACAGGCACGGACACACACCCACCACCCCACTGTTTGTCCTCTGCAGCCAGGCAGGGCGAGAGGCGAGTCCAAGCCGAGCAGTGAGACCTCAGCAGCAGGGCATTCAAGAGAAGGCTGTCCTGGGCCCTCGGATCAGCTTCTTCCCAATTCCATCAAGAGGGCCTTTTGCTTCCAGTCATTTGCCCTTCACTGGCTCATCATTCCTTGATTGGTTCAATCTTTTATCAACAATCATTTACTGAGCGCTTCTTATGGGGCAGGTGCTACACCAGACCCAGAAAAACCAAGGCAGATAAAACAGTCAGGAGGGTGCCACGCAGGGGTGGGAGAGTGGCAGTCGAGGCGTGTCTCGAGAGCAGCTGTGCCAGGGCTCTTGACAGGTGTCACATGCCTGAATCAAACAGCATTTGACATCCTGCTCCAGAAGGCAGAGTTCTTAGCCGTGTTCTCAAAGCATCTGCCATCCTGCTGACACTGGCCCCAGCAAAGTGACCACGGCCTGTCCCCATCATAAGTGGCACGTACAGACACACTTGTTTCCTAACAGGGTCAGTGGTGACCCATTGCCACGCTCCCAACCCCGCCAGGGTAAAAGCTCTGAGAGAGAGACCATGAGCAAACCATCACCATCTAGACACGCTCATGCTTGTGGAGTGCTTAGGACACAGGCGGGGACGCAGGGCCTGTTCCATCGCCGCTCAGCAAATAGAATGTGATGACAAGGCACTGCTGCGTGGGAGCATCCAAGCAGCTGGTGCGCCATAGGGAACAGGGCGAGGGCTTTGCAGGCAACAGGCTGAGCCTTGATCCCTGCCTCTGCACCTGCTAGCTACGCATCGCAGACGGGCCTCAGTTTCTTCAGCTGTGAAATGGGACCATAATTCTCTACCCCCAGGGGCAGTGTGGAAGATAAAAGGAGACCTGGGATGCCTGACCCCTCACCAATTTGCCAGACACGGACGCAGACAGCAGGGAGCACACGCGGTATCCCTGACCCACCCTCACCCTGAGAGACCAGGCTCTGTTCAGGGCAGCTTGGTGTTCAGGGGCAGAGCACAGAAGCCAGTCGGCTGACCTAAGCGCATCGGCCACCAGGAACCTGGGGTGCGAGCAGGGCTGGTGGACAGCAGGGCCCGGGAGAAGGGCTGTGGGCCCCCGGCCTGCCCCTGCAGCCGGCTCTGGTCTCTGGACTTCACTCTCCCGCACTCAGCTCTGGAAGGCCTGGTTAATTTAGAGGAGTCATTTTAATCAATTAGATGAAGTGTAAAGTAACTGTTCAGCTCTGCTCAGGAAATGGGGCCTGTCGTCTTCAAGGCTTTATTGGAAAGGCATTAAGATGGAACGGTGTCCTCCACGCTGCCCTCACCAAGCTAAGCCAAACCTCGGGGCAGAAGGACCGTCCAGAGCCCCTGTGACGACCCAGCAAGCTGTCACCAGCAGCTGCTGTGCTCCCCTCCGGGCCGCTGGCTGCCCTTCCTGCCTTCAAAAGCCTCTGATGCGGCTGCTGCCCAGAGCTTCTAGGCACCCAGTCCAGGCTTCCTTCCCTGCCCATCCCCAGCTCCTCAGCAAAAGATCTGTGAAGCACTGTACGGAGTCACCACGGGGCATGTGCACAGGGACCAGGAAGCAATCAGCAGGCCCTGGACCCCTGCACTTATTCCAGTGAGTCAAATGCAGCTTTTCCAGCACAGCTCTTCCATTTTGGAAGGCAGCATCCCGGTCTCTCTGGGTGAACCAGTCTCTGATCTCTTTGCCTTTCCTCGTGTGTGGTGTTTTGGGTCATTCATCGCCCTGGTCACCCAGGAGAGGATGAGAGCGGTGATGATGATGAATGCCTGTGGGCACATTACACTTCCAGAGCTTGTTTAAAACTGTTATTTCCCGTAAACTTTACAATATTTATCTCCCTTTTGCCCAGCTGAGCGGCGGAAGCCTTAGAAACAGTTGGTCCCCAGCCGGTTAAATGTGGCCCCTGCGCCGTGGTCCTCACCCCTGTTGGCTTCCCTTAGGTCTGCCCTTCTTTCCACACAGGGCCCCTGTCCTGGGACCGTCAGCTACGGAGCCCACTAATGGGAGGTCCCCACATGTGACTCTACTTCAGTCCCTCTCCTGGCTGAAATTTCATCCCAGAGGATTCAGTGTAGGTGCCCAAAGGGAAACGTGTTTGATGGGGTCTCTCAAAGGCCCTGCAAGTGTTCCGATGAAGGTAACCAAAAGAGGCCGGGCACAGTGGCTCATGCCTGGAATCCCAACACTTTGGGAGGTCGAGGCAGCCGGATTGCTTGAGCTCAGGAGTTTGAGAACAGCCTGGGCAACATGGTGAAACCACGTCTCTACAAAATATAAAAAATCAGCTAGGTGTGGTGATGTGCACCTGTGGTCCCAGCTACTCAGGAGGCTAAGGTGGGAGGATGGCTTGAGCCCAAGAGGTTGAGGCTGTAGTGAGCTGTGTTCGGGCAAAAGGAAACCAAAAGAGTAAAGCGGGGTCCCCTCTGTGCGGCAGAATTCAAAACACTTTATTCAAGGAGCAGCAAAGGGTAAAGCCAGCTGAGAATGAGGAACCCCTCGCAGTCGGTGATGGCAGCCAGTGGCAGCCTTCCCCCGTGCGCCTGGCTGCAAAAACTGAGCTTGGTTGAGTAGCCTCACATCCCAGATGGACTGCAGGACCAGGGAGGGGCAGTGGGGGCCCTGGCTTGTAAGTGACGGGGGCACCTCCTGCAGGGCCCTGGCCGCCCAGATAGGAAATGGGTGGTCCCCAGGGTTGGATTCTCTGGCCACACCCACATCCCTCCCCTAGTCCCTGCATCTGTAAGTAGCCCTTAAGTTTCTGTCTCTTCTACCCTGGGATGGCATTCAAACTGTTTAACAACTAACAGGGTTCAAGCAGAGACCAATCCAAACAGATGCCAGCCTGCTCACTTCGCCCGTGAGCACTGAGTGCACCCGAGCCCTGTGTGCTCCTGAATGGATTCATCCCACTTCACTGGCTGGTTCATTGGTCGTTACAGTGACCCTCAGCGTCAAAAATAACAATGATGATAAAATGTATTGAGCACTTACTGCCAGTCCTTGTTCTGAGGCTTCCAAGTGTATTAAGCCGTCCACACACCTAGGCAGAGATGTGGATAGATGATATGATCTCTACTTACAAATAAGAAAACAGGAACAAAGTGGTTTCACACACAGCTGGTGAGGTGGAGCCCAGATGCAGACTCAGGCCAGCTCCATAGCTGGTTCTCTGTCATAACACTCTGCTGCCTCTCTTTAAAATAATGTAAAAAGAATTTGGGAAATACACCCTGGGCTCCATTCAAAAAAGGTTGAAAAATACATACACTATTTAAAAACACTTCTATCCAACACAGCCACACACACACACTCATATGCACACTCACACACACGTTCACTCATGCACACACACATATTCACACTCACACTCATGCACACACACACACACACGCACACATTCACATGCATGCTTTAGCTCGAGGGAAATGAACTCACAGGACTCTAATTTCCTGATGCCATAGGAAGAACAACGGGCATTCCTGTCATCTTTTTCATGGGAAGCTGATTCAGAGAGGCTAAGGGGCATCCCCAACGTCACACAGCCAAGAGGCAAGGCTGAGGTTTGCACTTCCACTACTCTGACTTGGAAGCCCAATGAGGTGCTCAAATTAAAATTAGAAACCTTTTCCTGTTGTCCAGGCAGAAAACCAGGAGAGGGGAGAGAACAGCCACTAGGGCAGGGACAGAGCGCGGCCACTGGGCAGCCGGGGAACCGAGGCTCGCGCCTGGCTGCAGACTTCCCTCTTCAGGCCTTTCTGGCACCATCTGCTGTGGACCCCATAGTTCCCACCCGCCACTGCCCGGGATGAGTGGGCTCCATCTGCTCATTCTGCACAGCACTCATTTTGCAGACCCGGGGAAACTGAGGCCGAGAGGGCCATGTGACTTGCCCAAGATCACACAACCAACCCTCACTGGACTGAGGGGAGTGGCCCTGAGCTTGCTGTCGGACCTGGCCTCTGCTCCCAGCCTGGCTGCCCCACACCCACATGTGGAGCTTGGTGCCCCCTGCAGGTGGTGGGCTTGGCCCCAGCCCCAGAGACAGCTACAGATGCCCCCCCACCCCCCCGCCCGTCTTTTCCCCACTCTGCCCAGCTCTGCCCTTTGGTTCTCCCAGGAACAGGCTGACATTCACCATCAAGCGCTCGCTCCCCCTCTCCCTGCAGCCAAGAGCTAATTGTCCTGATTTCTTTCCAAGAGCAGTCTCTCTGAATAGCCTTCGCAGGCACAATTAAGCAGGTTCAGCTTGACTTTCACACTCCAGTTCTGAAAAAATCAAATCAGCAAGGAAGCAGAGCCTCTTGGAAGTTCTCTGAGAGTGCCTTTGTGCAGGAACAAAGCACACACATAATTACCTGCTTCACTGATGAGCTCAGGGCCCGGGGCCCTGCGTGCAGGAGTGGCCCACTGGCAGCCCCGTGCAGACTCTGTCTACTCTATTCTTGGAAGCAGCCAGCCAGGCTGGGGCTCCTCCTGGGACCTGCAGTGGACGGCCATGCCCCGGGGGTCCCCGCCCCTGCAGGCCATTTGTCTCTACCTAAAGAACCCCTGTCATGGATGGCTGGCACAGGTGGCCCAATGTGAATAGCAAGTGCAATGGCCTTATTGTCAAGATGGAGTGCCTGAGGCCCAGAGAGGGCAAACGCCCTGCCCGAGGCCACACAGCAAGATCAGGAAGAGCTGTGACTCCCCAGGCCTCGGCAGGGGGGTGGGGGGCGGCGGGGGGGTGCAGGTGGCTGATGTCTTCCTGGGCCTGACTCTAAGGCTAACTCACGGTGCACAGTCATCCCTCCCAGAAAAAAGTGAGGGCTTTGACCTCATGAAGGAAGATGGTTTCCCACTAAACAGCGGGTGCATCGCTGTTGACAGGCCAAGGAGAGTGTGGCCGGCACTTTTTCTGGGGACAGAGAAGGAAGGGGTTCTCTATCTCCATATGGAGAAATCAAGGCCCAGACGTCACACAGCCAAGAAATGGCAGAGCTGAGACTCATCCCCGTCTCTGATTCCTGGGCCAGCGCTCATGACTAATATCAGCAACCGCCCTGCACACGCCCACACACATCGAGACGCCGCATCCCAAAGCCTGCTGTGGCAGCGTTTTGATTGACTGAGAGAATCGACATGAACGACGGGCGGCTCCACACCTCTCTATTCATCAAGAAGTTGTGCCTGGCCTGGCAGCTCGGCTGTGCCCTGTCTCCTCCCCTCTGTGCACCCGGGCATCCCGTGCACTCTTGGCACCTCTCTTCCCACTAAACAGCAGGTGTATCACTGTTGACAGGGCACCATTCATCCCAGGCAGCGGCGGATGGGAGCTGTGGGTTCTGGAGCAGATGGTGCCAGAAGGGCCTGAAGAGGGAAGTCTGCAGCCAGGCGCAAGCCTCGGTTTCCCGGCTGCCCAGTGGCTGCGCTCTGTCCTCGCCCTAGTGGCTGTTCTCTCCCCTCTCCCGGTTTTCTGCCTGGACAACAGGAAAAGGTTTCTAATTTTAATTTGAGCGCCTCACTGGGCTTCCAAGTCAGAGCAGTGGAAGTGCAAACCTCAGCCTTGCCTCTTAGCTGTGTGACGTTAGGGATGCCCCTTAGCCTCTCTGAATCAGCTTCCCATGAAAAACATGACAGGAATGCCCGTTGTTCTTCCTATGGCATCAGGAAATTAGAGTCCTGTGAGTTCATTTCCCTCGAGTTAAAGCATGCATGTGAATGTGTGTGTGTGTGTGTGAATGTGTGTGTGTGCATGAGTGTGAGTGTATGTGTGAGTGCATGAGTGAGCATGTGTGAGTATGCATATGAATGTGTGTGTGTGGCTGTGTTGGATAGAAGTGTTTTTAAATAGTGTATGTATTTTTCTCATCTGTAGAATGGAGATGAGGCTGGCCCCTCACTGGGCTGGGGAGATCCCTGGTCCAGGTTGCCACGTGACACACCTGCAAGAGGCTGTGCCCCTCGTGCACGCGGGTGGTGGAGGTCATGACACACACATCCATATCTGCCCTGCAATAAGGAAGTCAAAGTCTTGGACCTGTGCTAATAAAGAACCGCCAGGCCAGGCGCAGTGGCTCATGCCTGTAATTGCAGCACTTTGAGAGGTCGAGACAAGTGGATCACTTGAGCTCAGGAGTTCAAGACCAGCCTGGGCAACACGAGGAAACCCTGTCTCTACCAAAAATGCAAACATTTAGTCAGGCATGGTGGTGCATGTCTGTGGTCCCAGCTACTTGGGAGGCTGAGGTGGGAGGATTGCTTGAGTCTGGGAGGTTGCAGTGAGCTGAGATCACGCACACTCCAGCCTGGGCCACAGAGCGAGACCCTGTGTCAAAAAACAAAACAAAAAAAGAACTACCAGCCTGGGACAGGGTGGAGCTCAGTGCTGTGTAGCTCAGACCACGCTTTCTGCAGCCCCAAAGAGGGAGGCTCGGAAGGACGGAGCGACCAGCTAGGAAACAATTCCACAGAGAGGCAGGGCTGGGGGTCTCAGGGCCAGGCCAGCTTCAGAAAGCCTGGTGGGAGCACTGCAGGGGCGCAGGCAACAGGGCAGACAGAGGTGGCCAGGAAGGTCCTGGCTTCCCAAGAAAGCAGCCAGCTCACCTGGCGGGGGCAGGGCTCCAGGAAAGACTGAAAATACAGTGGGCTGCATGGTGCAGTGTCCTGACGTCCAGGGGTTTGGCCTGAGATGTGGGCGGAGCAGGCAGGGAAGCCATCAGATGCCCTGAGACTGGTCTGGCAGGCGGGGGTGGTCTGCACGGGTGGTCCTGGGGCAGAGGCAGAGGGGAGAGGGGACCCAAACCTCTATGGTGAATATGGGAAGGAAGGAGAGGAGCTGGGCATGAGGGAACCGCCTTAAATCCAAGCAGCCTCTAGGGAGGAGCCCCTGCCCATGCCAGCCTCCTCTCCCTGGTCTGCATGGCTCCCCTTGCTGGGTTCCACACAGTAGGCACCTTCGGTCGATTTGCTCAAAGCTGCAGGGCCCGATGGGCAAGCCCGAGGTGAAGCTCTTGGGTTTCCTGGAGTCTCCACTCAGCACCACTCCGTGCAGGCAGCAGGGACCCTGGGATTAACCAGACTTTGGCACCGCTCCCCAGGGGCCCACATCTTGTCAGGGAGTGAGATGCTGTCAGCTCAGAAGGCATTTGGATTTGATACAAAATGCTGGGGAGCAGTGAAATGAAAAGCTAGCACAGGACAATCAGGAAGGCTTCCTGGAAAGGGGTGCAGCTCAGGTGAAACCCGAACTATGTGCAAGGCGTAGGGGAGGGTATCTAGGCTGAGCCCAGCATGAGCAGAAGACGGCAGCCCATAAGAGCAGGAACCCCCTGGTTTGCCTGGGATGTAGGCGCACACAGGAAATCACACAAGAGCAGGGAAGAAACTCATCACAGAGGGCCTGGAGGGGCAGGGAGAGGGGGCTGGACTTTCCCCCGAGGGCCCTGGGGATGCACTAAGCACAAAGGGTAAGAGCAGAGCTGTGTCCTCAAGGAGAGCCGGGCCTCCTGGGCGCTTCCCACCTCCAGCCACCTCCCTCACCAGCAGAAAGCACAATCGTGAGGCTACAGAGAAACTGGGGGGCAGGCTCCCAGGGCTCCTTCAAGCCAGCGTTTCTGAAACGCTGGGCTCTTCTCCCTGGAGAGGCTTCTGGGAAACAAAGATCTGAGTGTTGGGGAAAAGCTCCAGTCTCCATCTCTGTGTGTGTGAACACACAATACAGCGGCCAATAAAGGCTCTGAGCAGCCCTGCAGGAAGGAAGCCTCTTTAACCGTTTCAACCCAGTGACGCCTAAACCTCAGTCATCCTGGAGTCTTTCTTTTCTTGCTGCACCATTAAAATCCTGTTTGAAAAACACCGCTCAGAGCTCCACCTTCTGTGAGGGCCTCGTGGAAAGACCCTGTGTCTGATCTGGGCCCAGGGGTCAAATTCAGTGCATGGAACTGAGTCGGAGGAGAGACCCGCCTAGGCCAGACCTCAGTCTCCTGAGAATTAGATACAGGAGTGGACACTATGCAAAGGCTGGCAGCCAAAAGACAGGTCTCTGGAAGAACCAAAGACTCAGCGACATTCCCAGGCTGAGGGCGAGAACCAGTCAGGGGAAAATGCTGGTGTCACCTCCTCGGATCCCTCTGGGGCTTTGCTCATCGTCTGGGTACCTGGGGCACCTGGTAGCCACTGTTTACAGCTCTTCAACTACTCAAGCCTTTGGGCTAAGGGTGTCTCCACCCACAAGGGAGTGGTCTTATCTCATTTAGGGATACAGCCCCTTTGAAAATGTCACCCACCCCCACCTTACCTCTCAGTACCAGAGGTGAACAAAAATTAGGGCCAATTTGGTCCCCATTGGAAACTGACTTCCACCTCTTGACAAGAGAGTGTGATATAAATGACTCATTTATGGAAGAAGACGTCCAAAGGACCGATGATCTGGGCCAGCCCCGCGGCACTGTTCTCACTACTACTTGGTTCTCCAAGGTGAAGGTCTGGGGACGAGCTCTCCTAGGCCTGCCCAGGTTGGGTCAGGTCAGTGTCAGCTTCTGCCTGGTCATAGCTGACCAGCTGACCAACCCCGAGCTCCCGGGAGAGAAGGCCACTCCTCGGAAGCACCCAGCTGTTCCCCAGCTGGGGCAGCCAGGCCTTCCTCAGAGCACGGCCCCGGCCCCCATGCCAGTCTCCCGCTTGGCTGCTTATTATTGAAATTCAAATAAGCATAATAAGTTTGAGGGCCCCTATTACTCCAGACACAGAAAATGAAATTAGTGAGCACAGACACTGCAATTGTATTCCAACCTCATCCTTTGGGTAAGGAAGGTGAGGGGAGGAAGAGCATCGGAGCCAGGGCTGCTTCATCCAACAGAGCTGCTTCATCACAGCCCGGAGTTAGGGCAGGCAGCAGAGGTGGCTCAGGGACCCCTCACCCTCTGTACTGAGTGCCTCAGATGGAAAGACATGGCCAAGACCCCTTTGCTCACCTAATCTCCCAGAGGCAGGCAGCATGGGGTGGCAGGAGTTGTGCAGGGGGATGATGGAAGGCTGTAGGTTCAAATCCTGGCCAGGCCACTTACAGGCTACATGAGCACAAGCCAGAATAATGATGCGCAGGAAGTTCGCGAGCGCTTTCCTGTGCCAGAACTGCTGACCGCTTTGTATCACCCCCTCACCCACTCAACAATCTGCGGAGCTCTACTGACACCCATTTCGTACATGGGAAAATGGAGAGCTCAGAAGAGTTAAATGACCTGGATTCTCTGAGCCTTGTTATTTTTTTCATCCGTAAAATCAAGGTAGCCATCCCATCTCAAAGGGTTGTGGCAAGGATTACATATGGCAGCATTTATGAAGATGACCAGAGGTGTTTGACACAGGTGAGTACCCAATAATGCTCTTCCCAGAAATGCATTCATTTAGTCACTTACCCCTCCTCTCATTCATTCCTTTATTCCTTCATTTATTCATGAACTCATTTATTTAAAATAAATAGGCCAGCTGTGATGCCCGAGGTTCCAACATTAGGCATTCTACTAGGTTACGCCATGGAAGGTTCTCACTAAAATACGTCACCTGCCCCTTTACAAGTTCAGTTCCTATGGGCAGGGTTGGTTTGCAGAGCAAGGAGCAAAACTGAGCCATTAGTTGCCTCTAATAGAGTTATTCATAATTTTAAAAATGAAATGCACAAATGCCAATCAGGGGTAGAATGAACAAACTGTAGTATAGTCAAACAATGGAATACTCTCTACAGCAACAAAAAAGATTACAGCTACCTGCAACACAGTCTCACAAGCATAATGTTGAGTCAAGCCAAAAAAGGGCACCAAAAAGTGTACCATCCTTGATCCTGTCTGCATAAAGTACCACACCGAGCAGCGGCCATCTCTGGGGATGGAAGTGGAGATGGAGGCGCCTTAGTGTGGTCAGGACTGGGAGGAGCCAAGAGGGGTTTCCTGGGTGCTAATGATGTTCTCTTTCTCCATCTGGAGGCTGACTTCACAAGTGCATACACTTTGAGAAAAGGCATCGAGCTGTGCTCTTATGATGTGTGCATTTTTCTGTAGTGTAATAATTTAGTTTAAAAAAATGTCTATTAGGGCCAGTTGCAGTGGCTGACTCCTGTAATCCCAGCACTTTGAGAAGCAGAGGCAGGCAGATCACCTGAGGTCAGGAGTTCAAGACCAGTCTGGCCAACATGGTGAAACCCCGTCTCTACTAAAAATACAAAAAATTAGCCGGGCGCGGTGGCGGGCGCCTGTAGTCCCAGCTACTCGGGAGGCCGAGGCAGGAGAATGGCGTGAACCTGGGAAGCGGAGCTTGCAGTGAGCCGAGATTGCGCCACTGCAGTCCGCAGTCCGGCCTGGGCGACAGAGCGAGACTCCATCTCAAAAAAAAAAAAAAAAAAAAAAAGAAATGGGCTGAGCTCAGAAACTCCCTTCCTCCAACACACTACCATTGATTCCAGCATCTGAAACGTTCCTCTGGCTGGGCACTGTGGCTGAAGCCTATAATCCCATCACTTTGGGAGCCCAAGGGGAGGCAGAAGGATCACTCGAGCCTGGTTGTTCAAGACCAGCCTGGCAGCATAGCGAAACCCTGTCTCTACCAAAAAATACAAAAAGTAGCCGGGTGTGGTGGCGTGGGCCTGTAATCCCAGCTACTCAGGAGGCTGAGGTAGGAGGATGGCTTGAGCCCAGGAGGCGGAAGTTACAGGGAGCTGAGGTTGCACCACTGCACTCCAGCCTAGGTGACAGAGACCCTGTCCCAATCAATCAGTCAATCAATCAAGCAGTCCCTCACACATTGTCAAAGCTCAATAAGTAGGGAATGAAAGAATAATGAACATGGCCTAGCTTTTGCACCTCTGTTCTCTCTTTCTGTGAGAACTTTCCCAGGAGGCAAGAACCCTGGTGTGCTGTTCCCAGCTCCCCAGACGACTGGAGACACAGCTGGACCCCCAGAGAGGACCCCACTGCCCAGGACTGCCCCTTCCCCTGCTCACAGCATTCAGTGAGTGCCCTGATAGGTCTTACAGGCCTGGGAGCTGTTTCTTCTTTAAGACTGTACATATCTCTGATCCATTATAGCAAGCTTGTCCAACCCGTAGCCCAGAACGGCTTTGAATGTGGCCCAACACAAATTTATAAACTTTCTTAAAACATTATGAGTTTGTGATTTTTAATTGTTTTTAGCTCATCAGCTATCGTTAGTGTTAGTGTATTTTATGTGTGACACAAGCCAATTCTCCTTCCAATGTGGCCAAGGGAAGCCAAAAGATTGGACACCCCTGCCTTACAGGCTAACTGAAAAGTGAGCTCTGAGAGCAGTTAGAGCTCCAAGGTCTAGAGGGGCTTACTGGGGTGCCAGCAGGGTTCTTCCTGTAGACTCAGGCAGACTCAGGCCAGAGAAACCCAGTCCTCAGGAGAGCAGTGTGGGCTGGCGGGCTCTGGAGTCAGACATCCCGCTCTGGAAGATGACCTGAGTGGCTCTGCCTGCGGTGCACAAGCTCCTTGGGCTGTAGCCTCCTTATCCTCAACAGAGAGCCCATGTCATTGTGCGAACTTTCACCTCGCTAGGGGCACAGTGGAGCCAGGTAACCCTGACTCAGCGCTGCTTCCCAGGGAGGGGACGCAGCTCTGGGCGAACTCTTTGCCACTGTTCTGGAGGAAATCCAGCTGGAGAGCACTGGAAGTGGAGGGCCAGTGTCTCCCAGGTCAGGCCCAGTGGCTCATGGGTCTGCAGCTGCTGATGATCAAATGAAGATCAGAGGCGTTTAGGCAGAAAGGAGGCATTCTGGACTGGAACAGAAGAGGGGGAGGAATCAGAGGGTGGAGGAGAGCCCGGGAACCCCTCAGTAATGGGGAGTGGGAGACCAGATACCCACCCCACCCCTCATTTCATAGTAACGAAACCAGGGCCTGGCAGTGCGGCCTGAGCTGGGGACACACCAAGCTCAGTCTAATTCCAGGCCCACATCCCCTCCACTCCTCCCTCCGGGCTGCCCCCTGGCTCACCGGCTGGATGGATGAATGAGCAAGGTACCTTCTGTCCACAGCAAAAGGGCATAGAGAGAAAACCCAGAGGAGGGAGCCTCATGTAGCCAGGTGGAAATTAACAATAATACTCAGATGTACAAAATACTTATTTATTTCTCTGCAATTTATCTAACCATTTTCACAAGACTCCATGAATGTAAACTTGCTAATTAAAGAAACCCCATTAGGCCCTGAATCAAGACTAGTGTTTTGCTGTAGCTGTTGGTTTCAAACAGGATCCGAGAGTGATGTCTTCCTTGTGGTCTGTTCACTGCTCAGTATCCCAGTGTCAGTGGCCAATTCAGTTGGAAGCAACATGGTCTTGAATATAAAGCCACTGTTTTTTTTTTTACAGAGCAATTTAACTATGTTAGGCTTAAGAATCAGGAACTTACAGCCCGGGCACAGTGGCTCATGCCTGTAATCCCAGCACTTTGGGAGGCCGAGGCAGGCGGATCACCTGAGGTCGGGAGTTCAAGACCAGCCTGGCCAACATGGAGAAACCACGTCTCTACTAAAAATACAAAATTAGCCAGGCATGGTGGCGCATGCCTGTAATCCCAGCTACTTGGGAAGGCTGAGGCAGGAGAATCACTTGAACCCGGGAGGCAGAGGTTGCAGTGAGCCGAGATCGCGCCACTGCACTCCAGCCTGGGCAACAAGAGTGAAACACAGTCTCAAAAAAAAAAAAAAAAAAAAAGAATCAGGACTTACTCTGTGGAGACAGGGACTTAACCAAAATAATATTTATTAGCCACTCAGCGGAACTTGGTCCTCCTCCTTTCTTCCCACCTCCTCCCTTTCCCCCTCAAGATCACTTGCTTGCTTTGTGACTGTTAGGATATTGACCATGCAACCTCATACTGCCTGATAATTTTTTTTTTTTTTTTTTGAGATGGAGTCTCGCTCTGTCACCCAGGCTGGAGTGCAATGATGCCATCTTGACTCACTGCAACCTCTGTGCGCCCACCCCCCACCCAACCACCCACCAGGTTCAAGCAATTCTCCTGCCTCAGCCTCCCAAGTAGCTGGGACTACAGGTGTGTGCCACCACACCCAGCTAATTTTTGTATTTATTTTAGTAGAGGCGAGGTCTCGCTATGTTGGCCAGGCTGGTCTAGAACCCCTGACCTCAAGCGATCTGCCCGCCTAGGCCTCCCAAAGTGCTGGGATTACAGGCGTGAGCCACCACGCCCAGCCTGCCTGGCAATATTTAATTTTAATTCACATTTATGCTGATGGTCCATACTTCAGTTCATCACTGGGGAACTTAGGTGTTGACTACAGCTAACTAACCCCAGAGGGAATATGCTTTTTTAAAAATACTCTTTAATTGTGGTAAAACATAGGTAACCCAATGTACCATTTTAATCATTTTTAACTGTGCCATTCAATGGTATTATGAATATTCACAATCTTGTGCAACCATCAACAATTTCTTTTCCAGAACTTTTCCATCAGCCCAAACAGAAACTCTACCTGTTCAACAGCACCTCTCCCTTCTCCCCTCCCCAGTCCCTGCTATTCTACTGTCCTATTTTCCATCTCTATAAATTTTCCTGGGAATTTGCTTTTTTAAGCCACTATACTGGTCTGTGTTTTATACTTGGCAGCAAGAAAAAGTTCTCAGTGCTTTTGGGTCTTGTCTTATTTGTTGGACATTCTGGTAAAATCATTTTTGGATTAAAGGTAGGCAAGGGGTGAGGGAGGGAGCAGAGAATCGCTGTGAGGCTTGCTGAGAACTATGCCAATCTTAGCTTACTGTTTCCCTTGGTATTGCTGATGGCTTTTCCTCTTTTTTTCCTAGAGAAGAAAAAAACAGAAACCTCGGCCTATATGGGGCCTTGTATAATAGCTTGACACAGCAGAGGAGCTGGTGGGTCCTCTCTCTCCTCCCAGAAACCGGCTCAAAGAGAACAGAAAAATAAACCCCAATCTCCAACCTCATACCATACACAAAAATTAACTAACAAGGCAGCAGAGACCTAAATGTAAAAACTATGAAGTACCTAGAAGAAAACATCTTTGTATCGCAGAGTCAAAAAAGATCTTTTTTTGGAGACAGGGCCTCACTCTGTCACCCAGGCTGGAGTGCAGTGGCATGATCTTGGCTCACTGCAACCTCCGCCTCCTAGATTCAAGTGATTCTCCTTCCTCAGCCTCCCGAGTAGCTGGGACTACAGGTGCGCGCCAGCACACACTCAGCTGATTTTTGTATTTTTGGTAGAGACAGGATTTCACAATGTTGGCTAGGCTGGTCTCAAACTCCTGACCTCAAGTGATTCACCTACTTTGGCCTCCCAAAGTGCTGGGATTACAGGCATGAGCCACCACACCCGGCCCTTTGATCCCTTCATTCATCAACACCTAGGTTGTTTCCATATCGTGGCTAATGTGAATAATGCTGCAATTAACACAGGAGTGCAGCTATCTTTACAAGGTGGTGATATAATTTCCTTTGGTCAGTCATATGGTAGTTCTATTTTTTATTTATTTAGAAACCTCCATACTGCTTTCCATAATGGCTGTACCAATCGACACCCCCACCAACCATGTCCAAGAGTTCCCTTTTCACCACAGGGAAAGATTTCTTAAGAATAGTACACAGGGGCCAGGTGTGGTGGCTCTTGCCTATAATCCCAGCACTTTGGGAGGCCGAGGCAGGCAAATCACCTGAGGTGAAGAGTTCGAGACCAGCCTGGCCAACATGGTGAAACTGCATATCTACTAAAAATGCAAAAATTAACCACACATGCTTGCGGGCGCCTGTAATCCCAGCTACTTGGGAGGCTGAGGTGGGAGAACTGCTTGAGCCCAGGAGGCCAAAGCTGCAATGAGCCAAGATCACACCACTGCACTCTGGCCTGGGTGATACAGCGAGACTCAAAAAATAAAAAATTAAAAAAAAAAAAAAATAGTACACAGAAAACATAAACTATAAAAGAAAAAAAAGCAACAGTAAATTGGACTTCACCAAAATTAAGTCTTTTACTTTTTCAAAAGACACTGAATAAAATGAAAAAGAAGGGCACAGACTACAGAAAATATTTACAAGTCATATATCTGATAAAAGACGTGTAACTAGAATAAAGAGCTGTTAAACCTAATATATAACACAACTCGATATTTTTAAATGGGCAAAGGGGCCGGGCATGGTGGCTCACACCTGCAATCCCAGCACTTTAGGAGGCCGAGGCAGGCGGATCACGAGGTCAGGAGATCGAGACCATCCTGGCTAACATGGTGAAAGCTTGTCTCTACTAAAAATACAAAAAATTAGCTGGGCGTGGTGGCGGGCGCCTGTAGTCCCAGCTACTCGGGAGGCTGAGGCAGGAGAATAGCATGAACCTGGGAGGCGGAGCTTGCAGTGAGCCGAGATGGGGCCACAGTACTCCAACCTGAGTGACAGAGCAAGACACTGCCTCAAAAAAAAAATAAAATAAAAAATAAAAAATAAATGGGCAAAGGATTTGAACAATTCACCAAAGATGGTGTACATATAAAAAATAAGTACATTTAAAAAGGCTCATGCCAGTTGTTATTGGTGAAATGTACATGAAAACCACAAGGATATACACTAGACACCCACTCGGAGGGCTAAAATGTAAAAGATTGGCCATGCCAAGTGTTGGCAAGGGTATGAAGCAACTGGGACTCTTGTGTTGCTCTTATGTGCTCAGAGGCATGTAAAGCGGTATGGTCACTTTGAAGAGCAGTTGGGTCACTTCTTAAAAAGTGAAACCTACTATATGACCCAGTCATTCTGCTCCTATGCACCTCCTCAACAGCAATGTGGCCAGGTGTGGTGGCTCACGCCTGTGATCCCAGCACTTTCGGAGGCCAAGGCAAGCAGATCACGAGGTCAGGAGTTCAAGACCAGCCTGGCCAACATAGTGAAACCCCATCTCTACTACAAATACAAAAAAAATTAGCTGGGCTGTTGGTGGGCACCTGTAGTCCCAGCTACTTGGGAGGCTGAAGCAGGAGAATCGCTTGAACCAAGGAGGCAGAGGCTGTAGTGAGCCAAGATCGCACCACTGCACTCCAGTCTGGGCAACAGAGCAAGACTCTGTCTACAAAAAAAAAAAAAAAAAAATCTACATGCAGACTGGCAGCAACTTGATTCATCATAGCCAAAAGCTGGAAACAGCCCCAATGTCCATCACCAGGTGAATGGATGAATAAATATGGCATAGCCATACAATGAAATGCAACACAGCAATAAGAAGGAATGAACCATTGTTATATACAACTGATGGACTTCAAAATAACTATGCTAGGCCAGGCGTGGTGGCGCATGCCTGTAATTCCAGCAATGGTAGGCCAAGGCGGGTGGATCACCTGAGGTCAGGGGTTTGAGACCAGCCTGGCCAACATGGTGAAACCCCATCTCTACTAAAAATACAAAAAATTAGTCGGGCGTGGTAGCAGGCACCTGTAATCCCAGCTACTTGGGAGGCTGAGGCAGGAGAATCGCTTGAACCCAGGAGGTGGAGGTTGCAGTGAGCCGAGATCGCGCCATTGCACTCTAGCCTAGGCAACAAGAGCAAAACTCTTTCTCAAAAGAAAAAAAAACTATGCTAAGTGAGAGAAACCACATCAAAAAAAAAAAAAAAAAAACACAACACACTGTAGGATTCTATTTACATGAAATTCTAGAAAATGTAAACTCTGGCGACGGAAAGCAGTCAGTTTGTCTGAAAATGGGAGTGGAGGTAAGAAACAGCATGAGGAAGCTGTGGAGGGTGACAGGATGTCTAGTGGCTGATGGTTGTGACAGCTGCATGGGTGTATACATATGTCAGAACTTACTAATAACACATTCAATAGGCGCAGTTTATTGTATGTCAATTATACACCAATAAAGTCGAAAAAAAAAAATCATCCCATAGTAACAAGGAGAAAGAGAAACAGGATGCAAACGCCATCTTTTTTTTTTTTTTTTTGAGGCAGAGTCTCGCTCTGTCGCCAGGTTGGAGTGCAGTGGCGTGATCTCGGCTCACTGCAACTTCCACCTCCCAGATTCAAGCGATTCTCCTGCCTCAGCCTCCCCAGTAGCTGGGATTATAAGCACCTGCCACCGTGCCTGACTAATTTTTTGTATTTTTAGTAGAGATGGGGTTTCACCGTGTTAGCCAGGATGGTCTCGATCTCCTGACCTCGTGATCCACCCGCCTCGACCTCCCAAAGTGCTGGGATTACAGGCTTGCACCACCACGCCCGGCTAATTTTGTGTTTTTAGTAGAGATGGGGTTTCACCTTCTTGGCCAGACTGCTCTCGAACTCCTGGGCTCAAGCAATCCACCCGCCTCGTCCTCCAAAAGTGCTGGGATTACAGGCATGAGCCACTGCGCCCAGCTACACTCCATTTCCAATGGAAACAGATGAGAGATGAAACCCAAACTAGAAACGAGTCAGAGGGTTGCCCAGGCAGGAAATACCACACAGATGTTTGGGAAGAAGCAGTGAGAAGGGATCACACTGCCCACCAACCAACGTCCCTTATCTGCATGAGCAGGAGTGGGGCCTGTGATCTCATGACAGTGGCATGTGAGATACAGGTAAGCTTGGAACCAAGAAGCAGAAGCAGCAGATCAGACACAGACAATCACACAGACAAGCCACACTTGCAGGCAAAAAGAGGAATCACCAGACTGCACATGAGCAGCCCTACAACTGCACATGGCACTGGGTGTAGTCCTCGCTTCTTCTCCCACACAAACCTCTGGCAAATAGATGGTTGAAGAAAAACTTACCTTGCCCAAAGATGAGAAATAAAAAAGCAAACAGCGCAGCATCTACAGGAAGACACTGCAAGAATTAAAAAATAAAAACGAGAAAAGGAACAGGAAAAACAAGTGGCAAGTGAAAACTCACTAGTAAAAATGTTGTCATAGAACAGATGAAAATTGCCAGCAAACTTTTCGCTGAAAATTAAACAACAACAAAAATTAATAAAGCAGGGCTGGGCGCAGTGACTCACACCTGCAATCCCAGCACTTTGGGAGGCTGAGGCGGGCAGATCACCTGAGGCCAGGAGTTCGAGACCAGCCTAGCCAACACGGCAAAACACCATCTCTACTAAAAATACCAAAATTAGCCGGGCATGGTGGCGCAAGCCTGTAATCCCAGCTACCTGGGAGGCTGAGGTAGGAGAATCGCTTGATCCCAGGAGGCAGAGGTTGCAGCAAGCTGAGATCCCACCACTGCACTCCAGCCTGAGCAACAGAGTAAGACTCCATCTCGAAAAAAAAAAAAAAAATGAATACAGCAATCCTCTCCAGAAAGCAAGCACACAAAACAGATATGAGAGCTCAGGGGGAACATGAAACTGGAGCTGACAGAGCTGGAGAAAGAAGGAAAAACATCGTATCTTCAAAGTCATGATGAAATGGAAAGGTGCGCAGAGGAGCATCAAATATTGCTCAAGACACAATCAAGACACTGAGAACAAGACTGAGGAAAGTGAGCAAAAGGAAATGAAAATGAACGGTGTAAAGAGATTACAGAGAAAATTACAGATTTGGAAGATCTACAAAGGACCCATCATATATCCCAGAATAGAAAACTCAAATAGGGGAACATAAATATTTAAAGATATCATTCAAGAAAATTTTCTTGAAGTAAAAGAAGATAAATCTACAAACTGAAAGGGCACACCATGTCTTGGGGAAAATGACAAAAATCTGTCAATAACAAGGTAATTTCTATGAAAGTAACTAGACTAAAAATATAAAAGAAAGGGGGAAACAGCTAAATAAAAAAGACTTTGGACAGTCAAGTGAAAACATCAATTCATAAAGGGTAACAAAATAGAAGTTAGACTCAGACTTTCCCACAGTGGCATTTAACTCTAGAGACAGAAGTGACATCTGTGAAGTTCTCAAGGAAAGAAAGTGTGGCCTAAGAATTTTATATTCTGGAAAGCTGTCAATCAAACACAAAGACTAGAAACCTTTTTGAACTTGCAATAACTGAATATTTTTTTTTCATTTAGTCCCTTTTGATTAAACTACTGGAGAAGGAATTTCAGCAAATCAAGAGAAAAATAGGAAAACTTCAGCAAGAGAACTGACAGTGAGCAATGAATCTACCTGTAGGGCAATGTGAGTGAGGATTAAGGACATATATAAATATAAACCATGAATTTAGAAATGATACATTAAACAAAAATTGGGAAGAAAAGAAAGAAGGAGAGAGTTGTTAGTATCTGATTTCTTTTTTTTTTTTTTTTTTTTTTTTTTTTTTGAGTCAGGGTCTCACTCTGTTGCCCAGGCTGGAGTGCAGTGGCATGATCCTGGCTCATGGCAACCTCCACTTCCCAGGTTCAAGCAATTCTCCTGCCTCAGCCTCTGGAGTAGCTGGGATTACAGGCGCCTGCCACTACGCCTGGCTAACTTTGTATTTTTACTAGAGACAGGGTTTCACCATGTTGGCCAGGCTGGTCTCAAACTCCTGACCTCGAGTGATCCACCCGCCTCAGCCTCCCAAAGTGCTGGGATTACAGGCGGGAACCACCACACCTGGTCTAAGTCTCTGATTTCTTTATCTTTCTTATGGGGGAGGGGGCAAAAATAAGAAAAAGATAGCATAGAGGTATAAGTACATTTTAAAGACAAACACTAAGAAATATAATCTAAAATTAGATGGCAAAAAAGGAGAAGGGGTAAGAGAAAATACACACTTTTCATAAGTGTTTTTAGTAGGAAACATACTATTGAAAAAGGAATTCAAGGCGAATGCAAAGGCTCACACCTGTAGTCTCAACATTTTGGAAGGCCAAGGTGGGTGGATGGCTTAAGCCCAGGAGTTTGAGAAACTTATCTCTAGCCGGGCGTGGTGGCTCACGCCTGTAATCCCAGCATTTTGGAAGGCTGAGGTGGGCAGATTTGCTTGTTGCCTGGGCAACAGGGCGAAACCCTGTCTCTACAAAAAAAATACAAAAATTAGCTGGGTGTGGTAGTGCATGCCTGTAGTCCCTGATACTCAGATGAGGTGGGAGGATCACTTGAGCCCAGGAGGTTGAGGTTGCAGTGAGCTACAACTGTGCCACTGCACTCCTGCCTGGGCAACAGAGTGAGATTCTGTCTCAAAAACAAAACAAAACAAAAAAAAACCCTTATCTTTAAATAAAGAAACTAAGCCGGGCCCAGTGGCTCACACGTGTAATCCCAGCACTTTGGGAGGCCGAGGTGGGCAGATCACGCGGTCGAGAGATCAAGTCCATCCTGGCCAACAAGGTGAAACCCCATGTCTACTAAAAATGCAAAAATTAGCTGGGCGTGGTAGTGCGCGCCTGTAATCCCAGTTACTCAGGAGGCTGAGGCAGGAGAATCGCTTGAACCCGGGAGGCAGAGGTTGCAGTGAGCCAAGATCACGCCACTGCGCTCCAGCCTGTCAACAGAGACTCCATCTCAAAAAAATAAATAAAAATAAATAAAGAAACTAAAGTATACATCTAAAACAGGAAGTTAGAAAAGAAACAAACCTTTAAAAAGTAGATAGAAAGAATACACAAAAAGTGAAAATGGATTAGAAATGAACACGCACCCAAACGCAGGCATTTCCTCACTACCTGTGTACACTTTCCCCGTGCTCAAAACGGGGGCAAGGCTGGGGGTCGCTGCCCTTGCACTGCCCTCTCCTCTCCCTCCTCCTCCTCCCTACCCTTCCCGGGGCTTACCAGGCACCCTCTCAAGGCCTGATCCATCCCCACCCCATCTCAGCTCTCCTGCGCCCTCCAAGCATGGCCCACCTGCAGCAGGGGCAGAGCGAGGAGCATGCGCTGGGGGGAGGGACAGAGGGGACACAGCGTTGCCCAGTGCAAGGGGGCTAGCAGCCCCCAGAAGGCAACCTGTCCGTGCAACGGCTGAATGGATGGACCAGCAGGTGGCAGGTGGGGACAGAGGGGAGACACAGGGCCACTTACACCCCTTCCCTATTCCGCAGAGCAGAGGCGCCCCACCCTAGCTGCACATGAGAATTACCAGGGAGCTTTAAAAATACCAGGGTCTCTAAGTCCCTTCTCCATACACTCTGATTGAATCAGTTCGTGTCTTTCCACATTGGTCATCTGGTTCCAAAAAGCAAGGTGCACTGGGGAAAGAGGCAGCCCAGGGCATGGAAAAGAGAGGGGGCTCTGGAGCCATCGTTTGGAGTTTAAGCCCTGTCTCTGCCTCTCACTGGCTGTGTGATCTCAGGCTGGCACCTTAACCTCCCTGAGCCTCAAGGTCGCCATCCGTAAGATATGCTTCCCTCCCAGAAGGGGCTAGGGATGGGTGATTGTACATGTAAACCCTTCTGCTGGTGCAGGGTGCCCAGGATGAGTGTGAGAAGGAGGGCTGCCATGGTTCCCCTGCAGCCACCTCTGACTCTCGGCAGGTAGGCTAGGCTCCAGGACCACCTGCCCCCTCTGGGGAGTGCAGATGTGAGCGAGACCCAGGGGGTGGGGGCAGCCTTGGATCCACAGTCCCAGCTTCGGAGGCTATTCTGGTTCCAATTCAGAATCCCTGGCTCCTGGCTCAATGGGCTTTGTCCCAGAGATGTAATTTCTATTTTGATTCCATGTGACATTTAATGAAATGGCTTTCAGACACCACACAGTGACGGAGTTATGAAACCACAGCTTCTGGATCCTCAACACGCCTCACGATGACAGGACCCCTCTTGCTGCTTAGGGAGCTGCCCCAAGTCTCTTGAGGCCTGGGGCCCAGGACCACTGAGGTGGGGTCTTCACTGCGGAGTCCCTGGGGTCTGCCCCAGGCCCACTGTCTGGCACCCACGTCTCATCCTAGCTGGACTCACAGCAGCCTCTGCCTGGGTTCCCGCCTCAGTCTCCCTCTTGCCAATCCAGTGTTGTTCTAACTGCAGATCAAAAATATTCAGGGAGAGAGGAAGCCAATGTAGAGGATTGCAAACAGCATTGTTCATAGAACAAATGAGCCAGAATAGAAGCAGAACAGAACACGCCAGAACGAGCTGCACATGGCAAGGGCGACTGCAGCTCACAAGCCTGGGCTGCGAGTGTGCACACTAGGTCTCTATGTATGGGAATTTGAGAAAGTTTGAATGACGTGGCTCTAACTCACCACCGTGCCACTCCCCAGTTACAACTTTCGGGATGGACTTCAGACCCCTCAGCACAGCACTAAAAACCCCTCCAGACCTGGCCCCTGTCTACCCACCCACCTGGCCCACAGCCAACTCCAACCACACTGAGCCACTGGGTACTGCAAACTCTGCCAGGAGCTCCCATACCTGCCTGGAATGCAAGAGCCTCCCTCCTCTCTCCAGGCCTCCTTCCCTCCCTCCTTTCCCTCCCGCAGCTTCCACTCTCCCACAGACTCCTACAGATCCCTTACCCTTCAAGGGAAAGGCCACCTCCTCTTTGGTGTCTCCCTGATTCCCCAGCAGCCTTGGGGGCTCCCGGCCCGGTGCTCATGCTACATGGTGTACACTTTGCATAACACGGTCACCCCCACCAGCCAGTGGGGTCATTGTTTTCATGCCTCCCCGCCCTTCCCCCAGTGGGCAGCTAGGACTTCCCTCGAGGGGCTGGCTGAGCTCCTTGGTGCTCAATGTCGTACCATTTACTGACGGCAAGTGCAGGCTGACACCGGGGCCTCTCCCAGGTGACCCTCTCCACATGCTGACCCTCCCTGGGTAAAGACAACCTCCTAGATTCTATAGAAGCAAAGATATAAATATCTCCGGAGCCCTTCCGTTCAAAAGGAAGTAGAAGCCCTACAATTTCTCAACAACTTGGCTATTAAAAATAGGAATTCCACCTACACACCAGAACAGTTTGTTGCGGATCATGGAAGGGCCAGAATCGTGAGGTCACATGTGTTTGGGACTGAGAAAGCTGCTGGACCCAAAAGCTGAGCACTGTAAGAAGGCAGGCAGCTGTCTGCAGCTGGTGCTACAGCCCCGAGGCCCCAGAAATCTCTAGAACCACAGGGATGCCGAATGGTACTCTGCCAAGAGTTTTATAAAACTCACTTCCCCACCACATCATGTGAACATCTGCACAGCACAGGTTCCAAAGGAAATTGAAAAAGAAATAAATCGTGCATTAGCAAGCGTATCTGAGACCTCGTCTCTGACCTTGGAAGAGTGTGAGGAGATGCCTCAGACGCCGGCTCCTGCTGCCACCTCCTCCCACTCCCCGTCCTCAAAACAGAGCCCCAGACCCGGCCCAGAGTTGGGGTCCCCTGAGGATTCAGTCTTCCACATTCATTTCCTGGCCCTCAAGGCCTGAAGCTCCATCCTTCCGCTACCCCCTTGGGTTACAGGAGAGTCCCCAACAGGCGCTGTGCGTGAATAGTGATGGCAGAGCGGACATGCATTCTGTCAGATCCACAGCCACTCCAGAGACAGCCTTGGTGGAGACGGGAGAGGAGGAAGGGGAAGAAAGTGGGCAGAGGGGCCGGGTGTGGTGGCTCACGCCTGTAATCCCAGCACTTTGGGAGGCCAAGGCGGGCGGATCACAAGATCAAGGGATCGAGACCATCCTGGCCAACATGGTGAAACCCCGTCTCTACTACAAATACAAAAATTAGCTGGACACGGTGGTGCACACCTGTAGTCCCAGCTACTCGAGAGGCTGAGGCAGGAGAATTGCTTGAACCCAGGAGGCGGAGGTTGCAGTGAGCCAAGATCGTACCACTGTACCACCTGGCGACAGAGCAAGACTCCGTCTCAAAGAAAAAAAAAAATTGTGCAGAGGTAGCGAGCCCCACTGATGACTCCCACTCTGGGGGCCAGGGACTCCAGTCATGATCTCAACCAGGCCCCCCCAGTGCAACCTGCACGTTACCGTGTCAGACACAGCAGCTTCCCCTGCGGGTCACTCACTCGCTCATTCATTCAACAACACTGAGAGTGCCTGGCCAGGTGCTGGCTGAGCACACCGGAGGACACGGACCCCATCCCTGCCCTCAGGGCACTCAGCTGGAACAAGGCATCAGAAAAGTGTACGATTCTGTGCACTTTGGATAGTATGAAAAAGCGAAGTGGTAAACACTTGGGGCCATGAGGGCTCTGAGGAGGCCCCTAATCTGGCCTCACTGGGTCTGAGGAGGTTCCCAGGGAAAGTGACCTGTAAGTTGAGACCTGAAAGATCAGGAGCGGGTGGGTGGGGACAAAGTCCAGGCTAAGGGAACAGCCTGTGTGAAGGCAGGAGGCTAGAGGATGTGGTGTTTAAGAAGCTCAGGCTCAGGCCAGGCATGGTGGCTCACGCCTGTAATCCCGGCCCTTTGGGAGGCCAAGGCAGGCAGATCACGAGGTCAGGAGATCAAGACCATCCTGGCTAACACGGTGAAACTCTGTCTCTACTAAAAATACAAAAAATTAGCCAGGCGAGGTGGTGGGCGCCTGTAGTCCCAGCTACACGGGAGGCTGAGGCCGGAGAACGGCATGAACCCAGGAGGCAGAGCTTGTAGTGAGTCGAGATCGCGCCACTGCACTGCAGCCTGGGTGACAGAGCAAGACTCTGTCTCAAAACCAAACAAAACAAAACAAAAAAGAAGCTCAGACTCAGGAAGGTTCAAGGCAGAGGTGAGCGGGGAGCCCGCGGGCACCTGGGCTCAGGCAGGGCCGAGAGCTGCGGTGAGGGGAGGGGCTCATGCAACACAGCCACATCGTCTGAGGTGCTGCCCGAGACCATTCCAGATGCTATGTGTGCAATGGACTGGCGGAGGGTGAAGGTGGGGTGGGGGATCTGGCCATGGTGGGGGCCTGAGCCTGCAGGGATACGGCTATACTGAGCACTGGAATGGGAGGGGGATCGCAGGACCGTGCTGTCTGGGGCATGGGGTGAGGGACATGGGAGGGCGAAGCTCCCCCGCCTGGCCACACGTAGAACGGCAGAGGCTGGCAGTACCTGGATTTCCGACCTGGCAGGGGTGCGTGGGGGCCCTGTACACTGAGCTAGGAAACAGCAGATGACAGGCCCCGCAAGCCACCTCCACAGTGGCCCCTCTTCCCCCACCGTGCGAGTTGCCATCATTTCTCACCTGAAAGCTGCAACTGCCTCCCGCTTCCACTGGCGCACCCCGAGTAACACCTGACACGCAGAAGCAGGGGATTCCCTTTCAAGACGTAAGGCTGGTCAGACCTTCCCGAGCTTCTCATCCCCTTAGAAATGAAATCCAGACTCTTTACCTGGGTCTGCAGACCTGCATGTACACACCCACTCCACTGACCCAGCCCCATCTCCCACCCCTCACTCTGCTCTGACCACTCACAGACGCGCCTGCCACAGGGCCTTTGCGCTTGCCCACCCTCCGCCTGAAACATGCTTTCCTCCCCTAACCACGTGGTCGATCCCCACATCCTCTGGCTCCCTCTGGCTCCCCACATGAAAGAGCAAGGGGCATAGCCCGCCCCTTCCTCCCTGCTTTCCTTGTCTTCAGAGCTTGTCACCGTCTGACTTACCGCACACTGGGTGGGTGATTGGTCTCCATCTCCCTCACTGGCGTGCTGTCTCCCCGAGGGCCTGGACTCCATCTGCTTTGCACTTCACGGTCTCCCAGCACCTGCAGCAGTGCATACAGGAGGGCTCAGTGACTGCATGCTGGAGCAACCGCCTCCCAGCCCCAGCCCCAGCCCCAGGCCATGGCCACCTCCTGGGGCTCTGTTTCCCGTGCTTGGAACAGTACCCCACCCTCACCTGCTCTTTCCTTCCCAAGAACAGGTCGAGGTCTCTTGCCCTCCTTCCTGCCTCCCCGCTTCCCAGAGCTAATCATACCCTCCTCCGTGTGATCTTGGAATCCTTAAGCACATGCATTCTTGACTCCAAGACCAGACACCAGGCCTCCTCCATTCCAGCACAACCACAGTTAATAGCCACTGTCCACCACCATGTGCCCAGACCTCTGCTGGCAGTGACCAAGGATGCAGAAGCAGAAGATGCACACCCACGAGGGCTGGCAGTCTCCCTGGAGAGGGCACACTAACATGGGGACAACATCCTAGCACAGCATGAGATGCGTGTCAGTGAGCGTAGCTAGGTGGCACCAACTCCCTAAGGCTCAGAGTGAGACATGGGGGTGGGGGGAGGGGATGGAGGGAAGATGGGATGGGAGGTGCCAGTTTTGCCACCCACAGACTTAACCTGAGTCCCAGAGCACATAACTGGTCAACAGCAGAGCTGGGCCTGGCTGGGTCCATCGGGCTCCAAGCCAGCGGTTTCTGAACTCAGAATGGCCCCCATTGGCCGACCTCTTTGGACAGAAGCAACTAACTCCCACCTCTCCACGAAATCCCAAGCTCCTAAGCAACTTCCAGAGGCTACAGCACAATAGTGAGCAGACACACAACTCACAACGTGGGCCCCGCACATGACAGCGACGTGGGCGAGATGCAGCCCCAGCCGCCAGTTCACAGGAGCGAGGGCTGCCAGCCTCCACATGCCCGGGGCACCTCCTCCTAACCCTGGTCCAGAGCTCAGGGTCCCTCTCCCTAAAGCCCACCTGAGACCCAGAATAGCCTTCTGCCTGGGTAGCTGCTTCCCCTGGTGGCTGCGAGTGCTCATCAACACTTATTATAAGAACATTATAGGAAAATTTAAACAGAAAAATAGAATAGAAAGAAAAACTGCTCTTACTCCCAACCTGCCCCCTAAGGCACCTTTTCATTTCTCCACGTGGGACACCTTCCTCTCTATCCATATGTACACATTTTTATGACAACGTAAGCACAGTATACCCATAACTTTACGTTCTGCTATTTTATCATTTTCCTGTAAACAGCTTTCCCTGTGTTTAAATGTGATCTGTGTATTTCTCATCTAGAGTGACTGGTTAGCACTCCATTAATAACCGGCTCTCTGAGCAGGCACCCTGCTGGCTCAGCCACCACCAATGCCATCCACTACTTTCCCATCAGGTCCACTACGGAGCTCTCAGGAACATGGTCAGGCCTTACTCAGAGCTCATCAAGCATTTTCTGTAAAGATAGAAAATACAGACCACAGCAGCTATTCCAGTCTCTTATCCATGGTGAAGGCAGCCACAGACCATACGTAAACAAACAAGTGTGGCTGCGCCCCAACGAAGCTATTTATGGGCCCTGAAATTTGAATTTCATAGAATCTTCATGCAACACGAAATGTTCTTTTGATTTTTTTTTCTTTTCTTTTTTAGAGACAGAGTCTTGCTCTGTCGCCCAGGCTGGAGTGCAGTGGTGCAATCTCGGCTCACTGCAACCTCCGCCTCCCGGATTCACGCCACTTTCCTGCCTCAGCCTCCCAAGTAGCTGGGACTACAGGTGCCCGCCACCACGCCCAGCTAATTTCTGTATTTTTAGTAGAGAGGGGCTTTCTCTGTGTTAGCCAGGATGGTCTCGATCTCCTGACCTCTTGATCCACCCGCCTCAGCCTCCCAAAGTGCTGGGATTACAGGCATGAGACACCACGCCCAGCCATTCTTTTGATTTTTAAAACATATTCCTAGCTCCTGGTATGTATAAAACCAGGCGGTGAACCAGATCCCACCCACGGGCTATTTCCTGACCCCTGCTCCGTTAACATTGGAGGATCCAGGGGTGGAGGAAGGAAAGTCCTAGAAAGGAGTGGAGGAGGAGGGTGGGAACTGAGGAAGCAAAGGAAGGCCCAACAGACCACTCTCTGTGTTCCAGAAAGTTCTAGGACTTGCTTCCAATTCCCAAGGGGCCTGGGACAGTCCAGCTCTCTGAAACGCCCCAAACAGAGCAAAACCGAAGGCTGGGACCATAGAGATGGCTCAGCACCTCATTTCCTGATGGAGGGGAAGGGTCACCAAGAGAGATGAGAAAGAACAGACCCCAAATCCACTAACTGTCCCCTCATCCGCCCCCAGCAATGTGGTGATTCCAGCCTTTGACACCCCCACTTCTAGTCAGCTTGTCACCAGCTCACAGTGGCAAAAGTCCCCTTCCAGACAATGCCCCACAAGTCTCTTTTTAATGCCAAGTGGCCTAAAATGCCAGGAAAGATCCTTCTGAAATGTAAATCAAACTTCTCTCTGCAAGGAAGACCCATCCTCTGCTGCCCCTGGCATTCTAAATGATCTCTTAGAAATATGAGCCAGTGCCTTTGCCAATAATAACTTCTACTTTAGAAGTGCCAGATCAAACCAGAGAAAGTGGCTCAGTGGCTACCCAGGGCTGAGGCGGCAGACGGGAGACAGGGAGTGACTAAGGGACACGAGCTTTCTTTTTGGGGTGGGCAAGATGTTCAACTGTGGAGATGACTGCCCATACCTGTGGATATACTAGACCACTGAACCACACCCTTTATTTTTTTTGAGTCAGTCTCACTCTGTCACCCAGGCTGGAGTGCAATGGCGCAACCTCTACTCACTACAACCGCCACCTCCCGGGCTCAAGCAATTCTCCTGCCTCAGTCTCCCAAGTAGCTGGGATTACAGGCACCCATCACCACGTCCGGCTAATTTTTGTATTCTTAGTAGAGATGGGGTTTCACCATGTTGGCCAGGCTGGTCTCAAACTCCTGACCTCAAATGATCCGCCCACCTTGGCCTCCCAAAGTGTTGGGATTACAGGCGTGAGCCACCACGCCTGGCCAAGAGCCATACCCTTTAGATGGGCAAACTGAATGGCACGTGAAAAAGTTGCTTATGAAAGCACTTCACTCATCTAAATTCTCACAAGCCTGTTGGGCCTGGATTACAAATCCTAGTTCACGATGTGGAAACTGAGGCTGAGAGCAGTGATGTGATGTCCCCAACCGTTTCATAAGCAGTGAGAACTGGCTCCAAGAGCAGTCAGTTTTTCAAAAGGGAGGTGAAAGGCCGGGTGCAGTGGCTCACACCTGTAATCCCAACACGGGGAGGCCAATATGGGCAGATCACTTGAGGTCAGGAGTTCGAGACCAGCCCAACCAACATGGTGAAACCCAGTCTCTACTAAAAAATACAAAAATTGGCCAGGCACAGTGGCTAATGGTTGTAATCCCAGCACTTTGGGAGGCCAAGGCAGGCGGATCACCTGAGGTCAGGAGTTCGAGACCAGCCTGACCAACATGCAGAAACCCCGTCTCTACTAAAAATACAAAATTAACAGGGCATGGTGGCATGTGCCCGTAATCCCAGCTACTCAGGAGGCTGAGGCAGGAGAATCACTTGAACCCGGGAGGCAGAGATTGTGGTGAGCTGAGATTGCGCCATTGCACTCCAACCTGGGCAACAAGGGAGAAACTCCATCTCAAAAAAAAAAAAAAAAATTAGCCGGGCATGATGGCAGGAGCCTGTAATTCCAGCTGCTCAGGAGGCTGAGGCATGAAAATCACTTGAACCTGGGAGGCAGAGGTTGCAGTGAGCCGAGATCACGTCACTGCACTCCAGCCTGGGGGTCGCAGCAAGACTCCATCTCAAAAACAAAACAAAACAAAGAGGGAGCCTAAAGTCAGCCCTTTGCTGCAGCGGCCCCTGCACTAACAGGACCTGGAAGTGCCCTTCAGTAACATTGGGACCCACATCAGTCCAGAGGAAGGCCAGAGCAGCTGCAGGACCTGTTCCCAGCCTTCCAAAGCAAATTCCTTCCCATCTCGTCCTGGCACCCCTTCTGGAGGAGAGGCTAGACCCCCCTGAAGTAGAGGAGAGGGAAGACTCAGAGGCTCAGGGAAGACCTCACCCAGGCAGCTGCTGCCCCAGGGCTTTCTGGAAACTGAAATCTCCCCGTTTTCCACCTCCAAGGGAAGCTACTGCTTCCCACTCACCCCATTCCTAAGCGTGAGGCTCCATTTGGGCATGTGAGTACCTGTCCCTAGACTTTGTGGCCATAAGCTACCTTTCTAGCATAGTACCCAGAGCGTCCCAGGTAGAAGCAAACTGAAAGTGGCCCCCACTAGTGAAGTGCAGACAGTAAGAGAGCCCCTGGTCCTATATGGACAGGATCCCACCCTTTGCCCCAGGTGACAAGGGGCAAAGCAGAGGTCACCCTCCCCCACTACCACAGTGTAATGACCAGGGAGGAAGGGCAGGACGAGTGTAGGCATGACCAAACCCTTCCATATGACTCACTGGCCAGCTGGTGGTTTTAGGAGCCATTCCTTGGGCGGACCAGCATGGGGCTGGCAGGTGCCTGCTCTCCCATCAAGAGGGGCACATGCAGTGAGGGGACGAATGTAGACAGGTGCAAGTTCTGGTCACCCACTGGTCTTTGTGCAGACCAGTCCTCTGTGAGGCACATGGCCTCCCTGAGCCTCCCGGCCATATCTGTAAAATGGGGGCAATCATCTCTGCCCCACGGTGGCTGTGCAGATCAAGTGAATTCTGTTGGGGTGGAACTGACTGCACGTGGCAGGAAAATCAACCTTATCCTATCAGGAATGTATTGATTTACTTCTGTGAAACATCTGGGATGTGGACTTCAGAATTCACTGGACTCAGAAAATGAATATGATGAGGCTTCAGCCTCTCTGTAGATCAGCTCTCCTTTCCTCAGTCAGGGCCTCACTCTTGGACAGGTCTACCCTCATGGGTTCAACAGCCCCAACCTTTGGCCTCCCTTCTACCCACCCCTCACCCCCAAAGTAAAAGCCTTAAAGTGTGGCTCATGGGGTCCTGGTTGCATGGAGACTAGACTCCCAGGGGCTATGGCCAGGGTATTTGTTTTTAAGAGTGGGTCTTGCTCTGTTGCCCAGGCTAGAGTGCAGTGGTGCAAGCATGGCTCACTGCAGCCTCAACCTCCTGGGTTCCAGTGATCCTTCTGCCTCAGCCTCTTGAGTAGCCGGGACTACAGATGCATGCCACCACACATGGCTAATTTTTAAAAATTTTTCTATAGAGATAGGGTCTCCTTATATTGCCTAGGCTGGTCTTGAAATCCTGGCCTCAAGCCAGGGATTCCCCCCTTGGCCTCCCAGTGTTGACATTGCAGGCACTAGCCACCCGCACCTCTGATAAAGGGCAACAGGGGGTCAAGCAGTGGCCTCTAGATGACAGCGTGCCTTTTCAAGGCCACACCCACACCCAACACAGATTCCATCTTGCCAAAGCTTGGAAGGACAGCACCCTGCACAGTGGAGGCCCACCCACACCCAGGAAGGCTCAGCCTGCCCCAGACTAGGAGGCCCCAGCATCTCCATCGCAGCACATGCTGCAAACCTGTCTTGTCTTTTCACCTGGTATCATCTGGGCCTCAACCCCTCTGCCCTTTATTGAGATTCCAGTGTGGCCACGTTGCATAATCCAAACCATTCACTTGTGAGCAGTCATTTGACCACACCCTACCCCATCCAGGCTTGCCCCAGCCCCGCACTTTGGTGGTGCTGCCCGGACACAGGAAGATGGAACATCTTCTCACATCCGGTAGGAATGTGAGCTCTCAAGCAATTGCCAGTAGAGCCATGGAGATTCTCTGCAATTGGCATAAAAGCAAACCTAGGGACTGTGTGTAGGGCCAGAGGACAATGAATAAAAAAAAAACACATGACTAAGAGAATATGGCAGCACCAAGACAATAACCCGCTTCATCACTCTGAGCCTGAGCCCAGGACTCATCAGTCCCTGGGGAGGCAGGGATGAAGTCACACCCAAACACTGCAGAGACCATGTTGCTTGGTGCAGTTATCACCATCGTGTTTTCCCAGAGGAACAATCATTCTTTAGGCCAATAACTTCTATCTCTAATGGGCTTTTTGCTTTAAAGTCTTTTTCCTATAGTAATTGTTTACACTCTTAAGTGTTTAGTTTGGCAATCATTTATAGCTAGAATTTGAGCCTTAAGAGTTTTAACTCTTAAGTTTATTTACATCTACTGTGCTTTTATTTCTACCATCCTATTTTGTGCTTTCCATTGACTTGTTCTCTGCTGCATCTCGACCCTTTCCACCTTCTAAGCCCGTCAAGCTTTAACTCCTCTGCAACACATCCCACACCCGCACGCATGCCCCTCCCCTCCCCCACCAGGGCCCCTACTTTGGAAGTTGAAGTTAAATCTTCTGGTGCTATGCCTCCAGTGGTCATCCTTAAACTTTAAACCATATACCTCCAAGGCCTAATAGTATAAAGACCTTGGTATTCTTTATCCCTCTGCAGCGTCCATTATTCTAGTTCCATTTGTTGTTTGAGTTCGGTCTCACTGTTGCTCAGGCTGGACTCAAGTGATCCTCCCACCTCAGCCTCGTGAGTAGCTGGGATCACAGGCATGCACCATGATGCCCAGCTTCCTTTTGATTCTATTGATTCACTGTGGACCAACCAATTTCTCTGCTCATCACCATCCTCTTTTGGCTCAATTCGCTAGGAATTATTTTGGCTTGGGGATGTGAATGGTAAAACCTTGGCATGAAAATGTATCTTCTTTCTGAATAATAATTTTGTCCAATGATTCCCTCAGCATTGAAGATATGATTTCATAATCTTTTGGCTTACGTTGAAACATTCGTTTAATGATTGTTCTTTTTGTTCATGTTCTGCAGCTTCATTCAAATGAGACTAGGAATGAATGTTTGCTTCTCATGTGTGATTCCTTGGGGACTTCCTGATCTCAAGGATGAGTCCATTCTGGAAAGTCACCAGTCTTTACCTCCTCAAACACTGCCTGTCCACTCTCTCCATGCTTTCTTTCATCTTCTTTAGAATAATTCCCTTAGATACATCCCTTCCAACTCACAAGTCCACTCTTCAGCTATGTCTAATCTTACTAAGCTGTGTTGAAATAGCTCTAAGAGCCTGAACTCTAGTAGTTATGCTGTATCCCATTCTACCTGATTCCGAAAATCTATTTCTTCACCATACCGTGTTTTTTCCTTTTATCTGTTGTGTTGTCTGAGTTTCTAATTAAGAAGTGTGAACCCCACCTGTGGGAATCCTGTGCAACCAGGCTAGGGATCAATACTGGGGATTAATTTATCTTTGAGTAGTTCCTAGACCACAAATTTATGTGAAGGTTTTTAAGAATCCAGAAGGATTAAAACCCTTATCTTCCCCACTGTGCCAATGGGATTTTTGTCTAGTTCCCGTGTCACTGGGGCCCCTAGCTTTATGCCACGGTTTTGGTCCCAACTCCTCCCCTGGTTTAGATTAACCTCTCCCTCCAAATCCAATTGCACGTCAGCCCCTGCCCATTTAATTTCTCTAAGGGACTAACAACCACTCGGAGAGCTGCTACAAGTTCCGGGGCCTCCATGGTCACTTTCTTTGTTCCCAAAAGAGGTCATTCTCCTTTCCCAGGAGGTGATCATCTATTTAACTTTTTTTTTTTTTTTTTTTTTTGAGATGGAGTTTCACTCTTGTCGCCCAGGCTGGAGTGCAATCTCAGCTCACTACAACCTCTGCCTCCCAGGTTCAAGTGATTCTCCTGCCTCAGCCTCCGGAGTAATGGGATTACAGACATGGGCCACCACACCCGGCTAAATTTTGTATTTTTAGTAGAGATGGGGTCTCACCATGTTGGCCAGGCTGGTCTCAAACTCCTGACCTCAGGTGATCCGCCCACCTCAGCCTCCCAAAGTGCTGGGATTACAGGCGCGAGCCACCATGCCCGGCCCACCTATTTAACTTTTTGCTGTGCTATTTATCATGGGCAGGTGTTTGAAGCAAGAGGAGTTCGGTTCCTTAGTCCACCACCTTGCTGGAGCCACTCCAGTCTCTAGAGCCAAGGCTAAGGTGAACATGACTACTGAACCTTAAGCAGCAATGGGTTCAGCTATTCTCATCATTAAAAAAAAAAAAAAAAAAAATCCTGATGTCATATTCCCTCCAGGGAATGGCAGGGAGACACCACTGATGTGTTCCCTTCTGTGTCCAGACAGACACCAGGAGGGTAGCCCCTCTATACTCAGGGACTGCTGGAAGAGGCCAGGCCACGCAGTCCAACTGCAGCCACTCACGGATGAGGGGCTGGGCCTGTGCCTGTCTTGCTAAGAGGAGTTAAACCATTATCAGGATCTCCAGACCGACACTGGCAGGGCCACTGATCCTCAAAATACAGCCAGTTAGCTCCCTGGCCAGGTGACAGAACACCCATCTGGTTCCTCCTTTGCATGACAAAGTCCTCAGGTCAGAGGCCACAGCAGTACCAGGTGAAGGGAGGTTTTGGTAGGTCTGCTTTTAGCAGCCAGGCCTGGCCACTGCAGCTGGGCAGGGCCCCGAATGTGCACACACAATGAAGTGTAACTCTTACACAGCATGTCTAGAACACACCAGAAAACACATCTGGAACATGCTGAAGCTCAGCAGGGCTGCCTTTTCCCCAAGTGAGATCCAGACTTTAGTAGCTTTTAAAAGCCCCCAGGTGATTATAATTCACACCCAGGACTGACGTCCACTGGTTTGAACTTTATGTCAGGAGTCTATCCCACCCGATCTCAAGTGTCTGAGATCTCCCATTAAGATTACAGGGTCCCTGGTTTACCCCCAGACTGATTCAGTAGGTCTGGGGGTGAGGCCGGGGAGGATGTATCTAATGAGTACCCAGGGCAATTGACTCAGCAGCCTGACCACTCAACTCTCTGCAGGCCCTCCTCGGGCAGCATGGGAGACATGTTCTATAGAGCATGGCAGCTGGCATGGGGCCGGGGGGAGCAGAACAGACTGCAGGCCACCCACAGGGAGGCTGTCCTAGTAGTTGGTCATCTTCTTGACGCCTGGCTGCCCCGAACTTGTGCAATAGGCCCAGCGCCAACCTGACATTACAAATCAAATGACCTTAACTGAACACTTTTAGGTGTAAAGGCAAAGCTCTCTACTAGGTTCCTCTGGGACACAGATCACACTTTTACCCAAGATACCATCCACCCCAAAATACTTCAGTTCCAATTAGTTTATTTCCCCATGTACCAGTCACTTAAATACCTGATCCTTGGAGGCCTTATGCTTATAAATATAAAGACAGATAAAAATCTGTGCCCTCAAAGACAACTTTCTCTTACAGAGCAGCACGGGAAGAAATCTTCATGAGAACACAGGAGTCGGAAGCAGCACAACCTCAGACACTAGTCCCAGTCCCCTCCACTAAGGAAACATCATCTCCCCCCATGAGACCTCTCCCAATCACTCCCATCCACCTTAGAATTCTCTGCTGCCCCCACCACTGCCCAACAATTCAGATCTACTCATCTATCAGTTTTCCTCTCTAGGAGTAAACCCAAGCTCCAGAGGGAGGGGCCTCCCCTCTGGCTTAGCGCCCCATCTTCCTGAATTAAAATGCAGGTAGAAAACGTCACCTGACAAGAGAGCTGCTGTTTGTTCAATGAACTGAATGGCAGTGGCGTGAGGTACAAGGAATGATTGGTTCGTTTGGGGATGGGTGTCATGAATTCTAAAAGGCTTTATCAAAGTGGGTGGGATTCCGAGTCAGGAAAGGGCCTTTATAGACACAGGGACCAATCCAAACCTGTGCTGGAGTCCACACAGGTCAGATGTGGGACAGCAGAGCAAAACTCCAGCTGGGAAGACCTCTAGCCCCACCTGTTTTGCAAACGGGAAAAGAGCCCCAGGAGTGGCTCCCCCACGGTTGAGAAGTTAACTCAGCCCCGGCTTCACAAACCCCACGTGCAGTATGGCAGTTAGTATTTTTGGGCACCACCTTTCGGGTGTACCTGTCTCCTATACACCTTGTGCCAATAGGCACAAGGCAAGTCTCTTGCCCAGAACCAGTGGAAAGCAAATGAATTCGTTAGCCTTTACAAAAAACACCTTTTTTTTTCAGACAGTCTCACTCTGCTGCCCAGGCTGGAGTGCAGCGGTGCAATCTCAGCTCACTGCAACCTCTGCCTCCCGGGTTCAAGTGATTCTCCTGCCTCAGCCTCACGAGTAGCTGGGATTACAGGCGTGTGCCACCATGCCAGGCTAATTTTTGTATTTTTAGTAGAGATGGGGTGTCACCATGTTGGCCAGGCTGATCTCGAACTCCTGAGCTCAGGTGATCTGCCTACCTTGGTCTCCCAAAGTGCTGGGATTACAGCCATGCCTGGCCAAAAAATATTTCTCTTCCTGAATTAAAATGCAAATTTTACCAATCAAGAAACTGACATAAGAACAGTTTTATTTTAATCACTTAAGACTTGTGCATTATTCAATTTTGAGACTGAAATACTTGTTTCCCTTTCAACTGATTAGGAAATGGTCTGAGCTGGCAGAAGTTAATCCTCACATTATTCAGCTAATGAGAGACAGAATCCTAAAACCTGATTCCAACTTCCGCCTGTACCTCACAATGCAAGACAAAGCCTTTCATTTTAATGTTGTACACATATAAGGACCATATAATCTGGATTAACTTTAGGTAACAATAACTTAAAAGATAGGAAAATGTATCATATTACAGAGATTTAAAAATTGTCTATACAATAAATGATGAAGAAAACTAACAATAAACAGGACGACGTTCAAATACTGAATACAATTAACAAATGGGGCCAAAAGATCAACATTTATCTCTCATCATCTTTCATGCAATGTCTCAGCTTTCTTCTCCCAAACATAAAGGCAGATTAATTCAAAGTAGCCCTATTAAGAATATTTGTTTATCACGCCTGCAATCCCAGCACTTTGGGAGGCCGAGGTGGGTGGATCACCTGAGGTCAGGAGTTCAAGACCAGCCTGACCAATATGGTGAAACTCCATCTCTACTAAAAATACAAAAATTAGCCAGGTGTGGTAGCACATACCTGCAGTCCCAGCTACTAGGGAGGCTGAGACAGGAGAATTGCTTGAACCCAGGAGATGGAGGTTACAGTGAGCCAAAATCGCGCCACTGCACTCCAGCCTGGGCAACAGAGCGAGACTCCATCTCAAAAAAAAAAAAAAAAATTATGTTTCATTCTGAAATTAATATTTGAATGGAAACTGTATTAACAGCTCATGGTTTCCTACTAAAGTTTAAGATCCCCCTAGACAATGCTCAGATTTAGACAATGCCAGAATAAGACACTGGGTGACTGAAGTATGAACTACAGGTAAAATCTAGAAGAACATAGATAATAAAAAATTTCTGATTTAACAGACATAGTAAATATAAATGAATTAACTCACACAACCTACTTACACCAAACAAAACTAGAATGAACAACTTGTAGGAACCACCTCTAGTTGATTTCACCACTTAACAGGGGCAAGATCTTAGGTGGATCATTTTGTTTAAGGATGACTTGAAATTTTACAATACTACCTTAGCTCCCACATATGAAAACTCTTCAAGAATTTTTTCTCATCAACCAGACGTTGAGGAAAATACAGTGAGAAATAAAATGAAACGGCTTCTCACACATATGAAGGCCCAGATCACCCCTAAATTTCTAGTGATTTAACTTAAGAAGCTCCTTGCCCTGAGAGATTCCTTTATCCCACAACACTCTACTCAGAGGGGGCAGAGAATCCCAGGACACTACACAAGCCACAGGATAAAAACACAACCTGTCTTCTATCTGGCACCAACTGACTAATATCTAGGTATACACAGGACTGACTTTAAAGTTGGTTAACAAATATTTTAATTCATTAAAATAAAACTTAAAAATTACATGCTTAGTCTACACAAGTTTAACTTACTTTAGTCACTTAGTGAATTGTGAATTGGCTCCCATTAGTGGTCAGGAGAATGTATTTGGTGTAGAAACCAAATAAATCAAGCTATTATCGCCTTGTGAGTACAAACAATGTTTATTTGTTTGTAAAGTGCCAGGTTTATATTTAAGTAAACATTAAAATCTGCGTTGAAGCAGTGAGGCTGCATCTTTTAACTGGCTGTGCTGGTTAAAGGACTGTTTAATCCCGCTGTGCTAAGCTCACTAAAGGGTCACCCCTCACTTTAAAGCCAAGACTGCCATTGTCACTGCTATGGTAAGTCACAGCCAGCCAGGCCTTCTGGCAAAAGGTGATACTACCAGCACTATAAACAGACAGGACTGGTTGTGAGGTAGCTACACAGTTTTAAAGATGCTGTTAATGAACATTACGGACAATTCATGGTGTGGCTAGTTGGTAACACTTCAGCTGATTTTTCTTATGAGATGGAAAAAAAAAATCAGCCAAGTAAGGGCACATCTTCAGTTCATTTAGAAGTCAGCATCCAAGGTAAAAGAATTCTCTGTTGGACTTGACATCACTCCCATCCTCTGATACTCGCCTACTCTCTTCTCAAAGAAGTTAGTCTTTCCTTCCAGTGAAATATTCTCCATAAAGTCAAATGGGTTCTCTACTCTGAAAACCTGAAAAGGTTCACATCAAGATATAAATACAGAGCACCAGCTTCAAAACAAGCAAAAGGCTATGTAAACAATACTTTACCTTGCTAAAACCCAGTTCCAGCATAAGTCTGTCTGCCACAAACTCAATGTATTGCTTCATTAGAGTGCAATTCATCCCAATGAGCTTCACAGGCAAGGCCTCAGTGAGGAACTCCTAGGAACCAAAATACAGCTTCTGAATACAACTAAAGCACAGGCATTTTCTAGCAAGCTTGAGTGACCCATTTCATCACCCACTTTACCTGTTCTATCCGAACAGCATTGATAATTATTTCTCTTACTCTCTCCTCCGATGGTTTGTGTACCAGGTGTTTGAACATCAGGCAAGCAAAATCACAGTGTAAACCCTAGAAAAAAAAGTTCAAGATCACTAAAGCCAGAAGACTTCTGTCATTAACATGGAATATGAAATTACTTTGTCCTTTTCTGCATTCTCCTTATCCAACATGCTCAGCCATACTGAGAGCACTTGAACTCTCAAAGGGAAGATGACTTCAACTACTGACTTCTCTGCTGATGTCACTACCAAGGCAAGCTCAGTCCCATTCAAGACCCTCAAAGTTGCCACCTAGATGAAGACAGGCAAGGTGTATTTCTTGCTCTGCTGTGTGTTGGCAAAGGAGGAGTCAGAGCTTCACTCAGTGATCTTTCTACAGCCATGAGTGCTAATTTTGCCACTACTCCCAGCAGGAAAGGCAAAGCTCAGTAATAAGGCTAGTTTTTAGATGCTCAGGAAATTTGTATGCAATTTCAAGTAAATCAAGTTTGCAAGTTACTGCATTAAACATCAAGCTTCACAGCTTATCTCCCAATCCAGTAAGGAAGGCCCTCCTACAAGGTAACCATATTTGATTTGCCCACTGGGCTCCAAGTAAGATGGAGTTCATGCTCCTGGCTTTTCAAATGTGACTTAATCAAAGACATACACTAGACCAAAATGTATACTCATTTCATTGAAATGCTTATTAATATTGAAGTAGAGGGGCAATTTCTAGATCAAACAGGAGAAACATAATGGCTACTATGAACATTCTTTTTCGGGGGGACTGTCACCCAGGCTGGAGTGCAGTGGTGTGATCTTGACTCACTGCAACCTCCACCTCCCAGGTTCAGGCGATTCTCCTACCTCAGCCTCTCAAGTAGCTGGGACAATAGGCACGTCCACCATACCCGGCTAATTTTTTGTATTTTTAGTAGAGATGGGGTTTCACCGTGTTAGCCAGGATGGTCTCAATCTCCTGACCTCATGATCCACCCGCCTCGGCCTACCAAAGTGCTGGGATTACAGGCATGAGCCACCGCTCCTGGCTCTACTATGAACATTTTTACGGAAAAAGGGATAACATATTAATACCAGGCAAAAATAATAAAACATCCCTTAAAATCCCAATCCCATCAATAACTTGTAGTTTTGGCTGGGCATGGTGGCTCATGCCTATAATCCCAGCACTCTGGGAGGCCGAGGCGGGTGGATCACCTGATCACCTGAGGTCAGGAGTTCAACCCCAGTCTGGCAAACATGGTGAAACCCCGTCTGTATAAAAAGACGAAAATTAGCTGGGCATGGTGGCAGGCACCTACAATCCCAGCTACTTGGGAGGCTGAGGCGGGAGAATCACTTGAACCTAGGAGGCAGAGGTTGCAGTGAGCCAAGATCACGCCATTGCACTCCAGCCTGGAACGACAGAGCAAGATTCCGTCACCTCAAAAAACAAAGAACTTGTAGTTTTATGCATTCAAAGCCTATAGGGGAATACATATGTACAAATGTATTACAATATATTGAGAATGCAAGTAAAACAGTTTCAGTAAATGAAAGTATTTCCTTCTTTTGTCAAGTATGTGTATGGTTGAACTCACACATTAAATGTGGATATATGCCATCTAGCATCTCAGGTCCCCGTCAGTGAACACAAGAGCATGCCCGAGTTGTGTTTGGGGTTTAGGTCACCCTATTATTTGACTTAGACTCACCTCATCTCTGCTAATAAGTTCATTAGAAAATGTGAGGCCAGGCATCAGTCCTCGTTTCTTGAGCCAGAATATCGACGCAAAAGAACCGGAAAAGAAAATGCCTTCCACTGCAGCAAAGGCTACAACACGTTCACCTATTTAGGAGTTAACACCAACATGATTCTAGTGAGTTGGTATTCAAGGGCCAAAAATCCAGTAACATTACTTGGAAAATGAAGCTCAGGTTTAAGTAGGGGCAAGGGTCTCCTTACCATAGGTAGCCTCTTTGTCCCCAATCCAGCGCAAGGCCCAGTCTGCCTTCTTCTTGACACAAGGCATCGTTTCAATGGCATTGAAGAGAAATTCCCTAGTAGGCACATACGGTATCAGCAATTGAAGCATTACAGTAAAAGACCTCCGATTACCAACTGCTAGATAAGAGCTCTGGGACAAAGGCCAAATTCAAGTATTTGCCAATCCTCTTCCTAAAGGAAGAACTCACACCGAAATGTTTTATTTTTACTGGTCAGTTTTTCCCTCCAGTGTTCTTTTAAAAACCTCAACACTTGATTTACATTAATACAAGTTTGGGTATTCTGTAGTTCATATTGAGCTTCAGGGTCTACAGACAGTAAAACATAGTCCAGTACAGCAGGGACATTTGTTGCCTTTAAAATTATTTCAAGTCCAGATCATTGTTCAATTTGAAGAATCATAGAATTTAAATTTGAAGAACCATAAAATCCTAACTGCTGTGCTATTATCAGACTATGATTAGGTGCATTATTTGGCCTCAGTTGCCACACCTATATCATAAAATAATTAAACCAATAAACTAAGATTGCTTCCTACTAGGACTCTGTGCTACACTGTCGATCCCAGGTCAGGAAAGCAAATCCATGGGTACTACAGTTAACTGGATCTCCCTTACCACCCTCCTCTGCCTCCCTTTATTCTGGTGCCCACCTTGAGAGGCTACTCATTTCCCAGACTGTTCCTACCCAGATGACTTTGTGTTCTGAAGCCAAGGGCACCAGACATTGGGCAGCTTTTTTTTTTTTTTTTTTTTTTTTTTTTTTAAAGAGATGAGGGTCTCACTCTGTTGCCCAGGCTAGAGTGCAGCGAGATGATCACAGCTCACGGTAAAACCAAACTCCAGGGCTCAAGCCATCCTTCTGCCTCAGCCTGCCAAGTAGCTGGGACTACTAGCTCAGACTACCATGCCCAGCTGTCGTTCATTCTTTCCATCTCACTGTCCCTCTCTCTGAGACCTGGGTCTGCCTCTCCCTTGTTTTTGAGGCTTCCCCAGCAGACCTTCCTGTTCCCCTTCTGGGCATTTGCCCCCGATCGTACCCCTAATCTTTGCCTTCTTTTCTCAATTTCCACCTATAAACATGTTCAAATCTCTTTACTCCCAATGTTTCCTCAGTCCTTTCAAGTTACCACTTTTCCTCTTCATGTACTTCAAAGTCTACAACGGCTACTTTAGGTTGCAGCTTCACCACTTCCACTCCATACAAGGTTCTGGTCCCCAAAGCTGACCTTTGTTTTTTTTGCTTGGTTTTGCTTTTTGAGACGGAGTCTTGCTCTGTCACCCAGGCTGGAGCGCAAGCTCCGCCTCCCGGGTTCACGCCATTCTCCTGTCTCAGCCTCCCAAGCAGCTGGGACTACAGGCGCCCGCCACCACTTTTTTTATTTTTAGTAGAGACGGGGTTTCACCGTGTTAGCCAGGATGGTCTCGATCTCCTGACCTCATTGTCCGCCCGCTTCAGCCTCCCAAAGTGCTGGGATTACAGGCGAGAACCACCGCGCGCCACCCTAAAGCTGACCTTTGTATCTAGACTACTCCAGCAGCCCATTTCTAATCCCCCCACCTCCAATCTCCAAAACAAAACAGACCTTAAGCTACCTTTATTCAGCCAAACTCCTGCATGCCTAAATCAGTCTCAGGGTTCACTGCTGCCTCTGCCTTATGTAACTCCTACTAAGTCTTATTTGCCTATACTATACTGCAGGCTTCTTAGGAGGCAAGTCCTCCCCGTCCATCCCACTGCAGCCCCACATTCTAGCTTCTCAACAACTTTACCAAATGAGCAAAGATGGTCAGACATAGGTTTTAGTTTGTCTTACCCAACATCTAGGAATTTTTTCAAAAGAAGGTTTTACATTGGTAGACATCCAACTTTAAAAGGAGTACCTTCACAACTCTAAGTGAATAATAAAGTGCATTTAGGCCCCTTGCTAAGAGCAGACATGACCACGGGTGCTGGGAATGCCTATGACTGTCTTAGTCATTCTGGAGTCATTTTTATCCCTAGGTGAACTAAAAATGTGTAATAAATCAACAATTAGTGAGTCCTAAAAATCTTGGCATACCACTTGAATACTCACCTTTCTTTGGGATCTTTTATGTAAGTGTCAATAAGAAGACTATACATTTCAGAATGTATGTTTTCCATGGCAATTTGGAAGCCATAGAAACAGCGGGCTTCTGTAATCTGAACTTCTTGGCTAAATCGCTCCACCTAGTGGCAAAACACATCAAAGTTAAGCTTGAGAAAAAACCAACAGCAGCAACTGTCAACGGATACTGGCAGCATCGCACTCTTTGTACCATTATAAGGTTTATTTCTATATATATTTCATCCAATTTGTCACAATTCTTTGATATTTTATGTCATATGCTCAACTTACATATCAGGAAATAGATACATATAAAATAGGATTTGTGAGCGCTCGATTTCCTAATTAATTTATGTCAAGAAAGATCCATTCGCAATAAGAGATACAACCAAATTATTATTAAAACAGCAAAGCCACAAAAAGGAGGGAGCAGAGCCGGGCGTGGTGGCTCACGCCTGTAATCCCAACACTTTGGGAGGCCAAGGTGGGTGGATCACCTGAGGTCAGCAGTTCGAGACCAGCCTGGCCAACATGGTAAAACCCTGTCTCTACTAAAAATACAGATATTAGCTAGGCATGGTGGCGCACGTCTGTAATCCCAGGTACTCATGAGGCTGAGGTTGGGGAATCGCTTGAACCCAGGAGGCGGAGGTTGCAGTGAGCCAAGATCACACCACTGCACTCCAGCCTGGGCCAGAGTGAGACTCTGTCTCAAAAAAAAAAAAAAAAAGAGGGGGCAGATGTGGTGGCCACAAAGAGTCATCACATTGCTACCACTTAATATTGTCTCAGCTTCTCTAGAGTCGGGAAAATACCATAAGAAAGAACTGCAAAGTGTTACAAAACAGGAAATGCCATGTAATATAAAACCCAGCTTACACACACAGATGCACTCAGCATGGAAAAACATACAAGACGAGGAAAGCGAACTAGTTCGACCTCAGATCGTCAACGTCAAATGAATGAAAGATGTTTTGGAAACTCACCAAGTTTTCATTTACTATGCCATCGCTTGCTGCAAAGAAAGCCAGAACATGGGATATAAAATATCTCTCCTCGGGTTTCAGGGATTCCCAGTGCTGAATGTCCTTGGAGAGGTCCACCTGAGGTTCGGAAGTCACAATTTTAGCATAAAAGGAAGAGAGTAAAGCCTACAGGACTCACACTGAGCACTCAAACTTTAAGTATGCTGGCACCACTTACTATGCCCCACAGTTAGCCCCCCTTGCCAACGGGAACCTCCAAGTGCATTTATGTCTGAGGCGTGACGGTCACCCCTGCAGGGGTCTTCTGGGGTCCTCCGATTACCTCCTCGGCGGTCCAAAAGGAAGCCTCTGCCTTCTTATACATCTGCCAGATATCATGGTACTCGATGGGGAAGATGACAAAGCGGCGGGGGTTTTCTCTCAGCAGCGGCTCATCCTCCACGCCGGGGGCAGCTGCTTTAGTTTTCTGTTGGGGGAGAAAATAAAACATTTAAGTACCGGGCGAACCATATGAAACTAACGTTTTTCTGGACCAAGTCCTTTCCATTGGCGGCAATTTCACGGGGCCCGATGTGAAAACGTGGCTGTCCCGTCGCACTCCGTGGGTCGCAGCAGAGGAGCGCACGCCCGAACCGGGAAATGGGCCGAGGGGCGCGGGAGGCAGCCCTGGGGAGGGGCCGCCTAGGCGGGAAAGGAGCCGGGGCGGGAGTGTGAACAGCTGAGGAAACAATGCGGCTTTGGCGCCAAGACGCCCAAGGCCGTCCCTGGCCCCTCTGCCCCACGCCCGCCACTCACCGGCTCCGTGGGCTCCTGGAAGATCCTCCTCGCGGTCTTGCTGGCCAGGACGCGGGTCCCGCTCAGGGCCGGCGGCTGCGGGGAGACGCGTGTGAGTGAGGAGCGGCTTCGCTTTCCCTGCCTCCCTCCCCTGCCCGCAGCGCCCTCCCCGCGGGCTCACCGTGTTCTCCTTGTCGACCAAGCTGAGCCCCTTCAGCGGCGAGAGCTGCAGCTGCTGCGGGTCCGTGATGGGCGCGAGCGGGACACGGAGGGAGAGCATAGTGGAGGCGCAGCGAAGCAGAGCGAGCAGCCAGGACAGGACGGCTGGGACAGGGTGCACGGGCGACCCCTCACTCCAGCAGCCTTTAAATCTCCCGCGCCGCGCGCTCCCGGCCCTTCCCATTGGCTTTGGTGCCCCGGCCCTTCCCATTGGCTGTGCCATGCCTCCGACCCTTCCCATTGGCTGCGCCTTGCCCCTACCCAGGCTGGCCGCGGGGCCGCGCGCGATTTTCAAGCGCAGCGCGGGAGCCTCCGCCGGCGCCTTCCGGAGACCCCCGGGGACACCCCCGTGGACGCCCCCCGGGACCTCCCGGTTCCCCCCCCGGCCCGTCCGCTGGCTGGGTCGGGGGCGCCGCCGCCCAGGCCCCCACAGGTCCCGCGGGACCAGGGCCGCAGCCCCTGAGGGTCTCGGCGGCCTTGGCGCGCGCGGGCCCCGGTTCGCCCGGGAACCGTTTAGGATTGCGTGAGGAGCAGCGATTGGAGCCCGCGGGCGCGAGAGGATCCCCGGGCCGCGGCCCCGCCTCCCGAAAGCACCTCCTCCCAGCCGGGCCGCCGCCGGGCAGGGGGCTTAGCCAACGAGGTTGGTGCAAAGGCCTGGAAAACGCTCCTGGGTGCGGGGGAGGCGTTGCTGCGACCCTTTCGATCCGTGTCCCTGCGGTGGGGGTGCAAGGGCCCCGAGGCCTGACATTTTGGCGGGGTGGTCGGCGAGGACCCTACAGCCTAAAAGTTAGGGCCGCTGAGCCCCGTGGCTCGTTTTGCTGGGACAAGCGACCAGGCTTCTTACAGATTCGGTGTCCCCGTGAGTAAAATGGGACTCGTAACCGCGTGGACTGTTAATGCGGTGAGGAGAGCGTTCGTTGAGATGACTCATGTAAAATGTGCAGTCCTTTGTAAACCTTCAAACTACGGGACATGGCGAGAAGGCCCTTGGTGCAGTTTTCCACAGAAATCCTGTCTCCTGTCAGACCCCTGACCCCTATTGTCACCCTTGCCTTAAGAATTGCAAACTGTGGCTGGGCGCGGTGGCTCACGCCTGTAATCCCAGCACTTTGGGAGGCCAAGGCAGGAGGATTGTTTGAGGCCAGGAGCTGGAGACCATCCTGGGCAACATAGTGAGACCCCGCCTCTGCCATTAAAAAGAGAAGAAAAAAAGTTGTTTTAATTGCAAACTGAGCAAAAATTCCTGGGAGAAAGTTCACAGAATGATTTTAGGACTAGGAATTAATGTACTACTCATTGGGCGTCAAATATGCTGAAGAGGAGTTTGAAAACTCCACTGGTGTAGAGACTGGAACTTAGCAATAGCTTTCATTTAATTTTCTATGTGGCTTTCTGATTTGCCAGGCCCTGCAACGGGCAAAATGCCAAAAATAAAGGAAGAGAAAGAAACTTTAAGATCCAAGAAAGAAATCATTAACCTGAGAAAGCTTCAACAGCTGCGCTCAGGGCTGTTATTGAGAGAGACCCGGGACTTTTTTTTTCACAAAGCCTTTTCTAGATAAGATACTTTAAAGAGGGTGGGGTGGGACAGGTACCCTCCCCACCTAGGTCTGTTTCTCTCATTTCTTAAAAGTACTACGGACTTGTAAATCATAGTATTCTCGTGTTGCAGGAATAAGTGCCCATCACATTCCTTACACAAAGCCACAACTAAAACTTTGGTGTACCATGATTTGTTTAAAGCAACTCGCCATTCATCGCCATTTTCACCCCAAACACACTAAAGCATCCATCTCCAGGAAACTGGTATTTTTATTGATTACTTTATGGCTGATAAAGCTATTATCTAACAAAATTATAATTTATTGGTGTCATCTCATACTCAACTCAGATTTCAATTTCCCATAATCAGCGTCTAAAACCCTCGTTTCGGTTGCCCTAGGGCGCCACGTGCTTTTTTGCTCCTGTTAAACTCACTGTAACTGAAGTAGTCAGAGGTGGCTTCATTGATAGTTTAGTTCCTGGCCACGTAATTAACATAGCCATTGTAGAAGACGCCGAAAGATGCGTACGTGTTGTTAAAGGCCGGGTGAAGTCGCCATCCTCCCCTCCCGCGCTAAACCTGAGTCATCTCGGCGTGGCCCTCCTGCCCCCAGGTCCGGCAACTTTGCCCCGCTGCGGAGGAGGTGGCGGCGCCCAGGGCCACGCGGCAATGCGGGCGGTTCCGCCTCCGGGGAGGTCGGGCGGTGCAGCCACTCCCGGGAGAGCGCCCGCCGCAGGCTGCTGCTAGCCCCGGGATTCACTCCTTTTTCCCTCGGTGCTCGTTTTTTTGGTTTTATTTAAGTAAACAGACGAGGGTCTCGCTTGTTTGCCCAGGCTGGTCTCAAGCGATCCTCCCTCCGCCTCCCTAAGCGTCGGGATTCCTGGCGGAAGCCACTTGAGCGCGCGTTTTGACATCTGCATCTACTCCACCATTGGTCTGCACGGGAGGCCCCGCCCCGCCCCCCGGAAGGCTCCTCTGCATTCCCAGCCTCAGGTGCCCCGCCCCGTTTCCGCTGCGCGCTCGCCGGTTCACACGCCCCAGCCTGGGCAAGTTTGCAGGTCTCAGGCCAAGGTTAGCGCGACTTCCAAAAGGCTGTTCACCATTAGGGTGGAGAAACCGCGGCTCGGGGAGCTCAGCACTCACTGTGTACCAGACGCCGTGCCGAAGGTGGTCATAATAATAATTAAGGCTGCAGCACCCACAGCCTCTGGGCGCCTGGATCATGTGAGGCTGTTTGAGTTTTTTGTTTTTTGTTTTGAGACAGGGTCTTGCTCTGTTGCCCAGTCTGGTGGCTCCATGATAGCTCACTGCAGCCTCAACTATCCGAGCTCAAGCGATCCTCCCACCTCAGCCTCCCGAGTAGCTGGGACTCAAGGCAGGCACCACTACGCCAGGCTAATTTTTTAATTTTTTGTAGAGATGGGTTCTCGGTATGTTACCCGGGCTGGTCTTGAACCCCTGGGCTCAAGCCATCCACCCGCCTTGGCCTCCCAAAATGCTCAGATTACAGGCGTGAGCCACCGCCCCACCGGGGTTGGTATTTTTAACCCTTTTCATAGGTGATGAAATGAAGGCCTGGGAGGCAAGGAAACTGCCCAAGGTCGCACAGCACAACTGCACAGCAGAACGTTTTTAGCCTAGCTTTTTACTATGAATGTTTTCAACATACAGAATAATGGAAGGATTCCTAGTGTTCACCCACCAGCTAGGATTCAACAGCTGTTTCCATTTTGCCATATTTGCTTCATGGCAAATGTGGCAGACACCCCCTCTGTGGGTGTATGAGGCTTATGCTTTTTTATGGATCATTTGAAAGTGAGTGATAGATATCATAACCCATCACCCCTAAACGTTTCAGCTCCTAAAAATTAGGACACTCTGTTAATATCACCACAATACCACATTTATCCCTAGGAAAACTAACAATAATTCTCTAATATAACCTAATATCCAGTCCATATTCCTGTTTTTCCAATTGTTTCAAAAATGTCTCATAGTTTTTTGGATTTATTTTTTTGTGCAGTATCTAATTAATCACATGCATTGCGTTTATTATGTTGCTTTAGACTCTTAGTAAAGCTCCTCCACTTCTTTTCCCCACGACATTGACTTTGAAGTACAGGCCAGTTTTCTTGTAGAATGTCCCACATTCTACATTTGCCTAATTGTTTATTCACAGTGTCAATGAACTTGTTTTCCTGACCCCTGTACTCTACACTGGAAGTTAGGTCAAAAGGCTTTATTAGGCCCTGCTTGGAGGTTCACGCCTGTAATCCCAGCACTTTGGGAGGGTGAGGCAGGCAGATCACCTGAGGTCAGGAGTTTGAGAGCAGCCTGGTCAATATAGGGAAACCCCATCTCTACTAAAAATACAAAAATTAGCCAGACGTGGCAGCAGGCGCCTGTAATTCCCGCTACTTGGGTTCCCGCTACTTGGGAGGCTGAGGCAGGAGAATCATTTGAACCCAGGAGGCAGAGGTTTCAGTGAGCCGAGATCACACCATTGCACTCCAACCTGGGCAACAAGAATGAAATTCCGTCTCAAAAAAAAAAAAAAAAGTCCGGCGGGGGATCGTTATTAGCCTAAGGCTAAAAGTTATTGGCAAGAAGACTTCATACGTGATAATATAGCTAGGATTTGAACCCAGGTCTGACTAACTCCAGAATTCCAGACTCTCAAAAACTTTGTTTTAATATGAACTGCCAATTACGTATATTTATATATATATATATATAGATGAGGTCTCACGATATTGCCCAGGCTGGGCTCAAACTCCTGGGCTCAAGCTATCCTTCTACCTCGGCCTCCCAAAGTGCTGGGATGACAGGCATGAGCCCTTGCGCCCAGCCCAACATTCTTAATGTAGCACAGCACAGCAGCACCACAACCACAAGTCTCAGGAGCAGCCCAGTTCAACTTTGTAGTTAGTTTATGTGTCACTCACTCAGAAGTCAGCAGGAAATGGTTAAGCAGGAAGCAGGGTGGACAACCAGATGGAGCTGTTTGATGCTGATGTGAGTGTCACCACATCATTTGTGTCTAGAACATTCGCATTGGAGAGCTTCAGCCACTGAGAGGCCATTTTCAGGAGATGGTGAGGATGAGGCAGCCAGCACAGTGCAGAGCCTTTGGGATTAATGATTTTCTTCGTGCTCAGATAACCTCTAAAATGATGTTGAACAGTTATGTGCCACTTTACACACATTTAAAATAGACATTTAGCCAGGCACAGTGGCACACCCTTATACTCCCAGCTACTCCAGAGGCTGAGGAAGGAGAATTGCTTGAGACCAGGTATTTGAAACCAGCCTGGGCAACACAGCAAGACCCCTGTCTCTAAAACTAAAATAAATAAGAATTAAACTGACATTTAAACTTTTAGTCATAAATAGTTACAGGAGATGTAATCTCCATCATGTTGCAAATATTAGCACTTTAAAATGACAACTGGCCGGCATGGTGGCTCACACCTGTAATCCTAGCACTTTGGGAGGCTGAGGTGGGAGGATGGCTTGAGCCCAGAAGTTCAACACCAGCCTAGGCAACATAGACCTTGTCTCTGTGAAAAATAAAAAAGTAGCTGATTGTGGTGGCACGCATCTCTGGTCCCAGCTGTTTAGGAGGCTGAGGCAGGAGTATTGCTTGAGCCCAGGAGGTTGAAGCAGCAGTGAGCCGTGATCACGCCACTGCATTCCAACCTGGGCAACAGAGCAAGATGCTATCTCAAAATAAATAAAAATAAAAACCACAACTATGTGCTTTTAACTCTTAGAATTTAGAATCCACAGATTTCAGTATGTTTGTTATGCTTATTTAAAAATTCCTAGTCTGGCCAGGCGCAGTGGCTCACGCCTGTAATCCCAGCACTTTGGGAGGCCGAGGTGGGCAGATCACAAAGTCAGGAGATTGAGACCATCCTGGCTAACACGGTGAAACCCCGTCTCTACTAAAAATACAAAAAAATTAGCCGGGCGTGGCAGCAGGCGCCTGTGGTCCCAGCTACTCGGGAGGCTGTGGCAGGATAATGGCGAGAATCCGGGAGGCGGAGCTTGCCAAGATTGCACCACTGCACTCCAGCCTGGGCAACAGAGTGAGACTCTGTCTCAAAATAAATAAATAAATAAATAAATAATAAAAAATAAAAATTCCTAGTGTCTGCCACATCTTTTTTTTTTTTTTAAAAGAAACAGGGTCTTGGCCAGGCACAGTGGCTCACGCCTGTAATCCCAACACTTTCGGAGGCCGAGGCGGGCGGATCACCTGAGGTCAGGAGTTCCAGAACAGCCTGACCAACATGGAGAAACCCCGTCTCTACTAAAAAAATTACAAAATTAGCCACGTGTGGTGGCACATGCCTGTAATCCTAGCTACTTGGGAGGCTGAGGCAGGAGAATTGCTTGAACCCGGGAGGCGGAAGTTGCGGTGAGCCAAGATCGTGCCATTGCACTCCAGCCTGGGCAACAAGAGCAAAACTCCATCTGAAAAAAAAAAAGAAACAGGGTCTTGCTCTGTCACCTGGTCTGGAGTGCAGTGGTGCAATAATGGCTCACTACAACCTTCAACTCCTGGATTTAAGCAATCCTCCCACCTCAGCCTCCCAAGTAGCTAGGACTGCAGGTGCACACCACCACGCCCGGCTCATTTTCTTTTATTATAGAGACAGGGTCTCACTATGGGTCCCAGGCTGGTCTTGAACTCTTGGCCTTAAGTGATCCTCTAGCCTCAGCCTCCCAAAACGCTGACATTACAGGCCTAAGCCACTGTGCCTGGGCTTTGTCCATTTATTGATTGGGTCATTTATCACTTTCTTATTGATTTATAGGGGCTTTATATGATTTGGACAGTATTTCTTTCTATTATATATGTTGCAGTTTTAGTTTCCTAATATTCCATTTATGTCTTTTTTTTTCTTTTTTAAAAAAGTATTAAGCTTTATTTTGAGGTAGTTTAAGACACACAGAAGTTGCAAAAATGGTAAAGTTACTCATCCAGGTTACTCAATATCTTACATAACCATAGTACATTGTCAAAATCAGGAAGTTGACAGTAATTAAATTACTAACCTTGTTTGGATTTCACTGGTTTCTACATGCAGTCATGTATAGGTGTATGTGTACATGGTTCTTTGAAATTTTATCACGTGTAGATTTGAATAACCATCACCAAATCAGGATACAGAACTGTTCCATCACCACAAAGAAGATCCCTGTGTTGCTCCTAATTGTTAACACCCTAGCCTTAACTCCCGGCAACCACTAATCTGGTCTCTATCACTGTAATTTGTCTTAGATAATATTCTATAAATGGAATCATATAATGTGGAACCCTTTGAGATTAACTGGCTTTTTTTAACTAGAAATAATGCCCTTGAGATTCATCCAAGTTGTTGAATGTATCAACAGTTTCTTCCTGTTTATTGCTGAGTAGTGTGCATTTCCTTGGATGGCTGTTCACCTGGTGTGGGACATCTGTGTATTTTGCTTTCTTGTTTTATTTACTTTTTTTGAGTTGGGATCTCACTACGTTGCCCAGGCTGGACTCGAACTCGTGGGTTCAAGTGATCCTCCCACCTCAGCCTCCCAAGTAGCTGTGATCACACATGCATGTCACCAGGCCCTTGCTCACATCTTGCTTTCTAACTAATTAATTTCTTTGCTTATCCCCTCTCAAATATTGGTTGGGTTTACTTCTTTTTTTTTTCTTTTTTTTTGAGACAGAGTCTCTCTGTCGCCCAGGCTGGAGTGTAGTGGCGCCATCTTGGCTCACTGCAACTTCCACCTCCTGGGTTCAAGCAATTCTCCTGCCTCAGCCTCCCGAGTAGCTGGGATTAAAGGCACCCACCACCATACCCAGCTAATTTTTGTATTTTTAATAGAGAAGGAATTCCACCATGTTGGCCAGGTTGGTCTCAAACTCCTGACCTTCAGTGATACACGTGCCTCAGCTTCCCAAAGTGCTGGGATTACAGGCAAGAGCCACCGCACCCGGCCGCTGTTACATTTTCTTTTGAGTACGGTTTTGGCAAATCCCACAGGTTTTAATGGATAGTGATCTCACTTTTGCATTTTTTAAATAGTCTGAGATGTGGGTTTTGATTTCCTTTATTACCTAGATCTGGTTTATTTAGAATGTTAAAACTTTTCATCTCCATGTGCTTTGATTTTCATTTTGAATATCTTTTCATTCAGATTACATTGTTAGAATCATTAGATGAATTTTAGGAGAACTGACATCTTTATGATATTGAGTCTTCTAATCCATGGCCACGGTATATCCCTCCATTTATTTATGTTGTCCTTAATTTTTTTCAGTACTTTTTTTTGTAGCTTCCTATATAGCGGTCTTGCACATTTAAAAAATTTTTCTCCTGGATATTTATTATTTCTTATTCTATGATAAGTAGTATCATTTAACTTTTTTATTTTCTAAATTTATGCACTGATATATATAGACATTGTTTTTCATATTATTAACCTTAAATCCTACAACCTTGATCAATTTGTAATTAATTTGGTTTATCTGTGGACTCCTTTATGTTTTCTTCATTCACAGTCATGGTGCCTGTAAAGAATGACAGTTTTACGTCTTCCTATCCAATCTTTATGCTCATTTTTATTTTACTTTATTATCATTATTATTATTTAGAGACAGGATCTCACTCTGTCTCCTGGACTCAAGTGCAGTGGCACGATCGTAGCTCACTGCAGCCTCGAACTCCTGGGCTCAAGCAATCCTCCAGCCATCACACCATCTACATTGAATGTAATTACTTATATATTTGGTTTACATCTACTATATTAGTACTTGTTTTCTACTTACCCACCTGTTTTGTGTTCTTTTGTCTCTTTTCTTTTCTTTTTGAGATGGAGTCTTGCTCTGTCACCCAGGCTGGAGTGCAGTGACGCGATCTCGGCTCACTGCAACCTCTGCCTCCCGGGTTCAAGCAATTCTCTTGCCTCAGCCTCCTGAGTAGCTGGGATTACAGGTGCCTGCCACCACGCCCGGCTAGTTTTTGTATTTTTAGTAGAGACAGGGTTTCACCATGTTGGCCAGGCTGGTCTCGAACTCCTGACCTTCAGTGATCTGTCTGCCTCGGCCTCCCAAAGTGCTGGGATTACAGATGTGAGTCACTGCGCCCAGTTTTTGTCTCTTTTCAAATATTCTTTGGAATTAAAAAGTTATTATTCGGCTGCACCAGGCCTCACCAGATGAGTTCTACCTGGTGACTTCAGCTTACATCACGTGGAGAAGAAAAATTGCCAACCTTAGCCCCATCCAAATTCCTGATACACAAAATTATGAGATAAAATAGTGGTTGTTTTAAGCAGCTAAAAAACAGAAGTCTCATTTTGAAAGCTTTGAAAAATACTAAGGACGGGCACGGTGGCTTATGCCTGTAATCCCAGTACTTTGGGAGGCCAAGGCAGGTGGATCACAAGGTCAGGAGTTCGCGACTAGCCTGACCAACATGGTGAAACCCCGTCTCTACTAAAAATACAAAAAGTGGCCAAGCGTGGTGGTGCGCACCTGTAATCCCAGCTACTCAGAAGGCTGAGGCAAGATAATTGCTTGAAGCCGGGGGGTGGAGGTTGCAGTGAGCTGAGATGGTGCCACTGCACTCCAGCCTGGGTGACAGAGCGAGAGTCCATCTCAAAAAAAGAAAAAAAGAAAAGAAAAATACTAACAAAATTGTTTTTCATTTTTAAGATTTAAACAAAGATCTATTTTTTTTTTTTTTTTGGAGACGGAGTCTCACTCTGTTGCCCAGGCTGGAGTGCAGTGGCGCCATCTCGACTCACTGCAAGCTCCGCCTCCCGGGTTCACGCCATTCTCCTGCCTGAGCCTCCCCAGTAACTGGGACTACAGGTGCCCGCCACCACACCTGGCTAATATATATATATATATATATATATATATATATATATATATATTTTTTTTTTTTGTATTTTTAGTAGAGACGGGGTTTCACCGTGTTAGCCAGGATGGTCTCAATCTCCTGACCTCGTGATCCGCCCGCCTCGGCCTCCCAAAGTGCTGGGATTACAGGCATGAGCCACAGCACCCGGCCTTAAACAAAGATCTTAAGGTCTAGGCGGTCTCTAATAGGGCTGTAATAGTTTTTATCATATGATTTCTAAATCTTTTTTTTTTTTTTTTTTGAGACAGAGTCTCACTCTGTCCCCCAGGCTGGAGTACAGTGGTGCAATCTCTGCTCACTGCAAGCTCCACCTCCCAGGTTCACGCCATTCTCCTGCCTCAGCCTCCCAAGTAGCTGGGACTACAGGCACCCGCCACCACGCCAGGCTAATTTTTTGTATTTTTAGTAGAGACGGGGTTTCACAGTGTTAGCCAGGATGGTCTCGATCTCCTGACCTCATGACCCACCCACCTCGGCCTCCCAAAGTGCTGGGATTACAGGCATGAGCCACCGCGCCCGGCCTTGATTTCTAAATCTTAATGTCACCCTATCTCTTCCTACTAATTTTTTATCAATTAATTTTTTTAAAATAGAGACAGAGTTGCCCAGGCTGATCTTGAACTCCTGAGGTCAAGCAATCCTCCTGCCTCGGCCTCCCAAAGTGCTGGGATTACAAGCGTGAGCCACTATGCCCAGCCCCTTCCTACTAATTTCTATGTGAGTTCTTAATTGTCAGTGGTTCCCAGCTCTGTTGGCTGTATTTGTTCTTAACCATTTTTATACTGCACCTTCTTCTACTATCGCTATTATTTATCATCATCACTAGTGTCTAAATTTTGGTATTTGGCCCAAGCATGGTGGCTCACGCCTGTAATCCCAGCACTTTGGGAGGCCAAGGCGGGTGGATCACATGAGGTCAGGAGTTCGAGACCAGCCTGGCCAACATGGTGAAACCCAGTCTCTGCTAAAAAACAAAAATTAGCTGTGGGTGGTGGCATGCACCTGTAGTCCCAGCTACTTGGGAGGCTGGGGCAGGAGAACTGGAACCCGGGAGGTGGAGGTTGCAGTGAGCTGAGATGGTACCACTGCACTCCAGCCAGGGTGACAGAGCAAGACCCTGTCTCAAAAAAAAAAAAATTTATTTGGTCTTGAATTTAGAAATTATTTATTCTAGGCCGGGCACGGTAGCTCACGCCTGTAATCCCAGCACTTTGGGAGGCCTAGGTGGGTGGATTACCTGAGGTCAGGAGTTCAAGACCAGCCTGACCAATATGGTGAAACCCCGTCTCTACTAAAAATATAAAAATGAGCCAGACGTGGTGGTGCGTGCCTGTAATCCCAGCTACTCGCGAGGCTAAGACAGGAGAATCACTTGAACCCAGGAAGCGGAGGTTGCAGTGAGCCAAGATTGCGCCACTGCACTCCAGCCTAAGCAACAGAGCGAGACTTTGTCTCAAAAAAAAAAAAGAAATGAGACTATCTTTTAAAAATGGCAGTTTTATCTCTTCCTTTCCAATGCTAATATCCTATGCAAAATTTTTTTGTTGTGGTTGTTGTTGATGTTGTTTTGTTTTGTTTTGAGACGGAGACTCACTCTGTCGCCCAGGCTTGAGTACAATGGCACGATCTCGGCTCACCTGTAACCTCTGCCTCCCGAGGACTCGCTGTGTTGCCCAGGCTGGTCTCAAACTCCTGGCCTCAAGCAATCCTCCAGCCTTAACCTCCCAAAGTATTGGGATTACAGGCGTGAGCCACCATGCCCAGCCTATTTTCTTTTTTTTTAATTTAAAAATTTTTGTTTTTTTTGAAACATGCTCCACAGAAAAGCATATATTATTTTCTATGATGAATTGACATAGTTTATGCTTTATTTAGAATTTTTAAATCAATTTCTTTTCTTTTTTTTGAAGTGGAGTCTCTGTCGACCAGGCTGGAGTATAGTGGCCAGATCTCACTGCAACCTCCGCCTCCCAGGTTCAAGCGATTCTCTGGCCTCAGCCTCCCAAGTAGCTAGGATTGCAGGCATCTGCCACCACGCCTGGCTCATTTTTTTGTATTTTTAGTAGAGATGGGGTTTCACCATGTTGGCCAGGCTGGTCTTGAATTCCTGAGCTCAACTGACTGCCTGCCTCGGCCTCCCACAGTGCTGGGATTACAGGCCTGAGCCACCGCACCCCACCTAAATCAGTATTATTAATTGAAATTACCCTATAATTTTATTTTCTTGTTCTTTTTCCTATTTAGTTATATATGAAGTTTATTCTTATAAAATGAATTTTGCAACTTTTATTCTGTTGTTTAAAACACTGTATAGTATGGTGATTTTTTTGTTCATTTAATTTTTTTTTTTTTTTTTTTTTTTTTTGAGGTGGAGTCTTGTTCTGTTGCCAGGCTGGAGTGCAGTGGCATGATCTCGGCTCACTGCAACCTCTGCCTCCTGGGTTCAAGCGATTCTCCTGCCTCAGACTCCCAAATAGCTGGAACTACAGGCGCGCACCACCACACCCAGCTAATTTTTGTATTTTTAGTAGAGATGGGGTTTTGCCATGTTGGCCAGGATGGTCTTGATCTCTTGACCTCGTGATCCTCCTGCCTCGGCCTCCCAAAGTGCTGGGATTACAGGTGTGAGCCACCACACCCGGCCTGTTCCTTAAATTTTTGTCAGTAACTCCTATAAACTGTCTAGGATTAGTGTCTTTTTCAGGGGGAAAGTTTGAGACTTCCAAATATGTTTCTTTCTTGGCAATGGGTTATCCCAATTTTCTATCCCTTCTTAACTCTTTTTTGGATATTTATAATTTTAGAAAATTGTCCTGTTGATCTTAGGTTTTCACATTTATTTTAAGTTTTCATAGCATTGTTTTATCACTTTTTTTTTTTTTTCAAGGCTGAGTCTCACTCTGTCACCCAGACTGGAGTGCAATGGCGCAGTCTCAGCTCACTACAACCTCCATCTCCTGGGTTCAAGTGATTCTCCTGCCTCAGCCTCCTGAGTAGCTGGGATTACAGGTGCCCACCACCATGCCTGGCTAATTTTTGTATTTTTAGTAGAGACGGGGGTTCACCATGTTGGCCAGGCTAGTCTCAAACTCCTGACCTCAGGTAATCCACTCACCTCAGCCTCCCAAAGTGCTGGAATTACAGGTGTGAGCCACTACGCCCGGCCCTGTTTTATTACTTAAAACGTTATTGTGAAATAAAGGGAGTTTTTGAGCTTCTAAAGCATTTGTATTGTGAACCCATTTTAATTCCTAATAGTGGTTAGTTTTGGTTTCTCTGTTTTTCCCTTATTAGTCTTAGTAGAAATTTGCCAATTTTATATATCTGAGAGGGAAAAAGAAACTTGGTTTTGTTGTTTCTTTTTTTTTTTTCTTTGTATTTTTAGTAGAGATGGGGTTTCACTGTGTTGGCCAGGCTGGTCTTGAACTCCTGACCTTGTGATCCACCCACCTCAGCCTCCCAAAGTGCTGGGATTACAGGTGTGAGCCATCATGCCTGGCCCTGGTTTTGCTGTTTCTGTTTTGTTCATTTAAATATTTATTGGGTATATATTTAATCAATTTCCATTCTTTATTCTTTTGTTTCTTCTGCTTTTTTTGTTTACTCTGTGGATGTTTTCTACTTTCCTGAATTAAATACTTAGTTTATTTTCACTATCTCTGTTTTATAATAAATGATATAAATCTCCCTTCAAATAGGATTTTAGCTGCATTCCAAAGGTTTTGATATGTTACATTTATACTGAACAGTAGTTTGAGAGTAGAATTCCCTGGGCCAGAGTTATTTTCCCTCAGGCCTCTGGCATTGTTACTCCATTGTCCATTGTCAGTTGTTTCTTGTGAGAAGTCTGCAGTTGTGTTTCTCTTCATAAGTTTTGAGATTTTTCTCTTCCTCTTTGGTATTCTGAAATTCTATTCTGATGTGATTACATGAATGCTTACTTTTCTTTATCTTGCTTAGTTCCCAGATTGTATTTCATTGTGAAATCTCATGTCTTAAATTCTGAAAAATGATCAGCCAGTTTTTCCTCTGGTGTGTCTCATCTGCTATCCCCTTTTTTCTTTTTTTTTTTTTTTTCTGAAGTTCCTAACTGCTGCTTGTTGGGGCTACTTAATCTATACCCAGGCTTTTAACTGTTCTCATGTTTTTAAAAACCTATTTCTCTCACTGTTCAACATGTTATTATTCATTAGCTCCAATCTCTTTCCTACCATTCTGTCTTTTTTCTAATTCACCTTGCACGGTGCTACCAGATTGATCTGAAAGTGAAATTCTAGTTATTGAACCAGTGAATCGTGAATCATGATTTTAGAAGTGAATCCCAAAAGCCTTTGATCCTACCCCTCTTGGTTTATGGGAGAAAAAAATTTAGATCCATGCCAGGTGCAGTGGCTCACGCTTGTAATCCCACCACTTTGGGAGGTTGAGGTGGGAGGATCACTTGAGCCCAGGAGTTCAGGATCAGCTTGGGTGACACAGAGCATGTTGTTGCACACCTGTGGTCCCAGCTACTCAGGAGGCTGAGCCTGGAGGATCACTTGAGTCCAAGAGGTCACGGATACATTGAGCCATGATGTACCACCACACTCCAGCCTGGGTGACAGAGTGAGACCCTGTCTCAAAAAAAAAAAAAAAAAAAATTACATCCAGAGATAAAGAGAATCTCCCAAAGTCACACAATAGAAGAACAGGCAGGGGAGCCTCATGGAGTCTAATATAAAGTTGCCTGGGCTGCCCCTTTGAAGGAACACCTACCCTAGCATAGCATGAGACCCCCAACTGGCACTACACAGGGAACACAAAGATAACAGGGGAGGCTGGGCGCAGTGGCTCATGCCAGTATCCGAGCACTTTGGGAGGCTGAGGTGAGTGGATCATTTGAGGTCAGGAATTCGAGACCAGCCTGACCAACACGGTGAAACCCCATCTCTACTAAAAATACCAAAAAAATTAGTCAAGCGTCGTGGCACATGCTTGTAGTCCCAGCTACTCGGGAGGCTGAGGCAGAAGAACTGCATGAACCTGGGAGGTGGAGGTTGCAGTGAGCCGAGATCATACCATTGCACTCCAGCCTGGGCGACAGAGTGAGACTGTCTCAAAAACAAACAAATTAGCTGGGCGTGGTGGCGCACACCTGTAATCTCAGCTACTCAGGTGGCTGAGTCATGAGAATCACTTGAACCTGGGAGGCACACGTTGCAGTAAGCCGAGATGGTGCCACTGCACTCCAGCCTGGGTGACAGAGTGAGACTTTCTCTCTAAAAAAAAAAAAAAAAAAAAAAAGATAACAGGAGGGAACACCTACCTCATCTTCTGGGCCTTTTAATTGCTCTGAATCATCATAAGACAAGGGAAAGGAGATCACTTTTATTCCAATTTTGTGATTTTTATCATTAACTTTTAAAAAATCATTTTTAAAAATGGTAGTAAAATACATACAGCATAAAACTTACCATTTTAGCCATTTTTAAGTGTGAAGCTCAGTGACATTAAGTATATTCTCATTGTTGTGCAACTATTGCCACCATCTACTCACAGAACTTTTTTATGTTCCCAAACTGAAACTCTGGACCCATTAAATAATAATTCCTCAGGACAGACGCGGTGGCTCACGCCTGTAATTCCAGCACTTTGGGAGACCAAGGTGGGCAGATTGCTTGAGTCCAGGAGTTGGAGACCAGCCTGGGCAACATGGCAAAAACCTGTCTCTACTAGAAATATAAAAAATTAGCCTGGTGTGGTGGCATGTGCCTGTAGTCCCAGCTACCAGGGAGGTTGAGGTGGTAGGCTCCCCTGAGCCTGGGAGGATCGAGGTTGCAGTGAGTCGTGATCATACCACTGTACTCCAGCCTGGGCCACAGAGATCACCCTGTCTCAAACAAAAAACAAACAAAACCTCCTCATTCCCCCTCCCTATAGCCCCTGACAACACCATTCTACTTTCTATCTCTATGATTTTGACTACTCTAAGTACCACATATGAATAGAATCATATATTGTTTGTTCTTTTAGTGACTGTCTTATTTCACTTAGCATAACATTCTCAAGGTTCATTTATGTTGTAAGATGGGTCATAATGTCCCTTTTTTAAGGCTGAATAATAATCCATCGTGTGCATAGACGGCATTTTGTTTATCCAATCATCTGTGGATGTTTGGGTTGTTTCTACCATTTGGTTATTATGAAGAGTGCTGCTATGAACAAGGGCAAGTGTACATGTTCCTGTAAAGAAAAAGACAGGAAGATGGGGGAAAATTTCGAGCTTCCTAGAGAATTGTTAAATTATCATGACCAAAATGTTGATAGCGATATGGACAATGAAGCCCAGGCCGAGGTGGTCCCAGGTGGAGATGAGGAACTTACTGGGAATTGGAGTAAACGTCATTCTTGCTATGCTTTAGCAAAAAGACTGGTGGCATTGTGCCCCTGCTCTAGGGATCTGTGGAACTTTAAACTTGAGAATGATGATTTAGGGTATCTGGTGGAAGAAATCTTTAAGCCGCAAAGTGTTCAAGATGTGGCCTGGCTGCTTCTAACAGTGTATGGTTATATGCATGAGGTGTGAGCAAATTGATGATCTGAGGGCTGGGTGTGGTAGCTCATCCCTGTAATCTCAGCACTTTGGGAGGTCGAGGTGGGTGGATTACCTGAAGTCAGGAGTTCAAGACTGGCCTGGCCAACATTGGGAAACCCCATCTCTACTAAAAATACAAAAAAAAATTAGCCAGGCATGGTGATCCACACCTGTAATCCCAGCTACTCTGGAGGCCGAGGCAGGAGAATTGCTTGAACCTGGGAAGTGGCAGTTACCGTGAGCCCAAGATCACGCCACTGCACTCCAGCCCGGGCGACAGAGCAAGATTCCATCTTGAAAAAACAATACAAAACAACAACAACAAAAAAAGCAGAGATGATCTGAAACTGGAACTTATATTTAGAAAGGAAGCAGAGCGGCTGGGCGCAGTGGCTCATGCCTATAATTCCAGCACTTTGGGAGGCCGAGGCGGGAGGATCACTGGAGGTCAGGAGTTCAAGACTGGCCTGGCCAACATGGTGAAACCCCATCTCTACTAAAAATACAAAAATTACTCAGGTGTGGTGGTGGGCGCCTGTAATTCCATCTACTTGGGAGGCTGAGGCAGGAGAATCACTTGAACCCAGAAGGCGGAGGTTGCAATGAGCCGAGATCGCACCATTGCACTCTAGCCTAGGCAATTAGAGTGAGACTCCATCTAAAAAAAAAAAAGCAGAGCATAAAAGTTTAGAAAATTTGCAACCTGACCATATGGTAGAAAAGAAAGCCCATTTTCTGGGGGAGGAATTCAAGCTGGCTGCAGAAATTTGCATAAGTAAAAAGGAGTTAAATATTAACAGCCAAGACAATGGGAAAAATGCCTTGAAGGCAGGCCCTCTCATCACAGGCCCAGAGGCCTAGGAGAGAAGAACAGTTTCATGGGCAGGGCCCTGCTGCCCTGCGCAACCTCAGTACACTGCTCCCTGCATCCCAGCCACTCCAGCTCAGCCATGGCTAAAAGTGCCCCAGATTAATCTCAGGCAGCTGATCCAGAGGGTGCAAGACATAAGCCTCAGTGGCTTCCATGTGATGTTAAGCCTGCAGGTGCACAGAGGGCAATAGTTGAGGCTTGGCAGCCTCCACCTAGATTTCAGAGGATGTATGGAAACGCCTGGATGTCCAAACAGAAGTTTGCTGCAGGGACAGAGCCCTCAAAGGAAACCTCAACTAGGGCAGTGTGGAGGGGAAATGTGGGGTTGAAGCCCCCACACAGAGTCCCCACTGGGGCACTGCCTAGTGGAGCTGAGAAAAGGGGCCACCATCCTCCATACCCCAGAATGGCAGATCCACCAGCAGCTTGCACCATGCACCTGGAAAAGCCACAGGCACTCAATGCCAGCCTGTGAAAGAAGCCAAGGGGGATGTATCCTGCAGAGCCACGGGGGTGCAGATGCCCAAGGCCTTGGGAGCCCACCCATTGCATCAGTGTGGCCTAGATGTGAAATATAGAGTCAAAGGAGATTATTTTGGAGCTTTAAGATGTAATGACTGCCCTGCTGGGGTTTGGACTTGCATGGAGCCTGTAGCCCCTTTGTTTTGGCTGATTTTTCCCTCTTGAAATGGGTGTATTTACCCAATGCCTGTACCCCCATTGTATCTTGGAAGTAACTAACTTGCTTTTGATTTTACAAGCTCATAGGAGGAAGGGACTTACTTTGTCTCAGATGAGACTTTGGACTATGGACTTTTGAGTTAATGCTGAATAAGTTAAGATTTGGGAGACTGTTGAGAAGAGAGGATTGTGTTTTGCAATGTGAGAATGATATGAGATTTGGAAAGGGCCAAGGGTGGAATGATGTGGTTTGGATTTGTGTCCCCACCCAAATCTCATGTCAAATTGTAATCCCCAGTGTTGGAGGAGGGGCCTGGTGGGAGGTTATTGGGTCATGGGGGTGGATTTCCCTCTTGCTGTTCTCATGATAGTGAGTGAGTTCTCATGAGATCTGGTTGTTTAAAAGAGTGTGGCACCTCCCCCTTCTCCCTCTTCTGCCTGCTCCAGCCAGGCAGGATGTGCCAGCTTCTCCTCCACTTTCTGCCATGATTGTAAGTCTCCTGAGGCCTCCCTAGCCATGCTTCCTGTACAGCCCGTGGAACTGTGAGCCAATTAAACCTCTTTTCTTTATAAATTACCCAGACTCAGGTAGTTCTTTATAGCAATATAAGAACAGACTAGTACATAAACATAACTCTATGTTTAATTTTTTCAGGAACTTCCACTTCCAACTTCAGCAGCTGCACCATTTTACATTCCTACCAGCAGTGCACAAGGGCTCCAATTCCTCCACATCCTCACCTATGCTTATTTTCTGCTTTGTTTTGTTTTAATAACCATTTTTTTAATTTACATGTCCAACATTAACTTTTTTAGAGGTATTTTAACAGGGTGACAATGTAGAGTTTGGAACAAAAATGATCCTGTTCTCTGCTGCATATCACTTAGCCCTGCCTAGTGAAAAAGGTTGAAAAAGTTGGACAAAAGATTAGAGATTTGTTGAGGTGGGACATGGTGACAGAGGGGCCTTAATTTTAGTGCCTCTGGAGTCAGACAGACCTCAGCTGACTCCCCCTCTGTGCACTCAGAATGTGTAACTGGAAGCTCCCTGGCCTCACTGAGCTTTACCCCCCATCTATAAAATGAGCTATTGATACTTCAGTAGTGTGTTGTGAGGCTTGCATGAGTGAACTTGCGGCGGGCAACAGCACAGTGCCTGCACATCGAATCCTCAGGGAATGCTAGCTGGTGCAATGACTGAGCTCTGCTGGGGTTTTCCAGGGCCCCCTCTTTTTTTTTTTTTTTTTTTTGAGATGGAGTTTCGCTCTTGTCGCCCAGGCTGGAGTGCAATGGTGCGATCTCAGCTCACTGCAACCTCCGCCTCCCACGTTCAAGTGATTCTCCAGCCTCAGCCTCCGTGGTAGCTGGGATTACAGATGCTCACCACCATGCCCAGCTAATTTTTGTATTTTTAGTAGAGACAGCATTTTGCCATATTGGCCAGGCTGATCTCGAACTTCTGACCTCAGGTGATCCGTCCATCTCAGCCTCCCAAAGTGCTGGGATTACAGGCGTGAGCCACCACGCCCAGCCCAGGGCTCCCTCTTTACCCACCACTCAAAAGCCCCAAGATGACACCAGGAGGTGTTACCATTCTTCCCTGGTGGAGCCTGAGAGGCAGGCCCGAGAGGCTTATCTCAATGTGGCCCCATGGGGATGGCAGTCCTGGAGAGATCAGTGAAGTCAGACATTGGCCCTAGTGGGTATGCATGTTTAGAAGCCTGAAGGATCACACTTAGGATGGGTTGACAAAACCAAAGTGGCAAGACAATGTTCCAGGAAGTGGAGGGACAGGTTGGCGTGGGAAGAGCAGGGCCCGGAGACACAGAGGCTGGGCTTCAGCTGTCCTGAGGTGCTCTGGCTTCCCTGTCTCATCCCACTTGGCAGAAGTCCCAATCCTCAAAGGCCCCAGGGTGCCACGTGATCCTCTCCCAGCTCCTCTCCCTGTGCCCTCCCCACACCCACCCCTCCAGCCGCAATGACCTCCTCCTGTTCCTGGGAAACTGAGGATACAACAGCTGCCTCAGGGGCTCCTCTGGCCTTGCAGCTCCTTCAAGGCTTTCCCCAAAGTCACCTTCACTGCGAGGCCTCCGTCATCACTAGGCTCGAGTAAAACCCTAAACACTTAGCCTGCACTCCCCACTCTCTGGCCCCTCCTGATCTTTCTCCATTGCACCAATTGCCTTCTCCATAATACTGACTTCTTCACTTGCTCACATTTCCTCATCCCCTCTAGAATGTCGGATGGACATTTTTACCTCTTCTGCTCACTGCTGCATCCCAGCATCTAGAATGACACCTGGTACACAGTGGACACTCACCGGAGGAACACAGAAACAGAGGGAGGTAGAGTTCTTGTTTCCAAGGAGATTGCAGTCATCTGGGAAGACAAAAGAAATGTATATAAAACAATTATTTAGTACCACAGCAAAGCTTAGACTTATTCAATTTTTTTTTTTTTTTTTGAGATGGAGCTTTCCACTCGTTGCCCCAGCTGGAGTGCAATGGTACAATCTCAGCTCACCGCAACTTCTGCCTCCTGGGTTCACGTGATTCTCCTGCCTCAGCCTCCCGAGTAGCTGGGATTATAGGCATGCACCACCACGCCCAGTTAATTTTGTATTTTTAGTAGAGATGGGGTTTCTCCACGTTGGTCAGGCTGGTCTTGAACTCTTGACCTCAGGTGATCCGCCCGCCTTGGCCTCCCAAAGTGCTGGGATTACAGACATGAGCCATCACGCCCAGCTGACTTCCTCAATTTTTGAATTAAAATTTATTGTATGTTTCCCATGATAAAACTAATGCAGGCTGGCTGCAGTGCCTCACACTTGTAATCTCAGCACTTTGGGAGGTCAGGTGGGAGGATTACTTGAGCCCAGGAGTTCGAGACCAGCTGGGCAACATAGTGAGACCCTGTCTCTACAAAAAAGAAAAAATTATCTGTGTGGTGGTGCACACCTGTAGTCTCAGCTACTCAGGAGGCTGAGGCGAGAGGATTGCTTGAGCCTGGGAGATTGAGGCTACAGTGAGCCATGATTGTGCCACTGCACTCCAGCCTGGATGACAGAACCATAAAACAAAAAAACTAGTGCACCTTCATTGTAGAGAGTAAGAAAAAATAGACAGAATAAAATCATCCCTGTTCTAATCAACCAGAAATAGGCACCAGTGGAGTTTAGACTAAGATTTTGTCTTAGTCATGGACAGCTCTTGTTCTTGCCTGCCTACGCTTTCCCCCATCTGTAGTTAGCAACTCTCCACATTTACTGGGGACCACCCTCCCCCATTCCCAGTCTGCAAGATTTAAGGGAGCCAACTCCCTCCCTCCCCCTCCTCCTTGACCCCAAAGGTCTGGGGAGGGACATTTTCTATTCTCCTGACCCACTAGGAACAGGCAACCCACACAAGCTTTACTACGGAAGCTGGATTCAGGCCATCGGCTGCCTGTGCAGGGAGAGAGAAACCGTCTTTCTGCTGTATGTGAAGCTTGGAGAACTGAGGCGGGGGCTCTTAGGAGCACAGGGTAGAAAATGGAATCGACAAAGAGGAAAGCAGAACTGAGACAGAAAGAGACTCTTCATGAGAACAGACAGGCAAAGGAGTGTTTATTGGCTCCTGTGCCCCCAAAGCTCACAGTGACTCTTCCACTGTAACTGCTCCTAAACACGAAACAGAGCCAGAAGTTGGCCATCCCCTTCTGCCTCCACCTGCATCCCCAGCACTACACCGTGTGGCTGTGCTCACCCCATGGCCTCCTGATTCCTAAGCAGCTGATCATCTGACCTTTGGCAGCCCCCCGTTTCTCCTGTTTCCTGCCCCTCCTAAGACGGCGTGCACATGTGTGTGTGTCCAGTTCTGCTTTGACCTAGAAAACAATTCAAGGAGAAGAATGTATCAAGCAAAGAGCTCAAAAGCAGTGCAGGAAATATCTAAATATTAATGTTAGCTTGAGTAGAAAAATAATACTATTTCAGCTGTTACTTAGTTCTTTAAAATCTGAACCTTTTACTTGCTTCCTCATAAAAAGAGTCTAGTGATTAATTTAGGGCCTGACAAAAGACATCTCCCTGATGTTTAGACAATATTCTATAAATAAATACCAACACTTGAATAGAGAGACAGTCCCCAACTTATGATGGGTTACATCCTGATAAAGCCATCATAATTGAACTTGATGTTTAGACAGTATTCTATAAATAAATACCAACACTTGAATAGAGAGACAGTCCCCAACTTATGATGGGTTACATCCTGATAAAGCCATCATAATTGAACATATAATTGGAACATGCATCTAATACACCCACCCTACTGAACATCACAGCCCAGCCTCACCTGCCTTAGGTGCTTGGAGCACTTACATTACCTACAGTTGGGCAAAGTCGTCCAGCAGGAGCCTATTTTATAACAAAGGGTTGGATTCCATACGCAGATGGGCATTGTGTAGACATTATGGGATGTATAATCACAAAATACAGTATCCAGAGATTGCTGGCAACACAGTGCACTGTGCAGTGCTGGCTGTTTACTGCTCGTGATCGCCAGGCTGACGGGAGCTATGACTGCCCATCATGGCCAAACAGTCCCTTACCGATATTGCTAGACCAGGAAAAGATCAAAATTTGAAGTACAGGTTCTACTGAATGTGTATCTCTTTCACAGCATTGTAATGTTGAGCAATTGTAGTTGAGCCATCCTAAGTCAAGACCAACTATATGTAAAACAAAACCTTAAAAATCATTATGTTATGCTGGGTGTACAGTGGCTCACACCTGTAGTCACAGTGACTCGGGGGGCTGAGGCAGGAGCATAACTTAAAGCCAGAAGTTTGAGGCCAGCCTGGGCAACATAGTGAGACCCCAATCTCAAAAATATATGTGGGGGGGGGTTGAGGGGGTCTTAAATATTTTTTAAATTATTGCAAATTTATATCAATTCTCATAAGTGACTTAAGTCATATTTACAAATTATTATAACCGATTCACTTGAATACTTTGCTATTGCAAATAAATAAAATGCTCACAAAGTCACAAAGAGCATTTTCGGGAGCCCCTGCAGATGCATCCCCATGTCCCACTCCACTCTGTTCAGGGAGGGAGGGGAATGCCCTGGCCTGGGTGGAGGCAGCAAAGAGCCTCCCCATGGCCTCATTCCAGCAGGTTCAGGCGATGGGAGGGAGTGTCCCTAGGAGACTGAGAGGGAGCAGTTGAGGTGGGTGATTCTCTCTGGCTCACTCTGTGAGGGTCACCATAGGCTGTCTGCATCCCTTGATCAGAGGTCTCAACTCCTGTCCTCATACAGTCCTGCTTCTCTGGGTCTGGTAACTGCTCGCTGTCCACCCCACTGTTCCTAGCCCCAGGGTATGGCACCACCCTTAGGGTTTCCTTCACCTGCAGAGAGTTCCTTTATTATTTTATTTTATTTTGTTTTGTTTTGTTTTTATTTTTTAACCTCGGAGACATAGATTGGAGTTGCCCTGAATATATGCTCCCCAGAGAGTTCCTTTATTAAGCTCTTCTCAAATGAACCCATTTGAGGGTGCCAGCTGTTTTCTGCCAGGACCCTGACGGATAACTCCATGGTTCTCATTCCTTTCTTTACTAATAACTATGCCTATCTAGGTATCTTCCCAGGGTTACAATAATCTTAGAAGACTGAATTAGAAAAAGTCTTTTCTCAGAGTAGGCCTGGTACAGATTCTGAACTAACATCAGTTGAGCCGGGCACGGTGGCTCACACCTGTAATCCTAGCACTTTGGAAAGGTGAAGGTGGGAGAATCACTTGAGGCCAGTAGTTTGAAACTAGCCTGGGCAACAAAACAAGACCTATCTCTAAAAATTAAAATTAAAATTAAAAATTAGCCAGGCATGGTGGTACATGCCTGTAATCCCAGCTACTCAGGACTCAGGAGACTGAAGCGGGAGGATCACTCAAGCCCAGCTGGGCTTAAGCCTAGGAGGTCCAGGCTGCAGTGAGCACTGACTGCACTCCAGCCTGGGTGACAAATGTCACCCTGTCTCAAAAAAATAAAAAATATATTTAAAAAAACCACTTTGGGAGGCCGAGCCGGGCAGATCACAAGGTCAAGAGATCGAGACCATCCTGGCCAACATGGTGAAACTCGTCTCTACTAAAAATACAAAAATTAGCCAGATGTGGTGGCACGCACCTGTAATCCCAGTTACTCGGGAGGCTGAGGCAGGAGAATCGCTTGAACACAGGAAGCGGAGACCCATGAGGCCAGGCGTGGTGGCTCACACCTGTAATCCCAGCACTTTGGGAGGCCGAGGAGGGTGGATCACAAGGTCAGGAGTTCGAGATCAGCCTGGCCAAGATGGTGAAACCCTGTCTCTACTAAAAATAAAAAATTAGCCAGGCGTGGTGGCAGACGCCTGTAGTCCCAGCTACTCGGGAGGCTGAGGCAGGAGAATTCCTTGAACCTGGGAGGCGGAGTTTGCAGTGAGCCGAGATCATGCCACTGCACTCTAGCCTGGGCAACAGAGTGAGACTCCATCTCAAAAAAAAAAAAAAAAAAAAAGACCCACAAATAGATTTAGTCTCAGAAACCTTTTGGAGAATCACTCTTTGGAGTGCCTTGCATTTGGTCAAGGCTGAGTTTCTGATGCACCAAGAAATGCTGCCATGATGATTGCAGGTTCAGGGTCCCCAGAAGGCCGTGGGACTCTCTTCCTCCCCCTCTGAACACTCATCCCTGAGATGCTCCTTGACAAAGAGCTCTGGGAAGTGTTAACTACTCACCTCATCTCCCTCCTGGAGCTCTCATTCGCAGAGTGAAGGTCCTGAGAATTCTTGCAGGAAAGAAACTTATGTAACTTCACTGGACTTAGGATACAATTGGAGCAGGTAGCCTGTCCCTTGGCCCTTCTTCTGGGTTCCCAGGCCCACCACCTGGACTTCACCCTCTGGATCTTCCTCTGTAGCTGAGGGTGGAAAAGAAGGCCAAGGAACACTACTTTCCCTCCCCAGCCTCCTCCACCAAGACCTCCCCCGCCCCGCCTCACTCTTGCAGGCTTTTCGGGGAGAAGAGGGAAACCACTCATGCCATTTTCCCAGTACCATAGATGTTATTAAGAGAGAAGAAATGCATTTGAACCAAAGCAGCAGGTGTACAGGTGTGTGTGTGTGTCCTTTATTCTACCAAAAGCCCCATCTCCCACTCAGAACCTCAATGAGTCCATTTTTCCTTTTCCTGAGCACGCACTGCGCCAACATTTGCAAAGGAGTATCTTGCCCTTGGAGTTGTTAAGGATGATTACCTTTAAACAATTGCAGAGCGCAATCCTCGCACATAACAGGTGCTCCACAAGTGGAATGGAACGACATGCTGTGTTTGGGGCCAGACATAAAGATCTTATTAATCTCCGTATTTCCTCCAGCACTGGGCCCTGCACATGGCAGGACCACATAAATAATAAATTTTGTTAAGAGCCAGTGATGGTGCAGGGTAGGGGGTAGGGTCATCAGTTTCCCAAGTGCTTCCCTCCTCAAATACATGGAGGACCCTAATCCAATAGTGCGCTTTCCCCCTTGGCATCTGTCAAGCCCCTTAGCCACTCTCACCCCCTCCACTGAGGGGCAGATGACTAGGCTGCCCTCAGTCCTCCCGTGTGGAAGTTCCAGGAGCCCCACCCAGCCAAAGCTCTGGAGTTAGCCTGGAAATGTGTACCGCTGGCGGCCGCTGGGGGAGCCCCAGCCTCGCAGTGGCTCAGGGCCTTTTCCCCCAGGCAGAAGCAGTGAAAAGCTCTGGCTCTCCTGCTGGGAGGAACTGGGAGAAACTGACCTGAAACACGACCTGAAGGAACAGGGGCCGCCGGGTGGGGGCTGGTTTGGAGGCGAGGGCAGGATGCAGTTGTTCATTATATAGAAGACACTGGGACATTTTTATTGCAGAAGAGACATCTTATTGCAGAAGAGACATTTTTATTCCACATTGCACACAGGTATTGACACAGTCAGCTGAGCATCAAATGGGGCTGGGTGTGGTGGCTCACACCTGTAATCCCAGCACTTTGGGAAGCTGAGAGAGGCAGATCACTTGAGGTCAGGAGTTGGAGACCAACCTGGCCAACATAGTGAAACCCTGTCTCTACTAAAAATAGAAAAATTAGCTGGGTGTGGTCGCATGTGCCTGTAATCCTAGCTACTCAGGAGGCTGAGGAGGGAGAATCACTTGAACCCAGGAGGCAGAGTTTGCAGTGAGCCGAGATCGCACCACTATGCTCTAGGTGGGTGACAAAGCGAGAGTCTGTCTCAAAAAAAAAAAGGATGGATTTGGAGGACAGGCCGACCCCTGTGGAGCCCCTCTCTGCTCACTGGCTGCTAGCGCCTGGGGCAGCTCCACACTCCTCTGGGAGCCGCTGCGCTGGGAGGCCTTCACCTGCTACCCTGCGCAGTCCTCCCACTGGTCCTCTGTCCTGTGATCCAGGGGAGCTGCTTCCCTCTCCCCAGGCTTCTGCTTGCCCACCTGGAAGGATGGCGTTTAGGCTGCGCCGGCTCTGTCCTTTGAGCTCTGATTTCCAACCCTATTCATATGTCCAGAGCCAAAGGTAAAATAAGGCTATGATTAAAGCAGCCCCACCCATCACCAGAACAGGGTGGCCGGGGCTAGGGCCTCAAAACCGGTCACTGAGTTGACACCAGCCTTCAGCTGGTGATACATTCTCCACTCAGTTACCAAACTTTTCTCATGAACTCCAGGGAACAGGTTCTTTCCACTGACTTTCTGGGAAAATGTATTTCGAATTTTAAGTAGCTGTCTTTTGCAAAACCGTTTATAGCTCACTGTTTGAGCCTCGTTATCTTCTACATGCTGTACTGATTCCTCAACATGCATAATCACTTTTAATTGTATTCACTTCTCACAACAACACAGCCAGGTGGGCATTTATTATTCATTGCACTTGAAGGCGCGGTGAGATGAAGTAGTTTATCCACAGCACACAGATAGAAGACTTCCCCTGAATCCAGAGTGCCTCCATTTCCCAAGCGCCACTGCTCCCTAGAGTTGGCACTTGGGAACAGACCCCACTCCTGCTCCAGACAGACAATGTGCATGTGGCTAGAAATATCCCTGCCCTAGAAGAACAAAAACCTATGAGGAGCAGTTCTGAGGACTATTTGCCCAGGCTTGTCCCGGAGAAGAGAGAGGCTGTCATACATCCTCCTCTCACACTATTCAGCAAGGTAACAAATAGTTATTGAGGTTCAGACACTGTAAATGCAACCAATAAGTATAACAATTGATAAACATAATCAATAAGTACATTGAATTGTACCTTAGAAGGCAAAGGGTTATGGAAAGAAAATAAAGCAAAATAAAGGGATCTGGATTGGCCGGGCCCGGTGGCACACACCTGTAATCTCAGCACTTTGGGAGGCCAAGGCGGGCAGATCACCTGAGGTCAGGAGTTCAAGACCAGCCTGGCCAACATGGGGAGACCCCGTCTCTACTAAAAATACAAAAAATTAGCAAGGCAGGAAACAACCCTCTTGAGATGCCTGTTCCCCCTGACAGCACAAATGGTGAAGGAAAGGGTTTGGCCCCCGCAAACCCATTCAGGATCAAAGTATCAGCTCCACAGTTTGCTACTGAGATGGAAGAATGCTGCCATTTGGAAGGAGAGACCCCACCTCGCCCCAGCTCATCGGGACCACTGTCCCAGCCGTCCAGCTGGGCTCTGGGCCTTTTGTTTTGTCCTCTCCATTCCATTTCCTGTGCTGGGCAGCTGAAACTCACTCTATAAACTCCCCACAGTCCTCAGAATGAAAACCAACCTGCTCAGCAGCGGTCAAGCTTCTTCTAATCTGGACCCACCCACCTCCCCTCCCATCCCGCACGCTTTCCCATCCCGACTGGCTCGCTGGGCTGCCGATGCTCTTCTCTCTTGGCTGCATGACTGCACAGCCCTTTTCCATTGTCTCTGCCTGGTGAACGCCTAATTATCTTTTTTTCTTTTGAGACAGAGTCTCACTCTGTTGCCCAGGCTGGAGTGCGGTGGCACGATCTCAGCTCACTTCAACCTCCACTTTCCAGATTCAAGCCATTCTCCTGTCTCAGCTTCCTGAGTAGCTGGGATTATAGGCGTGTGCCACCACACCCAGCTAATTTTTGTATTTTTAGTAGAGATGGGCCATGTTGGCCAGGCTGGTCTCAAAACTCCTGACCTCAAGTGATCCACCCACCTTGTCCTCCCAAAGTGCTGGATTTACAGGCGTGAGCCAGCGTGCCCAGCAACCTCTATCTTTTAAGAAGCAGTTCAAAACCTGCCTCTGCTGGGAAGTCTGCCCTGATGCCCCCAGGCAGAGGTACTTGCCCCATGACTTTGTGTGCGAGCTCTATCCAATTTATCCCGCTGGACTGCAGTTATTTGTTCACCCTTTTATCTCCCCAGTCGGTACACGCTTTTTGAGGGCAGGGTCGGTCTATGTCAAGCTCATCTCCCCACAGTGCTTAGCACAATGCCTGAGACTAGCCGGGCCACAAGTGTTTGCAGAATTACAAACGACATGTTCCCTAGACTTTAGATTCCATCTCCATATGCTAAAGGCACCCCCATACCCACGCTCAGCACCGGGCCTCACATGCAGCTGGTGCGCAGTCAATGCATGTGAACTAGCTGATAGGCTAATCAGAGGAAGATCAGATCAAGGAAAGTACCTTACTTAAGCTCTCCGCTCCCCACCCAGTGTTCTGAAACAGGCAGCTAGAGGTGAGAGACGGGCCTGCTGAAAGCTGAGCTTTGTAGCCAAGACCCGAGTGGTGTTACTTGGACTGCTGGAGTCCAGAGGAGCAGGATGGCTCGGTTACCATGGCAACCCGAGCTTGCTCTAAGGGCAGCTGGTGTTCAGATCTCATTTGGACTTAAGAGATGCAGTGGAGAGCCTAATGTAATTAATGATGGTTCAGATGCCACACAAATCCAAATAATCCCCTCACGCATTTGGCCACTAGAGGCGGGCACGTGGGTGCCAGGTTATACGAACTGGAAGATGGACCCTGATCCTTTCAGGAGTGGAAGATGCCGACCCGGCTCCAGTCTGGGAGAGAGTTCCCTCAAGGACAGGTACACATGCTTTACAGATGCCACTGAAGCCATTTGTGCAACTGTCTGCTGGTCTATTAGTATCAGTGGCTTGCTGGTGATGGAGGTCACGGCCGGGAGCCAGGATCCTGGCCTCAGGTTAAGGAAGGTGTCAGAAGGGCATGGTCCCTGGAGGGAGACCCCGAGGCTCCCCCATGGATTAGCCGTGTGACTGTGGGCAAGTATCTTAGGCTCCCCAAGACTCCATGCCCTGTCCATCAAGTGGACGTTCACAGAATCTACCCCATTATGCTGCTGAGGGAACTTCAGAGCCTCACAGGGTGCCCAGCACACCACAGCCCTCAACAAAGCACTGCTCTGGAGCACGTGCTGAGTGGCTTTGGAGGAGTCACTACCTTATTCAGGGCTCTGTTCCCAGAGTGAGTATTATCCAGGGTTCCTTCCACTGCAGACTCCAAAACTCCGTGTTTGCTGTGTGCTCATCCAGAACCCGAGTGGTGCTGCACAGGCCATATGCCTAACGCCATCGTGGGGGCAGGAGGAGCCTCTCTTCACTTTTGGATTTCACTTTCTTCGAAACGCAGGATGCTTTTTGGAAATCAGATTGCTCGGCCTCACACCTGTAATCCCAGCACTTTGTGAGGCCAAGGCGCATGGATCACCTGAGGTCAGGAGTTGAAGACCAGCCTGGCCAACATGGTGAAACCTCGTCTCTACAAAAATACAAAATTATCCAGGCATAATGGCGGGTGCCTGTAATCCCAGCTACTCTGAGGCTGAATAGGGAGAATGGCTTGAACCCGGGAGGTGGAGGTTGCCATTGCACTCCAGCCTGGACGACACAGCAAGACTCTGTCTCCAAAAAAAAAAAAAAAAAAAAAACCACCACGTGCGGTGGCTCACACCTGTAGTCCCACTACTTTGGGAGGCCAAGGCAGGTGGGTCACCTGAGGTCAGAAGTTCGAGACCAAGCTGACCAACGTGGCAAAACCTCCGTCTCTACTAAAAATACAAAATTAGCCAGGCGTGGTGGCAAGCACCTGTAATCCCAGCTACTTGGGAGGCTGAGGCAGGAGAATTGCTTGAATCTGGGAGGCAGAGGTTGTAGTGAGCCAAGATTGCACCACTGCACTCCAGCATGGGCAACAAGAGCAAAACTCCGTTTCCAAAAAAAAAGAAAAAAATCAGATTGCTCTTTTCCTCACTCTAGCAGTGAACTTAGTCCACATGGGAATTAGCACCATCTCTTGCTGTTCTGTCTTTGCCTGGCACACTGACCTCCTTGAAGGTTCTGTGCCCTTAGTAATCCTACCTCAGCACCTTCCCTTTTGATTTCTTTAGTAGTCCTACTGTGTCCAGAATTGGCGAGTTCTTGGTCTCACTGACTTCAAAAATGAAGCCACGGACCCTTGCGGTGAGTGTTAACAGTTCTTAAAGGCAGCATGTCCAGAGTTTCTTCTAGTGGCTTCATGGTCTTGCTGGCTCAGGAGTGAAGCTGCAAGCCTTTGCGCTGTTACAGCTCTTAAGGCAGCACGTCTAGAATTGTACGTTCACTCCCAGTAGGGGTTCATGGTCTCGCCAGTTTCAGGAGTGAACCTGCAGACCTTCGTGGTGAGTGTTACAGCTCATAAAAGCACTGGGGATCCAAACAGTGAACACTCACAAGATTTAATTGCAAAGAGCAAAAGAACAAACCCTTTACAGTCTCAAATCACTATACTAGCAGATTGCCACTGCTAGCTGGGGCAGCCTGCTTTTATTCTCTTATCTGGCCCCACCCACATCCTGCTGATTGGTCCATTTTACAGAGAGCCGATTGGTCCATTTTACAGAGAGCTGATTGGTCCATTTTGACAGGGTGCTGATTGGTGCATTTACAATCCCTGAGCTAGAGTCAAAAGTTCTCCACGTCCCCACTAGATTAGCCAGATACCGAGTGTTGATTGGTGTATTTACAAACCCTGAGCTAGACACAGAGTGCTGATTGGTGCATTTACAAACCTTGAGCTAGATACAGAGTGCCCACTGGTGCATTCACAATCCCTTAGCTAGACATAAAGATTCTCCAAGTCCCCACCAGATTAGCTAGACACGGAGCACTGATTGCGGCATTTACAAACCTTGAGCTAGACACAGAATGCTGATTGGTGCATTTACAAACCTTGAGCTAGATACAGAGTGCTGATTGGTGCATCCACAAACCCTGAGCTAGACACAGGGTGCTGATTGGTGTGTTTACAAACCTTGAGCTAGATACAGAGTGCTGATTGGTGTATTTACAATCCTCTAGCTAGACTTAAAGGTTCTCCAAGTCCCCACTAGACTCAGGCGCCCAGCTGGCTTCACCCAGTGGATGTCGCACCAGGGCTGCAGGTGGAGCTGCCTGCCAGTTCCGTCTGGTGCGCCCGCACTTCTCAGCCCTTGGGCGGTCGATGGGACCGGGCACCGTGGAGCAGGGGGCGACACTCGTCCAGGAGGCTCAGTTCGCGCAGGAGCCCATGGCGGGTGGGGGAGACTCAGGCATGTCGGGCTGCAGGTCCCCAGCCCTGCCCCGCGGCGCGGCCGCTAAGGCCCAGCGAGAAATCAAGCGCAGCACCGGTGGGCCGGCACTGCTGGGGGACCCGATGCACCCTCCGCAGCTGCTGGCCCGGGTGCTAAGCCCCTTACTGCCTGGTGCCGATGGACCGGCCGGCCGCTCCGTATGCGGGCCCGCGAAGCCCACACCCATCCGGAACTCTAGCTGACCCGGAACTCTAGCTGGCCCGCAAGCACCATGCGCAGCCCCGGTTCCCGCCCGTGCCTCTCCCTCCACACCTCCCCACAGGCTGAGGGAGCAGGTTCCGGCCTCGCCCGTCCCAGGAAGGGCTTCCCACAGTGCAGCAGCGGGCTGAAGAGCTCCTCAAGCGTGGCCAGAATGGGCTCCGAGAGCGAGCGCGGGCTGCCAGCACGCTGTCACCTCTCACTACCTCAGTACCTTCCCTTCTCATTTTTCTTCTGCTTGGAGAAACTCCTACTTCCTTCTTTTTTTGAGACAGGGTCTCACGCTGTTGCACAGACTGGAGTGCAGTGGTGTGATCACAGTTCACTGCAGCCTCCACCCTCTGGGCTCAAGGGATCCTCCCACCTCAGCCTCCTGAGTAGCTGGGACTACAGGTGTGTACCACCATGCCTGGCTAATTTTTTTTTTTTTTTTTGTAAAGATAAAGTCTTACTAAGTTGCTTAAGCTGGCCTTGAACTCCTGGGCTCAAGCAGTCCGCCTGCCTTGGCCTCCCAAAGTGCTGGGATTCCAGGCGTGAGCCACTGTGCATGGCCCTTCCTTTGTAGTTTGCACCTGTTATTACATGTTTCTCCAGTTACTTTAACTATTCCACTGGCCCCTGAGCATCTTGAGGGTAGGGATTATGGATTATTCATGTCTATATCCCTAAATGTATCACACGGTAGGTGCTCTACAAACATTTGTAGAGTTGAATCAAATGGAACATGTGAGGTGTACACTTGTGCAAACAGATTGAGCTTCTTTTCTGATAATTTCATTTTGGTGTAAGTTTGCTTTCAGTTTAAGTAGTCAAAACATTTGGATAGCTATTCTTTTTTTTTGGATAAGTATTCTTGAGTGGACTAAAAATAGATTTTAATTGATTTCTAGTGCCGATGCTGCAAAACTGGAAATCTAAAAGATTTTATCCTTTTATTAGAGTCTGAAGAAGAAAAAGAACAAGGGAGTGGAAATGCTTTTAACATTTTATCTGCCCCCTTTCCTGTGCCTTTTTTTTTTTTTTTTTTTTTGAGATGGAGTCTTTGTCACCCAGGCTGGAGTGCAATGGCGTGATCTCGGATCACTGCAACCTCCGCCTCCCAGGTTCAAGCGATTCTCCTGCCTTCCTGTGCCTAAGGTTAACACAGCGCCTTAAGAGGCTAACACAGAAGGGCAAAGTAAGTCTCCATAAAACCCAGAGAAGACTGTGAACCCCTCTCTGGATCCTGTCTGGAGTCACAGCTGGAAAACAAAAACACATTTATCTGGTAGGAATAAAGAAATTTAGAAGAAGCAGAAAAGGAAAAATGATTTTCAGATCTAGTTTTTTGTTCTTCCAAAAGGAGGAATTTAAACATGAGGGAGACTAATTTATTTCCCCTTTTTACTTTGGGTTTCATAACTCAACAATCTTCCCTGAGGCCCCAGGTGAGAACAGTGAGTTAGCTATGAAGGCAGAAATAAGTAACTAAAGATCTTAGGTGGTTAATATTAACTGCCTTTTCTTTCGTGAATAAACCATATCACCTGGGATTAATGGGTGAAACGCAGAGAACTATTAACTAAACCAGGGATTGGCAAACTTTTTCTGTAAGGGCCAGATGGTGACTATTTCTCAGCCATAGTGATGCAAAATCAGCCAGAGAAACATGCAAACAAACGGGCGGGTAGCTGTGTTGCAATAAAACTTTATTTACAGCAACAGTTGGAAGTTAAATTTGGCTTGGTGGCTACAGATTGCTGACCCCTGAATGCAACACTCCATTTTCAGGTCTAAGTATTCCCATTCTCTTAAACACACCATCCTAGCTCAGGATGCTCTAACAGAATACCACAGACTGGATGGCTGAAAGAATAAATGTTTCTTTCTCACAGTTCCGGAGGCTGGGAACTCCAAGATCAAGGCGCCAATAGATCCAGTGTCCTGCGAGGGCTGTCTTCCTGGTTTGCAGACAGCCTTCTTGCTGTGTGCTCGCATGATGCAGAGAGAAGAAAGGGGCAAGCTCTCGGGTCTCTTCTTATATGGACACTAATCCCAGTCACTTGGGCTCCACCTCATGACCTAATTACTTCCCAAGGACCCCACCTCCTAATGCCAACACACTGGGGGTTAGGATTTCAACCTGTGAATTTTGGAGGAACACAAACCTTTGGTCTGTAACACACAGCATGCTTATATAAAAGGAAGAGATGTCCACCAAAGTTGTAAGGTCCATATGGCACAGGGACCAAATTATTATTATTTTTTGTTTGTTTGTTTTGAGATAGAGTCTCACTGTGTTGCCCAGGCTGGAGTGCAGTGGTGCAATCTTGGCTCACTGCAATCTCTGCCTCCTGGGTTCAAGCGATTCTCATGCCTCACCCTCCAGAGTAGCTGGGATTATGGGCGTGAGCCACCACGCCCAGCTAACTTTTGTATTTTAGTAGAGATGAGGTTTCGTCATGTAGGCCAGGCTGGTCTCAAACTCCTGGCCTCAAGTGATCTGCTTGCCTCAGCCTCCCAAAGTGCTGGGATTATAGGTGTGAGCCACAGCTCCCAGCCATGACCAAGTTATGAGTGAAAAAAACACACCTCTCAGGACTGGAAAGATGTCAGATGAGGCTGGGAGCACTAGCTCATGCCTGTAATCCCAGCACTTTGGGAGGCCGAGGCGGGCAGATCACCTGAGGTCAGGAGTTCGAGATCAACCTGGCCAACATGGCAAAACCCCGTCTCTACTACAAATACAAAATTAGTCAGGCATGGTGGTGCACGCCTGCAGTCCCAGCTACTCGGGAGGCTGAGGCAGGAGAATCGCTTGAACCCAGGGGGCGGAGGTTGCAGTGAGCCAAGATCACGCCATTGCACTCCAGCCTGGACAACAAGAGGGAAACTCCATCTCAAAAAAAAAAAAAAAAAAGATGTCAGATGTGTGTGTCTGGATGGTAGAAAGGATGACTTACCTCCCACCTGGGTAGACATCCCCTCTCTTTGTCCCTGGCGCCTTCAATGGCCTATCTGGCTTTCACTAACACCCTGTTTTACCCAGCGCCCACTGACTTTTGAGTTCTGAGGGGCCATGAAGGGAATGGGCTGAGATGTGGGGATTTGCTTTACAGTTGGGAAGGCCGCAAAGCTACACAGAAGCGTGGGCCGGCTCCGTGACAGAGAAAGCCCAAGACAACCAACTAGAAATGTCAAATTTTAAAAATATGTAGGAATGAGAATTTGCTTATTACCCAGAGAGATTTTATGTGACTACCATTAAAGTAACTTTTACCAAAAAAAAGTATAATCACAATGATTAAAATCTTAGTTTCTAAGAATGTATTTAAGACTAAGTCCACTATCAAACTTACTCATGTTTAAAACCCCCGAAGAGATACAGAAGGTTGATCTTTGACAAGTGCAAACCTAGACCAGTACAGGAAACAGGGTCTTAGGACTGTAATCCCAGCACTCTGGGAGGCCAAGGCAATAGGATCACTTGGGGCTAGGAGTTCAAGATCATCCTGGGCAACATAGTGAGACCCCTAACCCTACAAAAAAAGAGAAAAAATAGCTGGGTGTGGTGCCACGCACCCGTAGTCCCAGCTATTCAGGAGGCTAAGGCAGGAGGATCACTTGAGCCCAGGAGTTCAATGCTGCAATGAGCTGTGATCGTACCACTGCACTCCAGCCTGCGCAACCGAGTGAGCCTCTGTTTCTTTAAAAGAAGAAGAAAACTGCAAAGCTGACTCCATTACTCTCCAGGGGAGCTGTGCAGCTCATAGAATCAAGTGCACGTTTTCTTACTTTGGAGTCTCAGTGAGGACAGCTGGGCTGTGCCACAGCAAGAAACGGCCCCCAGCAGAAATGGCTTCTGACAGCAAAGGTTTGGCTGTCAGCCAGGCTACATGTCCATCACCAGCCAGCCAGGGGACCTGCTCCACGACTCCCCTTCCAGGACCCCGGTTGATGGAGCTGCCACCATAGCGAGCGGTACCAGTTGCTGCAGCCAAGAGAAGGAGAATTTGGATGGCATCTTTCACCAGGATTGAATGCTCCAGGCCAGAAGTGACACCTGATCACACGGGGCGGGGAGTGCCTTCCTGCTGTGTATCCAGGAGGAGATGTTTGGAGAACAGTGTTGAGGGCTATCAGACATGGCATTTTGGATCTCTCCTATTTCTCCAGCCTCATTTCCCACGACTTGAACAGTTTATAAGAACGTGATTAGGAATGTGTGTGTGTGTTTAGGGGAGAGGGAGAAATTCCCTGGCAAGAGAGAGGTTGGTTTACAATGAGATCACTACCCAAATCACTGAGCTGCTCAAACTTCCGGGTTCATAGTGTCAGAGGGACTAGTAGGGCCTTAGCTAGCCCATATTGTACCTTCCTCTAGGGGGATACAGCCCTGCTCCATGAGGACAGCTTGGTGAATGGAACATGGCTGGCTTGAGGCCTCTATTTGCTTCTTGGTCAGGCACTCTTGTTTAGTGAACAACCTGTACAACCCTACGTGTAGGGTGACCAACTAATCTGGTTGACCACCATGACCTGGGAATATTCTCAGTTCTGGGGTAACAGAAATAGGTGGTCACTGTATTAGTCTGTTCTCACATTGCTATAAAGAACTACCTGACTTTGGGAGGCCAAGGAAGGCAGATCATGAGGTCAAGAGATCGAGACCATCCTGGCTAACATGGTGAAACCCCATCTCTACTAAAAATACAAAAAAATTAGCCAGGCATGGTGGTGGGTGCCTGTAGTCCCAGCTACTCGGGAGGCTGAGGCAGGAGAATGGCGTGAACCTGGGGGGCGGAGCTTGCAGTGAGCTGAGATGGCACCACTGCACTCCAGCCTGGTTGACAGAGCGAGACTCCATCTCAAAAAAAAAAAAAAAAAGAACTACCCAAGACTGGGTAATTTATAAAGAAAGGAGGTTTAATTGGCTCACGGTCCTGCAGGCTGTACAGGAAGCATGGCTGCAGAGGCCTCAGGAAACAACCATGGCAGAAGGCGAAGCAGAAGCCAGCACATCCTACATGGCTAAAGCAGGAAGAAGTAGGCAGGGGGACACACTTTAAACAACCAGATCTCACGAGAACTCACTCACTATCACGAGAACACCAAGGGGGATGTCCACCCCCATGATCCAATCACCTCCCACCAGGTCTCTCCTCCAACATTGCCGGGAATACACTTCAACATGAGATTTGGGCAGGGACACAAATCCAAACCATATCAGTCACCCCACCTACATGGTGGCCCAGGGTAACGGTAATAGTTGCATATATTCAGAGCTCGCTGGTCTATTCTGCTAGGTTTGTCATTTATTTAGGTACAGATAGCATCATGAAAGAACCATGGGGTTTGCAGAGAGAGTGGCTTGAGTCCCAGCTCTGGCTGTCTCTGGCTTCAAGACCTTAGGCCAGCTCCCCACTCTTCGGAGCCTCAGTTTTGCCATCTGTAAAATAGAGGCAGAAAATATCTATCTTACAAGGTTACCGTGAGGCTCATTTAACGAGCCACAGTCGGTAAATGGTCAGGGCAGGGCCTCTCGAAGTGTCAGCTGTCCCCGTTGGGTGGAGGTTGACTGCGCGGTGAAGGAAAGTTGCACTCCAGAGGACAGGGATCGTGCAGCCAGGGGGTCTTGTACAAATGTGCACAGGCATTAATCAGTAATCGCCATGAGCAGGCTGGGACTTCAACTCCACTTACCAAGTTAAACAGCTACAAATTAAAGAGCTAAGAGACGCTTTTAATATTTAACCTGGGCCTTGACTACAGCACTCTATTCCTTTGAGCTGATTAATTGACTGGTTGGTTCTCAGCTCTCTAATGAGAAGAAGGAACTTAAGCATCTTCCCAGGTGTCTGGGACCATGGGATGTTCGTGTGCAGAGGTGACCACCCCCACCAGGCAGCTTCCACATTAGAGAAGTTGATATTCACAGTGGGGGGTTTGAGCTTAAAGTTGGACATTTTATGTTTGTTGCACACTCTTTTTAGCCAACAGTATTTAAAGGTTAACCTCTGTAATAAATATTACACGTTAATGGTCAAATTTACACAGACTCAATTCCCTTTCCCAGCACTGCCCTCCCTCTCCCCTCAAACCTTGTCCTCAGGATGATAAATGACCCCACCAAAGCCTAGGGTCCAAGTATGTTTTGAGTGGCCTCCAAATCTCACACTCAAAACTGTGGGTTCATGGACAGGGGAGTCAGCTCACAGATCACTTTGTGTAGCAGATTTGCAAGGAGAAGGAAGCTTACGTTCACTGAGGCCAGCGGCTGTGGACACTGTACTGGATCTTTCTCAGCTGCTGTGTGCATTGCCCCTGGAGACAGGACAGTCCCACACAAACATCGTCTTACTCAGTGGGCCAGGGATGGGCACCTGAACCTCAAGTAGCTCCAGTTCAAGGCGGCCAGCTTCCTGCCTGCTCAGCTAATCGAAGCCTGTCCACCCCACCCCACCCCACAAACCCACCACCCCCCGCCCCCCGGTCTAAATTCCTAGCCGGAGTAAAAATCCAATGGGAAAAGAGTCTTATACACATGGCAGCGGAGTGAAACCACATCAGCTACCTGGTCATTTTTTTTTCTTAAATATAAGCAGGAGTCAGTGGGGGATGATGCCCTTGTCCCATGTAAAGATCTTAATCGCTCCTTAGGTCCGATGCCCACTTCTCACTCCCATCTCCTTTTATACCCGCTGACTGTGTCCCGGAGTCTCATCTGTCAGTCCATTGACCCCGTTTCCTCTCCAGCGTCTGTCATCATGGCATAGACTGCAATTGCTCAGCCTGTGTCATCTGGCAGCTCTCTACTGTCAGTTTTCCATCTTTCAGAAATGCGTTGAAACCTCTCCTTTGTGATTTCCCTCCTTCTTACAACTCCTCCTCTATCCCTTTTTCTTTTATCTTAATTCCAGCAAAGTCGCAAGTACCAAGAGAAGGCAACTCTGCACCCGGTCTGCTGTTTTGAGCCAGAAGCCATGAGATGCCTCTAAACGAGAACTGCTCTAGTCATGGAAAGTATGCATCGTAAATTCCAGTGCTAAACCTTTTGTTTAGATGGGGTACAAGTCATTGTCATTTTACTGTCAGAATTTTTTACAGTGTTATAGAACGCACCAAATCAGCCATGACCTGGACCTGCCAACCCTAAGGACCTCATGTATCTTATTTCTGAGTAAATATTGAAAAAAGTTCTGTAACTCATTAATTGTCCTTAATGAATAATGGTGATTCACCCTTATATTTTGTTTTCCCCTCTTGATGCCGAAACCATGAAACCAAATACAAAAGCTTGGACACTTTGGTAAAAGACAATAGCAATTATGTGGGCTGCTGCTGTCCAAACATATCAGCATTCGTTAATAGCACTGTGGCTCTCTCAAGTTACCGATTAAGCATTAAAAATAGAAACATGGCTTGCTTATGTTTCAAATGCCGTCTCATTTATCACCCAAATGCAAATATTATCTGTCTGCATATTCATAAGAACCAGCACCTGCACAACACATCTTTCTTACGTAACGGCTTGGGAGTGCCATGATTGGTGGGAAACTGCAGGATATCTGAGCAGGGAGAGTAGATCTGCGAGTCCTGAAGCAGGGGCCCTGGAGTGGGGTTTTGAAAGGTGGGTTGGTTTGGCAGGCTATTGTAATGACTGGTCCATGAGTCGTGGTGGGAGGAACTGGCTTCATCTGCAGTAGATGCCTGGCTACTCCTGAAACCAAGGAAAACATCGTTCGGGCGCCCGAGTCCTTCCGAAAAGTATCACCAACTGTAGTCCTCTTCCAGGGTTTAATTTGTTTAAGGAAAGGAAGTTCTATTTTCCCAGAGTTAAGCAGAGAGTTCCCAAACTGGGCTTCACCTTCCACCCACCATCACCAGCACCCACGAGCACTATCACCGCATAAAAGAATCCTTCAGCTGCAGGTGTGACTGCCAGATATTTTCTTAAGAAGGATTACACCCCATTTCAGTTCTCCAATATTCCTGAGACGTTGCTAACTCTTTCGGACAAAAATTCTAGAGACGATCTTAGGGACATTAGTCATGCGGAAAGCTTTTAGGTTGTTTGCTTATTATGGGAAGCTTCTAATAAAATCAATCTGAGTTTTCAGCATATTTGATGGAAGCCAGGTCTACAAATGTAGCAGATTTTAAAATGTTCTCTCAAAGTGGAAAGAATGCTGGCTCTGGCATTCCTCCCGCTGAAGCGGAGCTAATGACAAGTTTTGGGAAACAGTGTTGGAATCAAGAGTGGCCAGAAAAATTGGTTGCCCTGGGAGGTGAACACAGGGAGCTGTGGATGTATTTAAACATGAGTCACATGACTAGCTTCTATTTAGGCAGAAGCAAAACATGTTTTCCTTTAAATCATTAAACTGAGTGAACTCAAGAAAAATCTCGTTTGCCTCTAAGTGTTGTTGTTCTTTGGGGTTTAAAGAGTTTCAAGATGAGATTTGTTTTCTTAAAAACTTATATCAATAGCTTCCAAACGAGACACATCTGTAGACTTAGCGCACCCAAATGACATCTGTGTTTGGCCCCACATCCTACACCTGGATGGTTAAGATGGCACATCAAAAAAAAGGGGGGGAGAGGCCAGGCACGGTAGCTTACGCCTGTAATCCCAGCACTTAGGGAGGCCAAGGCAGGTGGATTACCTGAGGTCAGGAGTTCAAAACCAGCCTGGCGAACATGGTGAAACCCTGTCTCTACTAAAAATACAAAAATTAGCCGGATGTGGTGGTGCGTGCCTGTAATCCCAGCTGCTCAGGAGCCTGAAGCAGAAGAATCACTTGAACCCGGGAGGCGGAGGTTGCAGTGAGCAGAGATCCGGCCACTGCACTACAGCCTGTGCAACAGAGCGAGACTCCGTCTCAAAAAAAAGGCAGGGGGGATCATAAATACTTCCCTTTAAAAAATTTTTTTTCTTTTCTTTTTGCTTTTTCTTTATTGTTTGTTGTTGTTGTTGTTTGTTTTGTTTTTTTTTTTTTTTGAGACGGAGTCTCTTTGGTTGCCCAGGCTGGAGTACAGTGGTGCGATCTCGGCTCACTGCAACCTCCGCCTAACGGGTTCAAGTGACTCCTGCCTCAGGCTCCCGAGCAGCTAGGACTACAGGTGCCCTTCACCATGCCCGGCTAATTTTTGTATTTGTAGTAGAGACAGGGTTTCATCCTATTGGCCAGGCTGGTCTCGAACTCCTGACCTGAAGTGATCCGCTCGCATCAGCCTCCTAAAGTGCTGGGATTACAGCCTCATTTTTTTTCTCTTCTTTTTCTTTTCCCTCTCTGTCTCACCTCTCTTCTCTCTCTCTTTTCTTTTCTTTCTTTCTTTTTTTTTTTTTGAGACAGAGTCCAGCTCTGTTGCCCAGGCTGGAGTGCAGTGGCGTGATCTCGGCTCACTGCAACCTCCACCTCCTGGGTTCAAGTGAGCATGCCCAGCTAATTTTTGTATTTTTAGTAGAGACAGTTTCACCATGTTGGCCAGGCTGGTCTCAAACTCCTCACCTAAAGTGATCTGCTCGCCTCAACCTCTGAAAGTGTTGGGATTACAGGCATGAGCCACCACGTCCAGCTAGATTATAAATACTTTCTTGTTCTTTTTTTTTTTTTTTTTTTTGAGACGAGCCTCACTCTGTCGCCCAGGCTGGAGTGCAGTGGCGCGATCTCGGCTCACTGCAACCTCCACCTCCCGGGTTCACGCCATTCTCCTGCCTCAGTCTCCTGAGTAGCTGGGACTACAGGCGCCCGCCACCACGCCCGGCTAATTTTTTGTATTTTTAGTAGAGACGGTGTTTCACCGTGTTAGCCAGGATGGTCTCGGTCTCTTGACCTCGTGATCCACCTGCCTCGGCTTCCCAAAGTGCTGGGATTACGGGCGTGAGCCACCGCGCCCGGCCTCTTGTTCTCTCTTAATAATAAAAATAAATGGATGTGAATCTGAGTCCCATTTTTATTCCATTTTCTTAGGCATATGTTTTTTAATGTCTACTCCTGAAGTGATAAAATAGTAGAATTTCAAGTCTGTGGTTGGGAAAGTTTAGCCGAAATTCCATTTTCACAATTATTCTGGAATCCAATCAATCAGGATAAAAGTTAATGTCAAGTCAAGATAGGTGAGTTAAACCCAGGACTTTTGAATTGCCCTGTCTTGGAAAGGCTGGAATTTAAAGTTGCAGGAGGTGGGCAAGGGAAGGAAGTAATCACATTTAAGTAAAACACAGAACCAACCAACAGGAAGGCTCGCTGGGTTTGAATTCGGCAGCTTTGGAGTGTTTTCTAGTCTGGGTTGTGGTTAGTTCACTTAAAAAGAAAAGCGGTTAAGGGAAAAAAAAAAAAAATCCGAGACCAAAAGCTAGACTTATGACCACCACCTAGGTATTTCCTTTTGCTTCTTTCCTGTGGCGGGGGGAGGGCGAGGTGGGGGTTGCTTTGCCTTTCTCCTTCATTTTCAAAGTTTTTCTTTCCCAAAAGTAGTGACTATTTGGAGGTTTTGATGAGGCTCAACCTTCACACATCCAGTCTCCGCTGGGGCAACAGAGGGAAGGAGAAGGCCGGAGGGGGCTGTTGGTGCCCGGAGGATCGCCCCTTCCCTCCCGGGGCGTCTCAGGCCTGGCGGACACTGAAAGGTCGGGGCGCACTGACGGCCGGACCTCGCGAACGCAGCGCGCGCAGCCCTCAGGGTCTTTCCCCCGCCCACCCCGCGCATCGCTAGGGGGCTCAGGCTTTGGGAAGTCCCCCCAAGCTCCCGCGGCCTCCCACGGGCCCGGCGAGCGTCGTCTGGGGAGCGTTTCCATAAATGAACAAACTCAGCCGGGCCCCCCGCAGGGTTCAGCAATTCCAGAAGGCCGGGACAGGGCTGACCCGACGGCGGGGAGCGAGGGGACCCGTGGGCGGGAGTGGGGGGACTGTAGGGGGAGACCCGGGAGGGGAGGCCGCGCCCGCACCCGGTGCTCCTCGCCGGGGTCTCGGGCCCGCCCCTCCCTAGGGCCGGTGTGCGCCCCCTCGGGACGCCTATGCAGCCCTGCCTCGCCCGCCCCTCCCCAGGCTCCGGCTCGCACCCCCGTCCTCCGGCCGCGACCCCCGCCCGGGAACCCTAGCCCCTGGCCGCGGTCGCTTCCCGGACCTCGCCCCGCGCCTCCCCCTGCAGCCCGCCCCGGCCGCACCCCCTAGCGTCCCCGCCCCCGGCCGCGCCCCCTCATGGGGGCCCCCTCGGCGGTCCGGGAGGCGGCGGGCGCGCCATGGGCAGCGGCAGCAGCCGGAGCAGCCGGACTCTGAGGCGGCGGCGCAGCCCCGAGAGCCTCCCCGCGGGGCCCGGAGCGGCAGCCCTGGAGGGCGGGACCCGCCGGCGGGTGCCGGTGGCGGCGGCCGAGGTCCCGGGGGCAGCCGCGGAGGAGGCGCCCGGCCGCGACCCCAGCCCCGTGGCGCCCCCCGACGGCAGGGACGAGACGCTGCGCCTGCTGGACGAGCTGCTGGCCGAGTCGGCGGCCTGGGGCCCCCCGGAGCCCGCCCCGCGCCGCCCAGCCCGGCTCCGACCCACCGCGGTCGCGGGGAGCGCGGTGAGTGTGGGAGCCGCAGGGCCTCGGGGGACGGCGGGGACCCCACTCACCGGCCGCGCGTCCCCGCCCCAGCCCTGGGCGCCGGTCGCGCTGCGCCCCCTTCCAGCCTCCGACTTGCGTGCTCCCCGCTGCCCCGGCCTCCCCGCCCCTGGGCCCCCAGGTTTCCTCCCTCTCTGCCCCGTCTCCGGGTCTGTGTCCAGGCGTGGGGGCGATCGCGCTGGGAGCGGCCGAGGAAGGACACCCCTAGGCGGAGCGCGCCGGGCTCCCGGCTCCCCTCGGGCCCGCGGCCCCGCCTGGCCTTCCCGGGCCGCCCTGGAGCGGGGCGCCGGCGGTGGTGGCACGGCAGCCAGACGGTGGCTCAGAAGCGCCCTGCCGCGCCCACCGGTCCAGATCCTTGCCTTGCTGGGCAGGCAATTCTCATGTTACTGATATTTTTAGGATGCTGCGGAATCTCTTTTGCGCTTCCTATTCTCTCTCCCTGAATACTCGTAATAACAGTCCTGCTGTTCTAAAAAAACAATAAAACAAGCACTCTGGTTTGGCAACCGTCTTCGCTCCAGCAGAGCTGAATGAACAAGATCTTTAACATCCGCTCCCGGGCTCGGGGAGGATGCCAAGGGCCTCGTCCTCCTCCCTGAGGCCCGGGAGGCTTTGCTTAGCAGCCGCTGGGAGCCGAGGAAGATGCCTTCCTGGGTGGCTACCGCACCAAGGAATCCTGAAAAGGCCCCAGGGAGGGTGGGGGAGAGGGACAGCCCCAGGCGACAGTGCACAGAGCTCTCTCCCTCTGGCCCTGGTTCCCTGCTCCTCTCCCTTACGGTCTTTAAAGAGGAAAAGCGAGCTGCAGTGAGTAGGGCTGAATTATATAACAAGATTCCTTTAATACCACATCAGCCTGCAGTTATATAACACTGCCTGGACAAATAGCTGAGAAATTTGGGAGGAATTCACACATAGCAAGGAGGCAGTTAATTTTAGTGTTCATTTTCAAGTGCTTTGGAAACTCGGAGGTGAAAATGAGAGGCAAATAGCAAGAGTGAATGTTGTGCCCTCTGATTTGCTGATATTATTCATCATGGTGACTGCTCGCTCTTTAAGTCATTTTCCAGCTATCCTTTGAGCACCGGTCCCGCTGTGGGTGCTAGGGATGAGGCCACACAGCATAGCCCTTGCCTTAAAGAAGTCTGCAGCTCGATGGGGGAAAGTAGAAAGCAGGGCGATGAGAGATCCGTATCAAAAGGCCACAGGAGAAAGCGGCTAATCCCAAGGGAGGCAGGTAGGCATTCCCGAAGGGATGAATTTGGAAGTTGTCCTGAATCTGGAAGGGTCTGTGGACGTGATCCAGGCAGCAAGTTCTGTGCAGAGAGAACCTCATGCCTAATGTCACTGGTGGCTGGGGCAGCTGGTGCCCAGGGCATGGGTCAGAGAGGTCTTAGGAGAGTATGCCAGGCTGCAGTGCGCCATGCCAAGGGTATTCCATGTTAGCGAGTTTGGGTTACTATGAAAGTTCTGGGTATCTGAAAGGTAAGGATTGTGACAGTTTGTGTTTTAGGAACGTCACACCGACAACTGTAGGGAGGATGAACTGGACAGAGTCAGACTAGGGATAACATGACCACCTGTGTGAGTGGGTGGGGGAGTCTGCAATGATCCAGGTGGCCGAGTCCTGAACCAAGGCAGTGGCGGTGAGAGGCTTGCAGAGGAGATGGTTTCAGGAATTGTTGAGGAGGTCAGCCAGCTGCAGTTGCCCTTCTGGGTGTGAACTGTGTGTATCTTTTTTCTTTCTTTCTTTTTTTTTTTTTTGAAACGGAGTTTCACTCTGTTGCCCAGGCTAGAGTCCAGTGGTGTGATCCCGGCTCACTGCAACCTGTGCCTCCCAGGTTCAAGCGATTCTCTTGCCTCAGCCTTCTGAGTATCTGGGATTACAGGTGCCTGCCACCACGCCCAATTTTTGTATTTTTAGAAGAGACGGGGTTTTGCCATGATGGCCAGGCTGGTTTCAAACTCCTGACCTCAGGTGACCCGCCCACCTTGGTCTCCGAAAGTGCTGGGATTATAGGCATGAGCCACCTCACCCAGCCGACTGTATGTATTTTCTGCACCATAAATATTTCTTGAATAAATGAATCCTAGAATCACAGATTATTCGAGGCGGAAGGGAGCCCTTGGGTCCAATTCATTATTTTCAGATAACGCCTGCATACTACAGATGTGCGCCACCACGGCCAGCTAATTTTTGTATTTTTAGCAGAAACAGGGTTTCACCATGTTGGCCAGGCTGGTCTTGAACTCCTGACCTCAGGTGATTCACCCGCCTTGACTTCCCAAAGTGCTGGGATTACAGGTGTGAGCCACTGCACCCGGCCAATAACACTACTTTTAGTTTCTTTAGGAAGAAAGGAGGAAAAGAAACCTTTAATAGCTTCATAACTGTCTAGCATTTTGGAGGAGAGACATATTCTTCATAAAAGAACATCAAACTCAAGTGAAAGTTATTCTTTTAAGCACTCACATTTAAAAATTTTGACCACTGTTGACTGGGAATGTCTTAGAGATGGTCTGTTTATCCCTGAATCATCATTCTGAATATTATGTTTTGTTTTTGTTTTTGTTTTTTGAGACAGAGTCTCGCTGGAGTGAAGAAAGGGGGAGTGAGGTGGCAGGCACAGAAGCTGGGGTTGTGCTGGGGGAGGGGAGCTTCTGCAGTCATCCAAGTGAGATGTGGGGTCATTTGGACCAGGTTGGCGGGCGGTGGTGAGGGGCGGTTGGCTTATGGACTCACTAGTGGGGTGACTGGGATGTGTGAGAAAGAAAGGAATCAAAGGTGAACCAGGAGTTCTTGGCCAGAGCAGCTGGAGGGATGTAGCTGCCGTGAACAGACACAGAAAATGTGGAAGGGGCAGGTTTGGGGTGTCATTAACCAGGAAGTTGGTTTTCAGTATGTTAAATTTGAGATGCCTGTCAGACATCCAAACAGAAATGTCAAGTGAGTAGATCTTTGTAAGAGTTTGGCATTCAGGGGAGAGGTCAGGTTTGGAGTTCGTTTAGAAGCCATTAGAACATGGGAGGATTTAAACCCATGAGATTAGATGGGATCACCAGTGACGATGCTGCCAGCGTGTGCTTAGGAAGCATGGATGGGCACCGGGCTCTGTCCTGGGAGCTTCGTGTATGTGAACTAACGTGGGACGAGGCCAGGGGTTGAGCACGCTGTTCAAAGGTTGAGGAGATAGAGGCATCCTAAAGAACAGCCAGTAAAGGGGAGAAAACCAAGAGAACATCCGGAAGCCAAGGGAGGAAGGTGCTTAGGACGGAGGGCGTGCTCAGCTGCTGGAAGTGCTGCTTGGTGGGATATATGCGGGAAGCCTGAGAGCTGGTGGTTGAATTGAGCCACTCGGGAGGTCTCAAGGTCCTTGGTGAGAGATGGGTCAGAGAGTGGTGGGAGGCGCCTTGGGCTGGAGTTCATGGAGAATAGGACACAAGGAGGGCGGTGCAGTCAGCTCTTGTAGGAAGGCTCTTTTTACAGCGCAGCAGTAGTGGATGGCGGTAGGGATGGTGCTGCTGGACCTGGAATTCACCAGAAAATCTTAGTCCCAGAATGGGCTGGATAAGAGGAGGTTTTGAGCATTAGATGCCCTCGTGAAATTTGAAGGAACCCTTGGAGAAGAAATTTTGGTTTAATCAAGTAGACATAGATTCAGTATTTTAATTTTAATTTTTATTTTATTTTTGAGATGGAATCTTGGTCTGTCGCCCAGGCTGGAGTGCATCGGCTCACTGCAACCTCTGCCTCCAGGATTCAAGCAATTCTCCTGTCTCAGCATCCCGAGTAGCTGGGACTATAGGAGCATGCCACCACGCCTGGCTAATTTTTTTGTATTTTTAGTAGAGATGGGGTTTCACTATATTAGTCAGGCTGTTCTTGAACTCCTGACCTCAGGTGGTCCCCCTGCCTTGGCCTCCCAAAGTGCTGGGATTACAGGTGTAAGTCACTGTGCCTAGCCAGATTCAGTATTTTTATTAGCAGGTGGTAATTCAGATTGTTTTCCTCCCTCTGCCTATAAACCTGGGTCACTCAAGGTCAAGGGAAGTACGTTATCTGAGAATTTTTCTGTTTTGCAAGAGAGTCTCGGGCAATAGTGTCCTCTCCTTAGGCTGAGGGACTCTGTCATCCACCATTTTTGGAAAGGTTCCATTTGCTGTAGCCATGGAGCATCCGGATAATTCTTTCTTGCCTGTTACCCCAGCCAGGACTTTACAGTAATCTTGGCATGCAGCTGCTATGGAACTCACGGTGTAAAGAGAGCAGTCACAGTGAGTGCCTGGCGGGACAGCACCTCCACAGAAGGACGTCAAGGTGATGGGTAACTTAATGGACTTGCAGCAAAACAAAGTCACTGTCCTGAAGACGGTGACTATCTGCCTGCGTTCAAGTCTGTAGCAAAGAACACAAATTTAAATGGCAATGAGTGATATTTCAATTGATCCAGGGGACAAGAAGAAAGGATGGTGCGGACCCCCAAAAAGCTCATAACCGTGTTGGGAAGGGGTGCGTAAATGCACGTTTGCAAGTTCCCGTGGAAGCATGTTGTAAAGGCATGCTCCAGTGCGTCTGCACACGTGGAGGCGTGGGAATCCCACCCGAGGCAGAAGTCTTCCAGTGGATCTGGTGTCTGAGTTGGTTCTAAAGGATCACTAATGTGTTCCAGCGGTTGACAAAGGGTGGAGCTTTCCATAAAGAGGAAACAATGTGTAGAAAACTCCAGAGGTCCAGAAGCGATTTTTTTTTTTTTTTGAGATGGAGTCTCACTCTATCTTGCCCAGGCTGGAGTGCAGTGGCGCATTCTCGGCTCACTGCAGCCTCCGCCTCCCGGGTTCCAGCAATTCTCCTGTCTCAGCCTCCTGAGTAGCTGGGACTACAGGCATGTGCCACCATGCCCAGGTAATTTTTGTATTTTTAGTAGAGACGGGGTTTCGCCATGTTGGCCAGGCTGGTCTCAAACTTCTGACCTCAAGTGATCCATCCGCCTCAGCCTCCCAAAGTGCTGGGATTATAGGCATGAGCGACCGCACCTGGCCCAGAAGTGCTTTTGAACAGCCTGGAGTTTATGTGCCATTCAGCCAGGTGATGTCGGAGAGCAGAAACCAATGAGACGGGTTTGGGTCACATTTTCACAGGATTCCAAGCTAAGAGGTTGAACTGTCCTGTAGGCAGTGGGGAGCTAGGCGAAGTTTTCTGTGTTTCATTATTTTTAAATGTTTATTTTAAAAATTAGAAGAGGTAATACACAGGCACATGAGGGGACATTGAAAACATGCATTGCAAAGAAAATTTCCCTTCCTCCCAACTCTTTCCCCAGCTCCCCTCTCCAGAGACAAGCAGCTTCTCAGTTTCTTGTGTGTCTTCCCAGCCTGTGTAATAGAAGGATCCACAGTGGCGGGGGAGGTTGTACTGGGGGAGACTGCATGGGGGCAGGAGCCCAGGTAAGGGAGGAATCCAGGTGAGAGGTGGAGGAGGAGGTGAGGTGAGCCACTGAGTTTGACAAGCAAGGGAAAGTGAGTTTCTAGAAAGACTCCAAGATTCCCTGCTTGTGTAGTTGAGAAGATTCAGAATGCTATTAACAGGATGGGCCTAGTTTTGTACAAGTTGAGTTTTGAGTCCTAGGTGGATAATTTCCGTGGGCTGTCCGAAATTCCTGTCAACTGCGAAAAGTGGTTGGAGCTGGAGCTGTCATTTCGTGGACATCAGCATTTGGATAGTGGCTGATGCCATACCAGAGTACAGTTGCTGAGGGAGAGCGTGTGGATGGGTGGGGAAGGATGCCAAGCCTGGAACATGAACATCAAAAACTGAAGGAAGAATTGTCCTCTCTGGAGTTCTATAAAAAGAGTAGGATTAAAAGATGTTAGAAGCCCAGTGCCTCGACCCGGGGGAGGAGCGGGCAGCCTCAGAGGCTCTCTCCCTTCATGGTCCCTGGCTGCTGGCTGCTGTAGGTGATTAGAAGCCTGGTTGCATCACGGTCAGGGGTACAGCCTCACATTTCCTGCCCTGCTGAGAGGCTGTGGTGGCTGCTGCTGAGTACTGGGCACGGCAGGGTGTAGAAATGCCGTGGAAAGGAGGATGTCGGCTCATGCACTCTTCGAGAGATGCTGACCAAGAGCTCTTAACCTTGGAGCTTTGAGTCCCATAGGGCTGGGGCAGACCCTAACTAGACTCTGGGAAGGAGGGTCAGAGCAGTGGTTTGTGCACAACACAGGCCCTTCTGCCCCTAAATGCCGTGAGCCCATTACCCAGCAGGGAAAGCAGCCCCCTGCCCAAGGCCACCCATTCCGATTCCCACCAAGCTCTGTTTCTTGATAGTATATGGCCAGACAGCTGTCATTTCTTTCTATTGCTGAAATCCGAGATGACTTGAGCTTAAGGGACCTCACAGATGGTTCAGTCCCACCTTCTTATTTACATCGGAGGACTTTGGGGCCCAGCAAGGAGTGGGAGGGTGCCTGTTTGCAGGTCAGGCCAACCGCAATCCACACCCTGTTAGCACGGACAAGTCTCTCAGACCCTGAGTCCAGTGACAGCCTCTCTGGGTCTCCCTTGCCTTTTTCCCTGTGGCTTTGGAAACACCTCCTTCAAGGCAAGGCCTTCCCAGTGGAGACGGGCCCTGGACTGGCAGCCCACAGCCGGGGGGGGGGGGGGGGCGGTTCCCAGAGCCCCTTGTCACGTCCTTGTCATGTTAGCCATGCAAGACAGGTCTCATCGCAGAGCCCACCTGCACCGCTGCCCCCCAGAGCCCATCTGCACCACTCCCACACAGCCAGCCTGCACCGCCCCCCCATGCAGAGCCCACCTGCACTGCTCCCACACATCTGCTCTGCTCCCACACATCTGCTCTGCTCCCACACATCTGCACTGCTCCCACACATCTGCTCTGCTCCCACACATCTGCACTGCTCCCCCGCGCAGACCCCACCTGCGCCATCCCCCCCTACGCAGAGCCCACCCGCACCACTCTCCGACTCACAGCCTGCCTGCACCGCTCCCCCACCGCTCCTCCACCTGCACTGCTCAGCTTCTGCTGCCTGCAAAGCCCTACAGTGGAGCTTCCCCAGGGCACTGGGATCTTGGCCTCTGTGTGGGGAGAACAGTGCCCTCTGGTGGTGAGCAACAGAACGAGACTAGCAAAATTGTGAAAGCTGGGTCAGGTCCAGGAGAGCCGTTGTAGGAGTTTCTCTACTGTACATGTTCAAGTTTCCTTAAGAAAACCGAAAAGCCAAACAAACCAAACCTGGGCTTCAAAGAAGGATAATTCTGAAAGAGGAAGGGGGAAGTGTATCCATACTATGGAATAAAAGGAATGGAATTGTTCTGCCAATTACACATATAACTGGTGTATGTACATACATACATATTAAGCTGCTAAAAATTAAGAGTTAATGGAAGAACTCTTTCAGGAGAAGAAATCCACTGTATATTTTATTTTGGGTAAATATGCAGTGGATTTTCTAAAAAGTAACCTTTGGGCCGGGCACGGGCACGGTGGCTCACGCCTATAATCCCAGCACTTTGGGAGGCCGAGGCAGGCGGATCACCTGAGGTCAGGAGTTCGAGACCAACCTGGCCAACATGGTGAAACCCCAGCTCTACTAAAAATACAAAAATTAGCCAGGTGTGGTGGCGGATGCCTGTAATCCCAGCTACTCAGGAGGCTGAGGCAGGGGAATCACTTGAACCCAGGAGCAGAGGTTGCAGTGAGCTGAGATCCCACCATTGCACTCCAGCCTGGGCGACAAGAGCGAAACTCTGTCTCAAAAAAAAAAAAAGTAACCTTTGAAACTTTAATTTTCACGAAAACTTTAGTTTTAAGAGTCAAAAACTTTAAGAGATGATCTTATTCGCTTCATTCTCATATGTTTTCTGCTTCTTGTTTAGCTGTGGTTTGGTCTTTCCAAAGCCCCCCTAGAATCTCAAGGGATGACACACACCCCTCGCACGCACACAAACATACACATACAAACAGGGCGCACACACACACTGGTCCTGAACTCAGCTCAGTTCCCAGGGCCCCAGCCCAGGTGCTGCCGGTTCCCCACGTCCGTCCAGGTGTCTCAGTGATCTGCAGGTGGAGGCAGCCCCCTGGAGGAGCCCCTGTCTGCAGGAGGCTGGAGCCACCATCTGGGGCTGCTGTGTCTTTGCTTTTCATACCAGCTCCTCCTGGCTGCTTCAGCAAGCTTGTGTGTTCTGGGAGTCTCATGCTTTTTCCATCTGAGAAAGTAAGTTCAAGGCTTAAACAAATTGGCCAGATAAAGGGCCACGCAATAAAATCTCAGGCACAGAGAAAAACACAGGTGAAAACAACAGAAACAGCAAGGCTGAGCCATTGGGGAAATTGCTTCCTCCTGCGTCCGCTCTGGGGGGCCGTTCACGCACTGGATGGCATTCCATCCTTAAGGCTGCCCTGAAGCTGCAGTGTCTTCATGTTAGTGAGCAGTGCAAAGTCAGGTCCCTACGCCAGGCATTCCAAGCCCCCTGCCGCAAGGGTCCCGCTGCCCTTTCAGAAGGGCAGCAGCAGGCAGCTCAGTGTCCACCCTGACAGGCCCTGGGCTTGGCTGGATGTCCTGCCTTAGCTTTAAGAGGTTCTCAGAGCCGGGCACGGTGGCTCACGCCTGTAATCCCCGCACTTTGGGAGGCCGAGGCCGGTGGACGGCCTGAGGTCAAAAGTTCGAGACTAGCGTGGCCAACATAGTGAAACCCCGTATCTACTAAAAATACAAAAAATTAGTTGGGCGTGGTGGCGGGCACCTGTAATCCCAGCTACTCGGGAGGCTGAGGCAGGAGAATCGCTTGAACCTGGGAGGCAGAGGTTGCAGTGAGCCGAATCACGCCACTGCACTCCAGCCTGGATGACAGAGCGAGACTCCGTCTCAAAACAAAACAAACAAACAAACAAAAAGGGTTCTCAGGCTGGGCGTGGTGGCTCACCATGCCTGTAATCCCAGCACTTTTTAGGAGGCCGAGGTGGGGGGATCGCTTGAGCTCAGGAGTACAAGACCAGCCTGGGCAACATAGGGAGACTTCGTCTCTACAAAAAGTACAAGAATTAGCCTTGTGTGGTGGCATGTGCCTGTAGTTTCAGTTACTCAGGAGGCTGAGATGGGACCGTTGCTTGAGCCCAGGAGTTGAGGCTGCAGCGAGCTATGATCAGGCCACCGCACTCCAGCCTGGGCAACAGAACAAGACCCTGTCTCGAATAAATAAATAAATATGCCAGGCGCAGTGGCTCACACCTGTAATCCCAGCACTTTGGGAGGCTGAAGCGAGTGGATCACTTGAGGTCAGGAGTTCAAGACCAGCCTGGCCAACATGGCAAAACCCCACCTCTACTAAAAATACAAAAATTAGCCAGGTGTGGTGGCATACATCTGTAATCCCAGCTACTCTGGAGGCTGAGACAGGAGAATCACTTGAACCCTGGAGGCAGAGGTTGCAGTGAGCCGAGATCACGCCACTGCACTCCAGCCTGGATGACAGAGCAAGACTCCATCTCAAAAAAAGTGAAAAATAAAAATAAAACAGGTTCTCCATCTCAGCACGGGGACCGCAGCGATAGAGGTCAAGGCAAAGCCACACCCATCAGAGGGTACTGGGCCAGGCTGGGAGAACCCTGGGGAGCTCCTTGGCATTGAACCAAGTACACCAAGGCCCGGAAGGTGAGGAGACGGGAGCATGAAGACGCTGTTGTCGCGATCCCTTCTTACCCTTGCCCTCCCCCTCCTCACCTGCTGAGCGTTCACAGTGACCCTAGAAATAGAAGTGCGTGACTTCAGGGTGTGTGTTTGGCCTTGATTTTGAATTCTAAGAAGGGGGCATGAGCTGTTGGATCACCCAGCCTCTGTCTGGCTTCAGTGACAGGCATCTCACTGCCTCCTGGGGCAGCCTTTCCCTCACAGGCAGCTCTGACTTAGTCCTCTGTGTTGAACACAACCCACCTCCCTTTAGTGGGGACACACTGAGCCCCTGGGACAGGCAGAAGAAGTGTGGCCTGTTTCCACATGAGCTCTTCAGATATTTGGAGCAGCTACTCTGATCGCTCAATTTATGTCATGGGAACTTTGGACACTGACAGGTTGCTTTCTGGCCTTATTACACATTATCCAAAGTTTCCTCTGCCTTGCATTCCATTAGGCTCATGAAACCTCTATCTTCTATGATTAAAAAAAAAATTTTTTTTAAATATTTTTTTCGGCCAGGCGCAGTGGCTCACACCTGTTATCCCAGCATCTTGGGAGGCTGAGGCAGGTGGATCATGAGGTCAAGAGATCGAGACCATCCTGGCCAACATGGTGAAACCCTGTCTCTGCTAAAAATACAAAAATTGGCTGGGCGTGGTGGCACGCACCTGTGGTCCCAGCTACTCGGGAGTCTGAGGCAGGAGAATCGCTTGAACTCAGGAGGCTGAGGTTGCAGTCAGCCAAGATTGTGCCACTGCACTCCAGCCTGGTGACAGAGCAAGATTCCGTCGCAAAAAACAACAACAACAACAAAATAAAAATAATTAATTTTTTTTCCTCCAGAAAGGGTAATAGGAGATAAACTCTAAGTCTTTGTATGTCTGAAAATATCTTCATTTTCTTAATACCTGATTAATAGTTTATTTGGAATTAAAATTCTGAGTTCAAAATAGCTTTCCCTTATACCTTTGCAGCCATTATAACAGTGGATTCCAGTGTCACTGATGAGCAGGTGAGGCCACCTGACTCTTGGCTTTTTGTAGGTGGCCTGTCTCCGCCTGCTCATCCCTTCCTGGAGACTTTTATTTATTTTTTAAAATTTAATTTTTTTTTTTTCTGAGACAGAGCCTCGCTCTGTCACCCAGGCTGGAGTGCAGTGGTGCAGTCTCAGCTCACTGCAACCTCTGCTTCCTGGGTTCAAGCAATTCTCCTGCCTCAGCCTCCCCAGTAGCTGGGATTAGAGGTGCCCGCCACCACACCCTGCTAGTTTTTGTGTTTTTAGTAGAGATGGGGTTTCACCACATTGGCCAGGCTGGTCTGGAACTCCTGACCTCAGGCGATCCACCCGCCTCGGCCTCCCAAAGTGTTGGTAGCCACCACGCCTAGCTGGTTCATCTTGATTATTCTTTCATGTGCCCTCCCCCTTTAAATGTTTGTGAGTCGTTTTATGACCATTTATATTTATGAACCAAAAACTGGTTGACTAGCACATGCAGTTGGAGTGGGTTTCTTTGTAATCGTGTACACCTATTTACCCAAAAGTTTTTTCCTTTGAACAGAAAGATCTTGCAAGCTCTAGGAAGTTGTAAGCTCAACCCAGGCACCTCTTATGTTTGCAGCCTAAATTCTCATCACCTGGTGGTCCAAAATACTTGAAAGTATAGATTTAATTTGAAGTGGTTTCAGACCAGGGATGCCTGCTATGTGCCTGACAAAAGCAAATGCATCCCCTCTCTGGAGGAAGGCCTCTTAGGCCTCAAAGAATACCCAGAGGGAATTTTTCAATGATGACAAGCTGCCAATGACAAAAAATAATCAACTCCCCAAAGAACCAAGTGAAGACTTAGAAGAAACAAGAAACAAAAATATACCAATGAAGATCTTAGTTACTAGGATCACCAGACACAGACTATAATCAGCTACGTTTATTATGTTTAAAGAAAACACCTGCAAAGGACAAGGACTATAGAAAGTGACCTAGAAGATGTGAAAAAGAACCAAATAGGACATCTGGAAATGGAAAATATAATAAGCAAAATGAAAGATATCAATGGTATAAGTTTAACAGATTAGACAGAGATGAAGAGAGGATCAGTGAGATGGAGAGAGGGAGATAGAAATGACCCAGAACACAGCATAGAGAGACAAGGACCTGATACAAGATAGCTGGAGAAGAAACTACAGCAAATATCATATTCAGTCATGATGTGATGGAAACTTTTTCTTTCAATAAAGGATTAAGATAGAGATGACTGTCATCATCACTTCCTTTTACTGTACTACTGGAGGTCCCAGCCAGTGCAGAAAGGTTAGGGGAAAAATGTATAAGGACCAGAAAGGGAAAAATCAAATGGCCATTATTCCCAGATCATGTGAATGGGAAATAAGAAAATCCAAAGGAAGCCATAAATTACTGGAATTAATAAGAGAATTCAGTAAGACTGCTAAGCACAAGATAAATTCATATATCTCTGACCAGGCCCAGTGGCTCACACCTGTAATCCCTACACTTTGGGAAGCTGAGATGGGAGGATTGTTTGAGTCCAGGAGTTTAAGACCAGCCAGGGCAACACAGTGAGACCCCATCTCTACAAAAAATGAAAAATTAGCTCTTCATGGTGGCACGAGCCTGTAGTCCCAGCTACACGAGAGGCTGACATGGGAGGGTTGCTTGAGCCTGGGAGGTGGAGGCTGCAGTGAACTATGATCAGGCCACTGCACTCCAGTCTGGGCAACACAGCAAGACCCTGTCTCAAAAAAAAAAAAAAAAAAAGAAAAGAATTTTTTTAAAATGTATATATCTCAGTCATTTCTGAAGCATCAAGCAAGTAGAAAATTTTATTTTAAAAAGATAACATTGCTGGCTGGGCACAGTGGCTCACGCCTGTAATCCCAGCACTTTGGGAGGCTGAGGTGGGCAGATCACCTGAGAGGTGAGGAGTTCGAGACCAGCCTGGCCAACATGGGAAAACTCCATCTCTACTAAAAATACAAAAATTAGCTGCGTGTGGTGGCGGGCACCTGTAATCCCAGCTACTCAGGAGGCTGAGGCAGGAGAATCACTTGAATCCGGGAGGCAGAGGTTGCAGTGAGCTGAGATCGCACCATTGCACTCCAGCCTGGGCAACAAGAGCAAAACTCTGTCTCAAAAATAAATAAATAAAATAAAAAGAGATATCCATGGTATCTCTATAGGGAAAATGATAACTTCTTAGAAGACACTAAAGGAGTCCTAAATGAATAGATATTCCCTATTTATAAATTTGAAGACTCATTATTGTAAAGCTATAAGTCCCCCTAAAATGATCTATAGTTTAATACAACCCTAGAAAAATCCCCAAGGTTTTTTTCCCCCAAATATGACAAGCTGATTATAATACATGTATAGATGGTCCCTGATTTTGATGATTCAACATAGGATTTTTCCACTTTGCAATGTTTTCTTCGGGCCGTAACCCCATTGTAAGCTGAGCAGCACCTGTACGTGGAAGTGCCAATAGCCAAGAATCACCAAGACTCTCTTGGAAAAAGAAAGAAGCTGGGAAGACATGCTTTAGCGGACAGCCAGGCTTGCCTGATGCCAGGAATGAGACAGGGTGGTTCTGGCACTGCACGGGTAGACAAGTGGACTGTCGGACCATAGAATCCACGGCAGCCACATGCTGTGTAGACACGTCCTGGCCTTATGAAGAGAAAGCACTTCAGTGGGGGAGGGAGAGGGTTCTGGGCAATGTTTAGAGTGGGGTCGGGGTCGCGTGGTTCCTGGAGGTGACATACGGGGTGTCCTCGTGCTAGGTGGCAGTGGGTCCCAAGATCCCTGGAGGTGACACACGGGGTGCCCTCGTGCTAGGTGGCGGTGGGTCCCAAGATCCCTGGAGGTGACACACGGGGTGCCCTCGTGCTAGGTGGCAGTGGGTCACATGACCCCTGGGGGTGAGAGACAACCCTCACATGGGTGGCCGTCTGGGAGGCAGCAAGTCTGGCCCTGGCTCTGCCACTTGCTCTGTGTGTGAGCTTTCCAAGTCGCTTTCTTTTTGCAGCCTCCGTTTTCTTGCCTGTGCAATGAGTGGATGGAACTTGACAGCTCGAGAGCCTTTCCGCTCCGAGGCTTATGGATCCTGGGTTGAAAGTGGTGGCCATCGTCTGTCCACACAAAGCCAAAGCCTTAGGCAGGCTGCACTGTTGACAATCTTTGAATGTCTCTTCATTTCATCTTTCTCAAGGTGTGCGCAGAGCAGAGCACAGAGGGCCACCCGGGGAGCGGCAATGTCTCTGAGTAAGTACCAGGGAGGCACATCTCTCCCAGAAGCCACGGGTTCTTTTTGTTGACTCCAGCCAGCCTCAGAGCCCTCCTGTCCCCCACTTTCCTCCAGGTCCTCACGAGGTTTCCAGAGGCAGCTCCCTCTAAATGCAAAGCCCTAGCCCTCAAGGGAAGGTCCTGCCAAGGAGATTGCAGAAGGCTAACCATCTCACCGCAGCTTTGCTCTTCCTCCTAAAAAAGGTCGTGACCTGGATCAGACCAGGGCATGCCCAACCCATTTCCTATTTGTGCTGTAACTCATTCAAAAATATTCAGGTGCCATGCTGTGCGCTGTGGCCAGATCTAGGAACAAGACACAGCCCTTAAGGAACTCGCAGCCCAGGGCCAGCAGCGGGCCCACCTGCAGCTCCACAGCACGTTACCAGGGAACCACGCTGAACACCCTTGAAGGTAGCAGGCGAGGAGCCTGGGCTCATTTCCTCCTTTAAAATCCCCCAACCCCAGAGCCCAGGCCTTGTCTGTCTGCTCCAGGGATGTCTTTCCACCCCAGGCCGGTCACCCCCTTGGCTTGCTGACCTCCAGCTAATGTGGCAAGGGGTCACTGGGAGTGGGTGATTGTCAGGTAAGATTGTGGGAGTGAAAAAGTTTGGAAATGTTAGCCATTGTCCTTAATTACAAATGATTTCAGGACAGGAACCCTGCTGAACTCGCTTATTTAACAGACACTGGGAGGTCCTACCCTGAGCCCCACAGCGGTGCTGAGGGCTGCAGTGCAGGGGCCGGGTCTGAGGCCCAGCCCGGGAGGGGCATGGTCTCGGGAAATGCAAGCAGCGAGCTCCAGGGGAGGTCAGAACTGGTGTTTAAGATGGCTTGAAGGGGCCGGACCCAGTGGCTCACGCCTATAATCCCAGCAATTTGGGAGGCCTAGGCAGGCGGATCACTTGAGGTCAGGAGTTCAAGAGCAGCCTGGCCAACATGGTGAAACCCTGTCTCTACTAAAAAAATACCAAAAAAAAAAAAAACAAAAACAAAAATTAGCCGGGCACAGTGGTGCGCACCTGTAATCCCAGCTACTCCGGGGGCTAAGGCAGGAGAATCACTTGAACCCGGGAGGTGGAGGTTGCAGTGAGCCAAGATCGCGCCACTTCACTCCAGCCTGGGTGACAGAGGGAGACTCTGTCTCAGAAAAAAATAAATAAATAAATAAAAATATAAAAATAATATGGCTTGAAGGACGTACAGGAGTTCGCCGAGGAGAGAGGAAGGAAAGAGGCTCCTGGGACACTGTGTGGACAGGTGGGGGTGGTAGGAGGGAATTGGGGAGGGAGGATTAAAGTGTTGGGAGGGCCTTGAATGCTGAGTGGAAACTGCTGGCCATTGCTTCCCAGTAGAATGCTGTGGCCGGCTCTGGGCAATGTTAGAAGCTGCTGCAGAGGGGGAGGTAGTGAGGAGTGAGGATGATGCCCACGCAGCTCTGCCCCTGCACTGTCAGCAGGGACTTTAGAGTTTCCATCAGCCCAAGGAATTTAGGATTAAATCCTACCATGAACTAATTAGCTATTACTTCTTCTGACTTCTACACGTGCACATTCCAGGACACCCCTGACATATCCGTTACTACCACTCACCAGTGGTACTTCACTCATTCAGTATACTTATTTATTTATTTATTTTTATTTTATTTTTTATTTTTTTGAGGTAGAGTTTTGCTCTTGTCATCCAGGCTGGAGTGCACTGGTACGATCTCGGCTCACCGCAGTCTCCACCACCCGGGTTCAAGCAATTCTCCTGCCTCAGCCTCCCAAGTAGCTGGGATTACAGGCACGAGCCACCCTGTCCGGCTAATTTTTGTATTTTTTGTAGAGACAGGGTTTCGCCAAGTTGGCCAGGCTGGTCTCAAACTCCTGGCCTCAGGTGATCCGCCCACCTTGGCCTCCCAAAGTGCTGGGATTATGGGCGTGAGCCACTGCACCCAGCCTTTTCATTCAGTATACTTTAATGGGAGCCTCCCTGAGTGCTGCCCTAGGCGTAGGAGTGCCCAGGGCTCTGTCAGCCCCTCCAGCACCGTGCTTCCACCAGGAAGGAAGCCCCAGGTCCCAGCAGTCCTGCCCCAGGGTCAGGGCTGGCAGCATCTGCCCTGTACCCACTGTGCTTCTCGCTGCCCACGGCACACACCTGACTCCCGTGGCAGCCGTGGACCCTGCAGGCCAGTCTCAGCCCCCCAGCGTGCAGCTCTTGGGTACCAGTGCCTCACCCTGTGGCTGCAACAGTGTCCCGCCCTTCAATCTCCTCCCTCCAGTGTCACCCTCACCCTCCCAGGCAGGGTCCTTCCAATGGTGTTTCAGGGTGGAGGTGCTAATGTCTGCAGCTGACTCTGGGATGCATCAGAAAATCAGATGAAGAAGTAAATAAGTACGTGATAAAGTAAATATAGCAAAGTTGAACTTAATTGTTGAATCTACAAATTTTAACTTTTCAGTATGTTTGAAATTTTTCATAATAAAATATCGAAGAAGAAACCCTTCAAAGCACAGTTTAAACATCTCCCCCTCATACTCTATCCCCTTCCTGGTCAAACTAGTGTCCCTCCTCCCGCATGGTGCAACTTCCCAGCCCCTCCCACATGTGGCCTCTCCTGTAGTAGGTCCACGTGATGTGGTCCTGCCCTGTCCCCTCTCTTCTCTCCAGGCCTCATCACAGAAGGAATCAGATTCGCCTCTGGGCCCTCATAGCTCCAGGCACATGGTAGCATTTCATAGACGCTTATTGACAGGATTGTTTAATGTCAGCCTGGGGCGTGTGGGCCTTGACCCCAGTCCTGACCATCCTGACAACGCCAGGTCCTTCCCCCGGGAGGGCCCTGCGGAAGCAGCAGAGGGAAGCAGCCATGCGGGAGGAAGTCGCTGCTTCCCTGAGCTTTTGGCTGGGCCATCCTGACCTGAAGTCTGTAAGGAAGGGCTAGTGGAAGCCCAGGGGCTCATGGAGGGGAACATAGGGGTTCTAGAAACTTCTGTCTGCAGCTGCTGCTGAAATTCACTTACTGTTCATTCTGCAAATGCTTGTTGAGTACCCACTGTAAGCCAGGCCTTGGGCCAGACACATTACGGTATTGGTGAGAGAGGTTACTCCTCCCCATTTTCCTAGTGAGTAAACTGAGATCCAAGGCAGTATTTCCCCAGGTTGGAGAGGCGGCAGATTCTAGAAAATTCTAGACCCAGCCAGGCGCAGTGGCTCATACCTATAATCCCAGCACTTTGGGAGGCTGAGGTGGGCAGATCACCTGAGGTCAAGAGTTCAAGAGCAGCCTGGCCAACATGGTGAAACCCCATCTCTACTAAAAATACATAAAAATTAGTCGGGAGTGGTGGCACGTGCCTGTATTCCCAGGTACTTGGGAGGCTGAGACAGGAGAATCCCTTGCACCCATGATGGGGAGGTTGCAATGAGCCGAGATCGCAGAGTGCGCCACTGCACTCCAGCCTGGGTGACAGAGCAAAACTCCATCTCAAAAAAAAAAGAAAAAAAGAGAAAATTCTAGACCCAGTAGAATAACACAAATGTTCTTGCCTCATTTAACATGTGGGTTTCTGAGGCCCAATTACAATGGATTTGTTCTCTCTGGAGAAGCGTATTGGTTTCTTTTCTTGGAGTGATTTTCCTTGGAAAGGTCTTTTTCTTTTAAGAAATTTGTGACTTTCAGCCTGGGTAACATAGGGAGACCTCGTCTCCACAAAAGTACCAAAATTAGCCAGGCGTGGTGGCACATGCCTGGGGTCCCAGCTGCTCAGGAGACTGAGGTGGGAGGATGGCTTGAGCCTGAGAAGTGGAGGATATGGTGAGCCGTGATCCTGCCACTGCATTTCAGCCTGGGTGACAAAGCAAGATCCTGTCTAAAAAAAAAAAAAGCATGACTTTAGGAGTCCCTGCTGATGGAAAACCTGACAGTAAATGAGAATTTAAACAAAAATTCATTTCTTGACTCCCTCAAGAGTGGTGAGACTTCCCAAGAATCCCTTTAGGATCAATTTTTCCCTTTTATCTGTGTGCCCCCACCCAAGCAGGGGAAAGAAAGAGCTTATGGCCCCACCTGGCTCTCTAAGCCCCACAAATTGCCCCACGGTGTTGGTGGAGTGTTGCCAGGCAGACAGGGCAGGGGTGGCTGTGGAGCCCAGTGGAGCCTGACCTCTCACAGACCCAGGACTGCCTACCGTCCTACTCACCCTAGCCCCAGGGCTGCCCGTCAGCTTCCCTTGCGCCAGTCCCTGCTCTCCTTTCTCCCCAAGATTCCACCTACAGGGCATGTCGGGTGCTGAGTGAGACAGGACGAGTGAGGAGAATGGCTGTGTGAATCTGGACAGCCACCTCCCCCAGGGCTCAGCTTCACATCCACAGGCAAGCAGGGGGCTGCCTGGTGAGCCCAGAGGGGCTTTTATTCCTGTGGGGGTCCCCAGGTCCAGAAGTGCTGCTTGGGATTCCTGTTGGCCAGGAGATCCTGTTGCCCTTGAGGGTGTCTGGGCGTCCCGTGCCCATTTCTCTTCTTCCCAACAATCCTCAGGGGAGGTGAGCCCAGGAGGATGGTGGGAAACAGGAAGGGCAGTGGCCGGGTCTCTCCTCTGTACTGGGTGCTTTGCTGGTCCCTTACTCTGCCTTTTTGTTTGTTTGTTTGGTTGGTTGGTTTTTCTTTTTTGAGATAGGGTCTTGTTCTGTCGTCCAGGCTGGAGTGCAGTGGTGCAATTTCAGCTCATTGCAAACTCCACTTCCCAGGCTCAAGTGATTCTCCAGCCTCAGCCTCCTGAGTAGCTGGGACTACAGGCGCATGCCACCATGTCCGGCTAATTTTTGTACTCTTTGTAGAGATGGGGTTTCACCATGTTGGCCAGGCTGGTCTCGAACTCCTGAGCTCAAAGCAATCCACCTGCCTCGGCCTCCCAAAGTGCTGGGGATTATAGGCATGAGCCACTGCGCCGGGCCAGGCATGAGCCACTGCGAAACTAACAGCATCGCAGCGACTTCTGTTGAGTGCTTCCTTAGTGCCCAGCTCTGTGGTAGACACACCGCAGATGGCGCCTGGTCCAGCCCTCAGGCTGGACTCGTGGAGTAGCTGCTGGGTTTTATCCACAGGGGCGTGAGGCCTGGTACATGCCTTGCCCACAGCCACACAGCGACTGCGTGGCAGAGCCAGGTGAGATCTGCCTGGCTCCAGAACGTCTGCATTTCCACTGTGTCTCAGGGCTGCAAGGAACACATATTGCCTTCAGTGCTTTCACAGACAGGCAGTGTGCCAAGAGCCCTGCAGGCGTCAACAGTGACCACGCAGCTGTTTCTGCGCACTGGCCGCGGGCAGTGCTAATAAGTATAGTCCCTGGAGCCAGCTGGTCAATAGGGGCATGACGTCTCCGGGACAGGGGAGGAGTGTGTCCCCTGGACGCCTGGAGGCCCTCTGCTAGATGCCGATCCTTCCTGGGGGATGAAGTCAAGTGGCTGTGCCAGGAGCCCAGCTCTTGCCCTGAGTTCCCAGAGAGCCAGACGGGGACCCGGAGGCTGTGCTCTGAGCATCAGTGGGAGTAGTCAGAGGGACATTTAAGTCCATCCAGCCCAGCCCCCCAAGCTCGCAGAGGGGGAACCAGGCCGGGAAATGGGGGGCGGCTAGCCCTAATGTCTGGCAAGTGGCAAAGCAGTTGGCGGTGTTCCCATTGCCCAGAGTCCCTGGCTGGCCACTGGGAGGGCAGCATCCAACACCTGGCTGTGGGCAGCTGGCCTGCCTCTCCTGGACCCTGTCAGCTGCAGACCTGCACACCCCCTTCCGAGGCAGCATCTCCAGGAGGCAGCACCCAGCCTGACCGAGGCTTCATGCCCTGCCCTGGGCTCCCGGGACTGCCTCCTGCAAAGGTCTGCACATTTCGACACAACCGTGGCAGGTCCGGGGGCAGTCAGCACCACCCAGGTGTCCACACAAAGTCCAGAAGGTCTGGGAGAGCAGGACAAGCCAGCAGGGTCCAGGCTGGCGCAGCCGCTTTCTGGAACCCAGGCAGCAGGAGCAGGAGCTCTGGTCTCGGTCCCTCTCAGCTGGGCTGCCAGGTGGGCTGAGGGACTGGCGGGATCCTGAACGTGTGGTTCCCCACAATGAGCAGCTCCTGTGAGACCCCAGAGGGTACAAGCACGGACCGATGTCGGCAAGCAGCCAACATGACAGTAATTCCCTTTTATTTTTTATTTATTTTTTTTGAGACAGAGTCTTACTTTGTCACTCAGGCTGGAGTGCAGAGGCTCATTCTTGGCTCACTGCAACCTCCACTTCCTGGGTTCAAGCCATTCTGCCTCAGCCTCCTGAGTAGCTGGGATTATAGGCACCCGTCACCCCACCCGGATAATTTTTGTATTTTTAGTAGAGATGAGATTTCACCACGTTGGCCAGGCTGGTCTCGAATTCCTGACCTCAAGTGATCTGCCCACCTGGGCCTCCCAAAGTGCTAGGATTGCAGGCATGAGCCACTGCGCCTGGCCGTGATTCCCATTGATTAAGGCTGTGGTGTGCTCGATTCCACATCACATGCTGCCCATGCATTATCTTATGCTTCAGAACGACTCATGAATAAAGTTACGTGCTTGAGAAAAAACACCGAGGCTCGGAGACACACTGGCCTTGCCTGAGGCGCGCGGGTGAGCCGCAGAGCTGGGATTCAAGCTCGGTCTTCCCACCCCAGAGCCCGTCCTCCCTCAACCAGGGCAGGTGCTGGCTTCCACTCTGCGAGGGCTCAGCGTTGTGGGAGATGAAGCGGACGCAGTAGAAGCCTGCTGGTGGATATGTGCTGGGCGAGAGCGCCACAGGGTGTCCCAGGGCAAAGACTTCGGTTTGGGTTTCAGGATGGGCCCACTAGGAGCCATTGTGGTGGCCAGGGGAAATGAGTGTGAACGCACCATCCTGCCTCCTGACAGCCCTGTCCCATTTCTGACCCACAGAGCCCCAGGCAGCGGTCGCAAGAAGCCCGAGAGGCCGGCAGCCATCTCCTACGACCACTCGGAAGAGGGGCTGATGGCGAGCATCGAGCGGGAGTACTGCCGCTGAGGACAGCATGCTCCACCCCCGCCAGGCCTCGGAGGCACCTGCTGGCTGGGGCACCCTCTGCTTGCACAGAGCTCTAGCAGGAGCTGAACCACCTCCAAAACGCAGTCACTCCCGGATATTCAAAGCTGCCCTTTCAAATCCACTTTCAGACCGCGCTGACCTGGGCCAGCCACTGGCGGTCATGGTTGCTGGTGGGGGCGATTAGCTGTGTAGACCCACAGGTGCGTGGGCCTGGGCCGCCGGCGCCTCCTCCCCAACGCGGGGAGCCTGCCCAGTTCTTCTGGAGCCTGAAATGCGTGCCCCTCTTGGTTGCCCGCTCTCCACAGTGGGGAGGGCTCACGAGGACTAGGTGACACAAGCGAGCCCCTCCTGGCATCCGCGCCACAACACTTCCGGAAGGTTCTGCTGTGGAAGGTGCACCCGCGCTGCTCCCTCAGTCTCGGGCCCATCTCTCCAGGGGTGGCCGGGTCAGCTTAGTGCTTCTCAACTTTAACTCCCTAATGAGCAGCCTGGGGGTGCTGTTGACTTGCAGGGCCTGAGGTTCTGTACGTCTAACCAGCTCCCAGCCCAGGCCCGAGCTCCGAAGCCCCAACTGCACTTTGAGGAGCGAGAACCCCAGCTCTGATCTGCCTTGCAGTGGGAGGTAGAGCTCGTCACTGCCTCTCTGGGCCTCAGTTTCCCTCTCTGGAAAATCAGCTCTGGCAGCTCTTGGAGGCCCTCCCCAGCTCTGACAATCTGGAACTGCTGCCACTGCTGGTCCCCTGCCCCAGGCACAGCAGTGCCTTCCCTGCGGGGAGCCAGCGCCCAGGTCCAACCGGGAGAGGGTCTGCCTGATACTGGCTTTCCAGTTCTCCCTCTCACAGGCAGCCTGGCCAGTGCCTGCGGGGCTTTTAAATTCTCTTCCTGCCTGGGTGGAAGGTGGGAAACCACAGCAGTGAGGCAGGAAGAGCCTTGGAATGTTCCTGGTTGACAGATGGGAAAACTGACCTGCCCAGGACGCCCTGGGAACAGGGGGCGGAGCTCCGGCTAGAGGGGACTCCTGTGTGGGCGGGCAGGTCTGGAGCCTGGGCCCAGGTGTGGCCTGCTGGGGGACAGCTCCGGGGGAGAGCTGTGGGGAGAACAGCGGTCTAGGGAGGCAGGAGGCAGGCGGCAGGCTCCTCCCCAGCAGCCTGCAGGGCATCAGGACAGAGGGGGAAGGAGGAGACAGAAGGGAAAGAAGGAGATAGAGGGGGAAGGAGGAAACAGCGCGGCTTCTGCTGAAGCCAGTACAAGCCTGGTTATCTGGCTTGACCCGCCCACACGGAGGCCTCCCCAGCGTTTTCTTTTTCCCGAGAAGAGCTCCAGCTCGCAGGTCCTTAGAACACAGCAGAGCAGGAGCATCTCAGGAACCAACGGCCAGCTCCTTGGCGCTGTCCCCAGCCCCACAGGCCTGCTGCGGCCATCCGCAAACGGGCATTTCCTTGAACTTTTGAGAGTGCCTTTGACCAGCTGTTCGCAGCTGGGAAACTCCAACTTTTGAAGTCAGAGCTTGGAGCGGCCCCCGCAAGGGCGTGGCTCAAACCCTCCCCAGAGCTGGGAGCCATTGCTTATGCAAGCCCGTTTCTTTTGATGTAAAGATGGAAGTCGTTACTATATTTTAATAATGCAAATACATCTTTTAAAATAAGTTAACATTTCTTACCACCAGATGGATCAGGCTTTGAATTTAAACATGTAAATGTTTGTAATTTTATGTCATTTTGTTAAAATGGGACGCTTTCAATTGGTTTCCAAGAAAGATGATACCTCTGCATTTTCTGGTGGAAAAGGTGTAATACCCTTAATGAGATCAAAGTGTTAGGGGAAAAAAATTCCAAAAGTAGTTACAAGCTATATCAATGTCAAAGTAAATGCACTTCATCAAAGCTAAGAAGTCACAGGAATTGTTCTCAGGTTTTTAAAAAAATTTTTCCTGAATTCAGGAAGTGTCTTCTGAATAGCAGCTAGCCAAATAAAGCGGTGTGTGTGTACTGCAGCTGTAGGTGAACTTAAAAATAATAATAAAAAGAACAAATAAAGCAGTGTGTACCAGCCGCTGAGCCGGCCCTGTCTCTGTCCTGTGAGACGGAGGGGCTGTGCCTGGAAGTAGAGGGGTGGGCGTTGCTGCAGCCTGCAGCCCGGCCCGAGTCTGTCCCAGTGCCTCCTGTGTGCCTGGCACCTCCTCAGGCATCTTCCTGGCTGCCCCATGTTGCAGCTGAGCCTCAGCGTCCTGCTAGAACTGCGTGTGGGATTTGCTCACTGCCAGGATGGGACTGTGGCTGGAATGGAGGCAGAAAGAAACACATCTCAAAGGCAAAAATGACGCACGTTGTTGTCTGGAAAAATCTTAAGTGACCACAAATGTGTCTCCCGGTTTCTTTTTTAGTTTTCTTGAGACAGAGTCTCACTCTATTGCCCAGGCTGGAGTGCAGTGGCGCGATCTCAGCTCCCTGCACCCTCCGCCTCCCAGGTTCAAGCAATTCTCCTGCCTCAGCCTCCCGAGTAGCTGGGATTACAGGCATGCGCCACCACACCTGGCTAATTTTTTTGTATTTTTAGTAGAGACGGGAGGGTTCACCATATTGGCCAGGCTGGTCTCGAACTCCTGACCTTGTGATCCGCCCGCCTCTGCCTCCCAAAGTGTTGGGAATACAGGCGTGAGGCACCACACCCGGCCATGTGTCTCTGGTTTCTGTAGTATGAGAGTTCCTCGAAGATGCTACAAAGCCGCAGGAACTGAGGAAACACTGTCCACCCCTGGCTCTGAGAAATGCTGGGTGTGTTTTCTTAGGGAAGGAGCAGAGTCCTGCTGTTGCCCTCCTCCTGACATGTGTGTTCCCAAGTCTCTCTTCACCGGCCCGTGGGCTCCTAGCCTCACCCAGGAAGGGACCTCCTCCCTCGGCTGCTGTTGGCTCAGGTTCCCTGCGCCTCCCTGAGACAGCCCTTTCTAAGACACTTTCCTCTGCTGTTCCAAAGACCTAGGGCCACTTGTCCCCACTCACCCACGTTGCCTGGACACCTGCTGCTGACATTGATTGGTGGATCCGTGAGAGCATTCTCTGTTCCCAGCAGTGGGGCACGCTCGTGCACGTGTGAGCACATGGGAGAGCATAAGGCTGTCGAAGTGTAGCCAAGCACCTCACGGAAGAGAGAATCCGTGGCTTTTTTTTTTTTTTTTTCCTTTTTCCTTTCTGGCAATAATGAGGCAGGAGAAAAGTCTTGTCAGTTGCCACGAGAGGGATAATCACACTTGCGGCTCTAATACTTCCCTCTAGAAGGAGGCTCCGTAATCAGACCTTTTGTGTGGTGAGGGTCTGGACCCCCTGGGGACAAATCGGACTTTCTGAGGTGGGCAGGGGCTGTGTTTTCTGAGGACATATGGCAGCCTTTAGTTTTAAGAGTTGGGAAGGAAAAGAAGGAACAGTGAAGCCTGTGGCTCCATGATGTACTTTGCAATCCTGGGCCAGGGGTGGAAGGAAATAATGGAAGACTTCCAAGCACTTCTTCCAGAGTAGCTGGAAAACCACTTTCAATTCTACCTCTTTGCAGCCACCCCCTGGCACAGGAAGGGCACGAGCACTGACGGCCACAGGGTCACCCGGCACACTACTGGGTCTGTCTGGACCAGACCCACTGCCAGAGTGGCCACTTCACATGTTGGCTTTTTGAGACAGCGTCTTGCTCTGTTGCCCAGGCTAGGGTGCAGTGGTATGATCATAGCTCACAGCCGCCTCGAATTCCTGGGCTCAAGGAATCCTCCTGCCTCAACTCCCCAAAGTGCTGGGATTAGAGGTGTGAGCCACCATACTCAGCTCGCTTCACACATTTTTTTTCAGAAAGAACCCTCCAAAGAACCCAAAGAAACAGAATAAAACTCCAGAAAACAAAGAGGAGAGTTTAGTTTGAGCCAATACACAATGAATTTTATAGATTCTTCCAAAAAGTCTCTAGGTATACTTAGGCCACCAGGTACAGTTAAATGACACAGGACACACATCCAATGTAAAATCAAGTTTTATATGATTCAAAGAGAAAAGTTACATTACACATGCTCGTTTAAATAATGTCAAAGTCTGTTACATAAAACATAATTATGAAACATTTTAAGTCTTATCATTCAAACTACTTAAAAGGCTCAAAGTCACAAAAGATCAAGCAAAACTGCCCAGGCAATAAAGTGCACGAGGGGAGCCCACCTCTCCAGCGGCCGTCAGCACCCAGAGCCGCCAGCTGAGGGCTCCATGCCGAATCCATACACAAGGTTTGTGGTTCTCAGAAGAGTTTTCAGACAGGAACTGTTTCCAACTTAAAATCTTTCAACAGACAAATGGAGGTGGAAGGGGGATGGTTTACACAAAGTATTTCCAAATGTAATCAGGAAATGGAAGTGTAAATTAAAACCGTTTTCAACATGTATCTCCTCTTTAGAAATATCACTGCTTGGAGAATGTTGTGACAAGCAACCAAATACTCAAAAGACCTTATCCACCAGAATACTGGCAGGACTCACATTACTTTGCATGTCATAATTAAGAAAAATATCCAAATTTGATGCCATTTATAGTGTGTACAGTCAAAAATGTGTATGCTGATTTTGATGAGCAGGAGAAAGGACTGGGTGGTGAGGAAACATGAACTATGCACAACATGAGACAACTGTGCTGTCTCACGAAGACACGACACTCACCTATGGAGTGTCCAGACTGAAAACCTCTGAATAACACACACATTTGTGTCAAGTAACAGCTGATACTAAGGGGCAAGTTAACAGGTATCAAGTCACACACAATGAATGACCAGGTGGAGATTTTATCAGACTACAAAGAACAAAACACAAAACCTAATTTTATTCAATATTCCACCTTACCATCATTTAAATAAAGGTAAATGCTGGTAATTAACATAGACAAAATTTAAATACATACTGCACAATAAAAAAAATTCCCAGGCTACCAAATTAGTGCAACATTCTGTATGTTCCTACATTTATTCCATTGCCTGAACTTCCAATGTTTAACAAAAACCAGTATCAGTGGCTTCTTGAACACAGGTGGCCACATTCTCTCGGTTATCTACGTGCTCATACAGTTGAAAAATATTGTCCATCTATTTTCTAGGTAGACTGTAAAACACACCATTCCAAGTAATTTTCTGTTTGGTCAAAACAATTTCCTTCAAACAAAATGAACAGAAAGGCAGTTGGGTAGTATTACTGCCATTTAGCGTAACTTGCATTTCCTTGTGTTTCTAGTATTTGGCAAACAAAGGAAGCGGAATCTTGGCACTGCCTGCCTTCACATGCATCTCGCCCCAGCTAAGCTGTGCTCTGGTGGAGTTTCATCCAACCAATACAGACATTTCCTTTTTTTCTGAGAAGTTACTCTACCCACAATATAGTACGGATAAGGCCACAGCAAAAGGAGTCAGAACTGACAATTGACAAAGCAGCTGGATTTGAGTGTTTCTTTTTTGGTGTTTTAGGTACAAACAAGAAACTGAATGGCTTGCTTTCAGCAGAGCCATGGCCAAGACTATTACAGACTAGATCCTGCAGCAAGTACTGGTCCCTGGGATCTGCCCAGTGGCTCATGTTACTCTCTGGGGTACATCCTTCATGACACACCATGGACACAGCTCACTAGTTCCAGTCAACCAAAATTTTAGTTCTTTGGTGACAGGAATGATTGCCTAGAATTTCCTTGAAAACGTTATGAAGAAGCTGACGGCAAAATTTATTTTTCCCTTTTAAGAGGTCCTTACTCAACCAGGTCCGATTCCAAAAAGATCTAAAAGGCCAGATAACTTGTGGTTTTTGTAGTGGAATAACATGTCCAGTTTACTAAAAGAAGGGCCATTAGGAAAAACTTTGTTATTAAACACTGAAAAGAAGGCTGCAAAATGATCTAGCTAGAAATTGGTGATTTGAGCACCAACAATATAAATATTTTTCTAAAAACCAGTATAAAAATTAGTACCCTGTCTTATTTCTACAAAACATCAATAGAAAAGGTTGTAAAAATCCAGATTTTGTAAACTTTATTGCCGAAATATTTGTTTGAATGCTGGTGATTCAGATTATCAAATTTTCTACCATTTCTTTAAAAAAAAAACCAAAACAAAAAAACTTCTGAAACTACAAAAGATACTGAACAGGGTCCCAAGTGGAAAAGAAAAGTTAACATACTTTCATCAAAACCAGCTCCCCGATCTTCCCCTAGGCCGCCAAGACCGTTTTTTTTGGGTGAGGCAGTGGGAGAGGAATCCATCAGTTCCATTCCTGGAAAGAGGCTTTTTAAAAATCCCATGAGTGATGTCCTAATGGACCTTTCAGGCAGAGGCTGGCATGCTCACCAGTGGGCTCCCCGGGCTCTCTGCAGAGGCGATTCTGTTCAGCTTGCCAACCTCTGCCTGCCAGCCTGGGATCTTCTTGGTCGTCATGTGGCGCCGGGCATGCTTCGTCAGGTGGTCACTGCGCATGAAACGTCGGTCACACACCGGGCACACAAACTTCTTCTCCCCTGTGTGAGTTCTGCGGTGGCGTGACAGCTCATCCGAACGAGCAAACTTTTTATCACAGCCATCCCAGCTGCAGTTGAAAGGCTTCTCCCCTGTGAGGTGAGAAAATACATATTAAAGAGAAAGGAAACGCTAAGCACCTTATTCAAGGGGTTAATTCATGTCATTTTAAAATCGTGTTCATCAAACTCAGAAGAAAGTGGTATCTTATTACTCTGGAATTGGATGATTTGGGTCAAGAAATCCTCCAAAAGGCATTTATTCCTCCCACACTTAAGATGCAGCTATGTTAGCACCCAAAGATTTCAAGCTAATCTTTCAAAATATATTTAAAAATAAATCAGGCGAAGTACAAGTACAGCGGCTCAAACCTATAATCGCAGCACTTTGGGAGGCTGGAGACGATCAGTTGAGCACAGGAGTTCCAGACTAGCCTGGGCAACAAAGTAAAACCCAATCTTTACCAAAAAACAAAAATAAATTAATTAAAAATGTAGCATCCAGCCAGGCGCAGTGGCTCACGCCTGTAATCCAAGCACTTTGGGAGGCCGAGGCGGGCGGATCACAAAGTCAGAAGACCGAGACCATCCTGGCTAACACGGTGAAACCCCATCTCTACTAAAAATACAAAAAACTAGCCGGGTGTGGTGGCGGGCACCTGTAGTCCCAGCTACTTGGGAGGCTAAGGCAGGAGAATGGTGTGAACCCGGGAGGCAGAGCTTGCAGTGAGCCGAGATTGCACCACTGCACTCCAGCCTGGGCGACACAGGAGACTCCGTCTCAAAAAATTAAAAATAAAAAATGTAGCATCCAGCTGGGCACGGTGGCTCACGCCTGTAATCCCAGCATTTTGGGAGGCCGAGGCGGGCAGACCACCTGAGGTCAGAAGTTCGAGACCAGCCTGACCAACATGGCGAAACTGTCTCTACTAAAAATACAAAAATTAGCTGGGTGTGGTGGTGGGTGCCTGTAATCTCAACTATTCCGGAGACTGAGGCAGGACAATCGCTTGAACCTGGGAGGCGGAGGGTGCAATGAGCGGAGATCGCGCCATTGCATTCCAGCCTGGGTGAGAGTGAGACTGTCCAAAAAAGAAAAAAAAAGTAGCACCGGCCGGGCATGGTGGCTCACACCTGTAATCCCAGCACTTTGGGAGGCTGAGACAGACGGATCATGAGGTCAGGAGATGGAGACCATCCTGACTAACATGGTGAAACCCCGTATCTACTAAAAATACCAAAAAAATTAGCCAGGCATGGTAGCTGGCACCTGTAATCCCAGCTACTCGGGAGGCTGAGGCAGGAGAGGAGAATGGCGTGAACCCGGGAGGCAGAGCTTGCAGTGAGCCGAGATCGCGCCACTGCACTCCAGCCTGGGCGACAGAGCAAGATTCCATCTCAAAAAAAAAAAAAAAAAAAAAAAAAAAGGTAGCATCTATTCACTCTACCTTACTCCAATTTAAATATTTTTCAGGTTGGCAGAAATATATATAAAAAGCAATCTTATCCAAGGTAAACTTGCCCAGTTTCTACTTCTCATGAAAATTCCAAGTTTACAAAATGGCACAAGGGGATTCTTCAGAACTCTTACAGTTATTTATTTTTATTTTTTGAGACGGAGTCTCACTCTGTCACCAGGCTGGAGTGCAGTGGCGTAATCTCGGCTCACTGCAACCTCCGCCTCCCAGGCTCAAGCGATTCTCCTGCCTCAGCCTCCCAAGTAGCTGGGACTACAGGAGCGTGCCACCAAGCCCAACTATTTTTGTATTTTTAGTAGAGACGGGGTTTCACCATGTTGGCCAGGATGGTCTCAATTTCTTGACCTCGTGATCTGCCTGCCTTGGCCTCGGAAAGTGCTGGGAATACAGGTATGAGCCACAGTGCCTGGCCAATTTTTTTTTTTTTTTTTTTTGAGATAAGAGTCTCGCTCTGTCGCCCAGGTTGGAGTGTAATGGCGCAATCTCCATTCACTGCAACCTCCATCTCCCAGGTTCAAGTGATTCTCCTGCCTCAGCCTCCTGAGCAGCTAGGATTATAGGCATGCGCCAGAAGGCCCAGCTAATTTTTGTATTTTTAGTAGAAACGGGGTTTCACCATGTTGGCCAGGCTGGTCTCAAACTCCTGACCTTGTGATCTGCCCACCTTGGCCTCCCAAAGTGCTGGGATGACAGGCGTGAGCCCCTGTACAAGGCCTGTTATTGAATTGGAAGTACTTTAGGAAACATGGAAGCAACTTGTTTCAATCACTGCAGGTCATTCTGTCAGTACTTCTACCAAGGTAAACCAAATAAACGGTAAAACTTCATTCAGTCACCTCCAACATTTGGAAGCTGTGCTCTGGTGTAATGCAAAGTTCCCCTGGAGAGTCCCGGTGAAATGCAGAGCTCACCAAGTCAACAAGCCCATTAAAAGAGGCAGGCAGGTCAATTCCCCTCAGAAACACCCGTTCCCTGACACAGCCCCACGTCCATCTGCCATGCAAACAACCAACCCTCATTTACTGACTAGTGTCAGGCCCTTTTATCAAGCACCAGGAATATATCCAGGTGAGATATACAACTAACTAAAAAACAAAGGGAGACTATAGTAAGACCTACAATAAACCACTAGGGTCAAAGAAGGAAGATAAAGAAACAATCTAATAACTAATCCTAGGAAGGCCCTCAGAGGGTTTCAGTAAGTAGAGATGGGCAGAGGGCCAAGAGGGAAGGGTGGAAATATGGAACCAGACATAGAATGTTGGGGAGACTGTTTCTGAATGGGCAGAGGTGAGTACCTCATGGGCCAAGTTTGGCTTTATCCTCAAAGCAAGCAGCCACTCAGTAGAATGGAGTAGTAGAGTTCCTCTTATAATGTCTGAACACCAGACTGCACTTTATTCTACACGTGGAGGCTACCACGATCAGAGCAACAGAACACAAACTCACAGAACACCTGAGAAATGGTGCCCTCACCTACTGAAGCGATTGTCTATCCAGCAACACTCAGACCACTGCTGCGCAGCAGGGCAGCCACAGGTCCCATGGAGCTATTTAAACTTCAAATACTAAAAAATGTAAAATTCAGTTCCTCAGGCACACTAGCCACACACTTCAAGTGTGAGCAGCCAGTGGCTACCCTAATGGACAGACAACAAACATTTCCACCATTGCAAAAAATTATATTGGACAGAGCTGGTTAGACAACAGAGAGATCATTAGGTCAGCATAGTTTCTTGTGTGACTTACTTTAAATTAAAAACTACTCTCAGAGGTAAGAAAACTATACTCTTTTAAAAAATATTTTAGAATTTGAACTTTTCTATAGTTTGGCCAGACCTTTTCTCACATAAACATAAGTCACACTGGTAAGATACATTTACTAAATGTGAATGAATGCATGTTTTCTTTAAAAAAAAAAAAAAAAAAAAAAGGATGAAACGTCTACTGCAATGTGAACAGAAGGGGGCACTGTAAGTCACTCTAAAAGCTACCAAAAGACACAATCACAGAACTATACTACATTTTATCTTCCAGGGCGAGCGCTCTGTAGGCAAAATCCTGATGGCTGTGCAAACAATCCCACCCTTACAAGGTTGTGCGGGCTTTTCAGAACCAAAGAAAAAGCCACACTTCCACCTTCGCCAGGGGTTCTCATGATCCCCTCCCAGCCAAAGGCGGCTCAAGGTGTGCTTCCTAACCACAGGGTCTGGTGTGCCCAATGCCCCACCTGCCCCAGCGCTTACCTGTGTGAGTGCGAAGATGGGCCTTAAGGTGGGAACTTTTGAAGTAGGTCTTCCGGCAACCTGGGAAGCTGCATACATAGTTCCTCCTTCGGGAAAAGTCTACCTGAGGGACACAGTTTTGGCTAGAGGTGATGAACACTGGAGCAGGGGCAAGGGGCAACAACTTGGTATTCCCGGCAGCCATGACATTGGCTGCACAGGGGGCAGGCGGAGGGAGGGCTCCCTGGGGCAGGACCAACATCACAGCTCCCTGAGGCACAGCAGGTCCCACGAACACAGGTTGAGGCGCTGGAGCAGCCTGAGCTAGGATGGGTCTCACAGTCCCCACAGACAACTGGGGAGGGGGCTTCAAAAAAGCTGGTAACATGCTACTTTGTCCAGTCACAGGGATCATCTGGCAAAGGACAGGGGGAGCAGGGACAGAGACAGAAATCAGAGGGGTGGTTTTCCTGGGCAGGTCATTTTCATAATTCTTTGGTGAGCAAGTCTGAACTGCACCAGGCCACCCTGCCTGCTGGCCTTTGTCAGTGAGCAGCAGGCCACCAGACTTGTGCAAGCAGGGCTGACAGGACACCAAGTTAGTGCTGAGTAAACTGTCCGTGAGGTGTGTGTCCTGCAAAGTTTCAAAGTGTCCCAGAAGCTGCTCTTCTCCTTCTCTGCTGTCAGAAAGCCGGCAATCTGGAGTCTGGATGGTGGGAAAGCAGGCAGCAGGGCTCTCCCCAGTGTGTCGGATCACGCTAGTCCCCTTGGCCCTGCAGGGAGAGCTGGGCACTGGCTCCAAACCCAGCAAGCCCCTCTCCGCGCCCCCGCTCAGAGCTCTGGCCACTACGGCAGAGGACTGGAGAACATCCGTGGCTGTACATGCTTTGGAATCTGTTACTTGGGGAGAAACAGGTGTCCTTGTCGATGGCTCCACGAGATCAGGGCTCTGAGGAGGAGTTATGCACTAAAAAAAAAAGTACCATGTTAAAAGGTTGCTTTAAATTTTAAAAGGGATTTAATTCATCACAATGCTCCCAATACCTTTACACAGAATCATCTAGACACTCAGTTAACCCTGTTTTCAACATCCCAGTGGGTTTCAAGGCTGCATGAGGCACTCTGCTTTCTCAGCTTATTCCCAACGTGTTTACCTCTCCCAAACCTACACAAGAGCCCAGTGCAGGGAACTCTGAGAGGAGCTCCTGGCCGCCAGGCCCACCACTTCTGCAACCCTCCCGACAACCCACAGGCCCTTCCTATCCCTCTCCAAATCTGCTTTCTACACTCTTCTTTCAGAGCAAGCTTCCAGCCCAGGACAATCACAATTTCCACTTCTGTTAGCAACCTACAGTTCTCAGCTTCTCCAAGCTGAGATGCAATTTTTCCAAGTACTTTCACAGATGTAGCAAATTAAAAAAACAAAAAGCAAGAGTGACTTACTGCACCCAACTCACAGAACTCACATTAAGGAGTCGGCTGCCACGGGAGGGCAGAGGTGCCACCCAACGAAGGCAATCTGATGTCAAAGTACATGCTTTCTCCAGCTGCTACCGATATATTCTGACACTAGGCTGGAGAACCTAAGCTCCACCCCGAGATTCCCCTGGGGAAGTAAATTTCACTTTCTCACATTAATCTGTAGGTTTCATCCCACGGACATTAACCACGTAGCTAGCAAGGTATGATCCATCCATAGAAAGAGCACATTTTTCAGAAATGAAAGAAAAGTTTCTTTTTTTGTTCTTTTATTTTTTTTTGAGATGGGGTCTCGCGCTCTGTTGCCCAGGCTGGAGTGCAGTGGCACGATCTCGGCTCACTGCAACCTCCGCCTCCCGGGTTCAAGCGATTCTCCTACCTCAGACTCCTGAATAGCTGGGACTACAGGCGCCCGCCACCACACCCGGATAAATTTTGTACTTTTAGTAGAGATGAGGTTTCACCATGTTGGTCTGGCTGGTCTCGAACTCCTGACCTTGTGATCTGCCTGCCTGGCCCTCCCAAAGTGCTGGGATTACAGGCTTGAGCCACCATGCCTGGCCAAAGGAAGAGTTTCTACTCCTTCAGACCCACACAGAGAGGATACGCAACTTATTTGCCAGCATCCCAGGGAATCTTCTCACAAGTTCTTCAACACACTGAGTTCAGCTACTCTAGTCATTTCACAAAAACGCTCCTCCCTCCCACCTCCTCTTACCAGAGTCGATAAAGAATGGAAGTCTTTTGGTAGTTCAGGTGTGGCTGCATCCATATGCACAGTGGTGGTGACATCCCCAGAGTCAGAGACAGGCGTGAGGGGTCTTATCCGCAACAGGTCACCTTTCTGGGATCTTTGACCCCAGGAGCTCATACAAACAAGAGCCTCGACAGCTTCCATGTCTGTCTGCTCCAAGATGCTGCAAGTAGACCTTTCGCTGTCATGCCGCTTCCTCTCCAGGATGGACTCACATATGTCCATGATGTCAACCTAAAGGCGACACAACACAACGGCTTCTCAGTGCAGGGGAAATACAGAGGCCACCCATGATGGGCATGTGGATATGCATATCAGAAGCCTACAGTAGGCATGTAATGCACATGCAATAGTCTATAGCAACAAACACCGAGGTGTAGTAAAAGACATTCAAGGAATGCTCATGACAATTCGGCTTTTAAGCCAACATTTCACAGACAGAACTAAGCTGGCAAGCGTTGCCACCAAAAATCCTGACTCTTAAAAAGGGCTACTAAGTTCATATTTTTCTTGGGTAAATGATTAATAAAATTAACTCCTGAGGTTCAAGCCAAAAAGTGGCTGGGAGGAGGAGCAGCTGCCCAGGGAGGAGGAGCCAACACTGAGGCCATCTAGTCGGTCTGCCAGTGGCCGCGGCGCCCTGACCATGGCTCTCTGAGGCGGCAAAGCCGCCAAAGCAGTGTCCCTACAGATGCTCTCAGGGACTCTGGGGCCTTCCGCCTAGGCTTCCAGCACTCCACGCAGGTAGGGCCCATGGCGATTCCACCAGTTCCCTCCACAGATTCGGGAGTGGAAGTCATCTGTTACTGTCCCAAGGCTAGCAGGTGGTGACAAGAAGCCAACCTGCCGCGAACCCGGAGAGGATCTCTTTGCAGTTTTTTTTTTCTTTTTGAGATGGAGTCTCAGTTGCCCAGGCTGGAGTGCAGTGGCACAATCTCGGCTCACTGCAGTGCCCGCCACCACACTTGGGTAATTTTTGTATTTTTAGTAGAAAGAGAGTTTTGCTATGTTGGTCAAGCTGGCCTTGAACTGACCTCCCGGGTTCAAGCGATTCTCCTGCCTCAGCCTCCAGAGTAGCTGGGAGGCGTCCGCCACCACGCCCAGAAAATTTCGTATTTTTAGTAGAGACGGGGTTTCACCATGTTGGCCAGGCTGGTCTCCAACTCCTGACCTCAGGCGATCCACCCGCCTTGACCTCCCCAAGTGCTGGGATTACAGGCGCCCGGCCTTGTTTTTTTGAGACAGAGTCTTGCTCTGTTGCCCAGGCTGGAGTGCAGTGGCACCATCTCGGCTCACCACAACTTCTGCCTCCCAGGTTCAAGCGACTCTCCTGCCTCAGCCTCCCCAGTAGCTGGGATTACAGGCGCCCACCACCATGCTCAGCTGATTTTTGTATTTTTAGTAGAGAGCGGTTTTCCCCATGTTGGTCAAGCTGGTCTCGAAAGCCCGGCCTCAGGTGATCCGCCCACCTCGGTCTCCCAGAGTGCTGGGATTACAGACGTGAGCCACCGCACCAGACCCTCACCGTCTCTTTAATCTGGAGGGGAGGAGGGAAGAGGCTGGAATGAGCTGATCTCTTCCAAAAGAAAACTAAGCCGGGGGCGAGAGGGTGATATTACTCTGAGAAGAGTAATACCCCTCCCTCCCAGGGAGGTTACAGTGGGCCGAGATCGCGCGCCCACTGCACTCCGGCCTGGGCGATAGAGCGAGACTCCCTATCAAAAAAAAAAAAAAGGAAAGGAAACTTTAAATGTACGAAGATACACGTTTCCTCTCTATCTGCCATGCACCAAAGCATCAAAGCTTTCCGTCTGCCGAGGTTCCCCGAGATCAAACAAGACGAGGCCACCTCAAATCCCCGGCCTCTGTCCCGCAGGCTGCGCCACTAAACCCCCTGTGATGTCACAGAACCGGGCGCCGAGGCCGACTCACCACACGGGCGGGAAGGGGCTCGCCCGGCCCACAGTGCCCGCACACCACGAGGCCCGCGCTCTGCCCACGTCCACGGCTACCTCCCCGAAGCCCCCAGGTCGCGACGCTTAGGGCCCCCAACGCTCGCGTGCCGCGTTCCCGCCTCCAAGCGTTGCCCCGCCTCCAAGGCAGTGCGGCGCTCCCGCCTCCCGTCGTTGCCCCGGCCCCTAGACCTTGCCCGCCCCCAGGCCCGAGCGGCACTACCGCTAGCCGCTCTTAACCCGCCCGACGGCCGCGTGCCCCGCCCCCAAAACCGTGCCGCGTTCCCGCCAGCAGCTCTTGCCCCGCCCCCAAGGCCGCGTGCCGCGTTCCCGCCAGCCGCTCCCCCGCCCAACGGCCGTCCGGCTCACAGGACCGGGGTGACGTCATGGCTGGAAATAGCCGCGGGGCCAGCGGGGCGGGGCCGCCCAGGAAGCGCAAGACAAAGCTGCGCGGGGAACACGCCCCCTCCTCGCCCCCGCCGACCCGGGCGCGCCCGTCGCGGCCGCCGCCCCGCCCGGCTCCGGAGCCCGCCCAGGCCCCTACCGGCGCGGCCGCAGCGAAGCCCTGCACGCCCCACCTCCCGCATTTACAGGCGCGCGAGTGCCGCACCACTTCCCCCGCCTCGCCCCTCGCTCAGACGAGTAGTCCCGCCGCGGCAGCCCCACCACTCACTGCGCGCGCGTCGTCTGGGCCTGCGAAGTCCGGCGTGTGCATCGTGCAGGCCGGCCGGGAGCAACAAAGCGGCCGCGGGGCGTGAGCTCGGGCGCAGCAGCGGCCGCACGTGGGCTGCGGGCGGCGGCGGCGGCGGCAACCCGGAGCTCCTGCGGCCGGCACGCGCCTCGCCCGCCCGCGCGGCTCTGCCCCGGCGCGGCCCTCGCGGCGCGGGAGGGGCGGGGCGGCCGCGGAGGGAGCGGCTGGCGGGGCGGGGCGCGGAGGCGAACCAAAATACACCGCGCCCCTGCCGGGGCGGGGCCGGCCACCACCAGCCAATTCGTGCCCGGCCGGCCAATGAGCGCCGCGGGGGGCCGCGTGATCGGAGCCTGGCCGCGGCGTGATCGGGCAGGGCGGGACGCGGCACGTGTTTTGGTCGGAGCGAGGGGCGGGGCCTGAGGCCCTGGAAAGTAAGGGAAAGGTCGCAGCGGCGCCAGGGGCAAGCGGGGCGGAGGGGGCGGCGGGGGCGGAGGGGGCGGCGGGGGCGGAGGGGGCGGCGGGGCGGCGGGGGCGGCGGGGCGGAGGGGGCGGGGCGGCGGCTGGGGAAATCCCAGGGCCGGGGCCGGACTCGGTGCGGGGAGAGGGGACCACGCTTATAGGAACCTCCTGCAGCCCCACCGGCTGAATCCATCGGTAGCGGAGACCCACCTAGAGGCCTCAACCTGGCTTTTGTTTGGTTGTTTTTAACTTCTGTCATTCTCCCTTCGTCTCTTAGGAATGCGTCCTTGACCGGAGAGGTCGGAAAGCTGGCCGGTTCTAGGTGACATTCCTGCATCCGGTCATTTTTGCAGACAGCGGGAGTCAGAGCTTATTGGCCTGAGTGTCCCGCTGACGCCCCTCCTCTGGCGTCTCTGGGCCTCTTCCGCTCTGTTACGGGGTCAGGGGAAGCCGAAACGGGCAGTCACCCAGAAGGCGCCCGCTGAAACCCGCCCATTCTTCCCAGGCCCCGAGAAAACGCCGCCCCCTCCGGGAAGTCCTCGAGCCTGCAGGAGACATCTAGCCCGCTGTCCAGGGCACCTTTTTTTTTCTCCCTATATTTCGGTTGCTCGCGTCTCTTGGTGTGGTTTGCCCACGTCTGCAGCGCCAGGTTCGTGGAGAGCAGGAACCATGCTGTTTATTTTCGTCGCCGCAGCCTTCAGCTCAGCGAGGAGCCACCCCTCCTCCGTCTGTTCACTGCGCGCGCCTTTGCTGAGCTGTGATGCGGGTTGGCGCTCAGTGCAAGGGGCAGAGGCCGCAGTGAGGAATCCTCCTTTTTTAAAAGCTCCATCCAGGGAGCGGGAGCAGAGAGAGAATCCCGGCACCCCGGGGCTTTGCTCTGAGCGAGAGAATTCTGGTCTTAGGGGAACGGGCTGGGCCCCACCACTCACATGAGCAGGACTCTGGTCCCCACTTGTTCCTTCGGGGCCCACTCGGGTTGGGCAGAGGGGTTGACCAGGCTGAGGAGAGGGTGTTTGCTGAAATAGTAAGAGGGTTTAAGACGAAAGAACCGTGATAAACTGCTCGCATGAAGACCCCGGAGGCTCTGAGAGGGGCGCAGGGTGTTCTGTGTGTAAAAAGTTAAGTCTTAAGATACACACTGGAATATTCTCTTTTGCCTGGACTCCTGCATTCGCCTTATAACTGGTCTCCCTGCGTCCACTCCAGCTCCCAGAGCCTCTTCCCACTCAGCACCCCCAGGGGTCTTTAACCCTTTCAGTGGCTCCCACTGTACTCAGCGTAACGCTTCTGCTCCCCACTGTGGCTTGTGAGCTCCTGCAGGGACCCAGCCCCATGCCTCTCCCCACGCCCCGGAGGGACAGCCTGGGCCTCCTCTTGGGCGCCTGTCCCACCAGCCCCTCTGCCGTCTCCAGGTCCTCGCACTTGCTGTTCCCTAGAATGCTTTTCCCCCACATGCCCCCTTTACTCTCACCCGCAGTCCACCTGGAGAGGCCCCCTCTAGCGGACACACCCTCGGGGCCGACCTCCAGTCCCCTTCTGGCGGGCTTTCTTGTTTTCTTCCTCCACAACACTTTTCTTGAACTGCCCCTTTTCCATTACTTCAGTTATTTATCATCTGTCTCCCCACCAGAAGGACTCTCCCAAGGCCAGGGAGCCTGGCTGTTTAATAAGTCCACGTAGGTGAACGAGCGAATCGAAGGTATCCACCAGCCTCCCTGCTTGAACATCCCGTGAGCACCTCTAATTGTGTCCTTAAAAAAACTGAACTCAGGGCCGGGCGCGGTGGCTCACGCCTGTAATCCCAGCACTTTGGGAGGCCGAGGCGGGCGGATCACCTGAGGTCAGGAGTTGAAGACCAGCCCGGCCAACATGATGAAACCCCGTCTCTTCTAAAAATACAAAAATTAGCCTGGCACGGTGGCAGGCGCCTGTAATCCCAGCTACTCAGGAGACTAAGGCAGGAGAATCGCTTGAACCCAGGAGGCAGAGATTGCAGTGAGCCGAGATCGCACCACTGCACTCCAGCCTGGGCGTCAGAGACTCAGTCTCAAAAAAACAAACAAAAAACTGAACTCGGATTCCAGCCAAATCTGGATTTCTCACCTCCGTGAAGGGTACAACTGGAGACCCTGTTCCTTGATCTAGAAACCTGAGCGTCACCTTTACCTCCTCCCTTTCGCACAGTTGCTGTCTTCCGCCAATTACATGCCCTTCTTCCTTCTCAGTTCCTCTCAAACTCTTATGTCACCCACGCCAGCCCTTGTCCTGGCCACCACCTGCTCACCTGAATTGTTGCCACTGCCTCCCAACAGGTCTCCCTCCCTCCAGCCAGACGCCCTACAATCTGCCCTCACCTCACTGCCAGAATGATCTTCTGGAAGCAGAGGTGGAGCTGAACCTGTATTCAAGCCGTCAGTTGGAATCCAAACAGTTATAGGACTGACTTCAGGCTCCATGGCCAGGAACCCATGAGTCTTTGTAGCCAGGCTCCAGCCAGCACTTCCTGCATCATTTCTGACCAGTTTCCCAAATTGCTTTCCCTGCTGCCTTCCTGCCCCCACTGACCCAATACAGAACCCTGTACTCTCAAGGTCACGCCACTCTCTTCTGTTTCTAGACAGCATTCCTTCTGCGTGGAACATGCCAACCCTCGTCTGCTTTGACTTTGCAAAACTGCATGAGACCGCCGGGCGCGGTGGCTCACGCCTGTAATCCCAGCACTTCAAGAGGCCGAGGCAGACAGATCACCTGAGGTCAGGAGTTTGAGGCCAGCCTGGCCAGCATGGTGAAACCCCGTCTCTACTAAAAATACAAAAAATCAGCCAGTAATCCTAGCTACTCGGGAGGCTGAGGCAGGAGAATCGCTTGAACCCAGGAAGCAGAGGTTGCAGTGAGCCGAGGTCATGCCATTGCACTCCAGCCTGGGCTACAAGAGTGAAACTCCGTCTCAAAAAAGAAAAAAAAAAAGAAAAAAAGACTGCATATGACTCCCCAGTGAAGCCCTCCCTGATTGGCCTCTGCAGAAGGCAGCATGCCCGGGCTTTGGAGTCAGACCTGCATACAAATCCTTGTTTTGCCGGTGTGACCTTGCCAAGTCTTCTTTCCTGCAGGACAGAAGGCGGCAGCAGCTCTCCCTGAACTGGCACTCTGGCTTCTCTTGCCCCAGGGTCTGTTTCTGCTCCTTGGACAGCAGGCGCATGTGGGAACTGTGCCCTCTTCAGCCATGAGCCCCTGTTCTGCGCACATCTAGCCCATCTTCCAGATGGACAGACAGTCTGTGGTCGTCGCCAAACCCCTGAATCTGGCCCTGCCCGCAGTCAGAGGGATGGCAATTTGTAAGCTACAGACTATTGCGAATCATTCACTTGGAGACTGAACTAAGACTACTGGCACCAGGCTCCGTAGACCCTCGGGAAGAGCATGGTCTGGCAGGCAGACTGGATGTGGCCACAGATAACATCCCCTAAGGGGAGAGCGTGAGCCTGCAGGCCAGAATGCCACCACTTTCTCCTGTGTCGTTCCAGAGAGAGCCTGTGGCTATGCACGCTTGCTGCTACAGAGGGTAGTGCTGTATACCTCCTGGGCTCACTTACTGACTTTTCAGTCTAAGGGCTTATTGCAATTGGTACATAACGATCATACTTTGTAATGGTTAAGTAATATTCCATCATATGGATGTGTTGTTTATTTAACATTCTGGTTGAATAACCAAGACTTTTAGGTTTCCAGTTTTCCAGGAACATCATGCCCCTCCATCATTTGCCCACCTGGAAGGATAACTACAGGATAAGCAGCTCTTAGAACTGGAATTGCTGAGTTAACTGCTCTGTGCATTTCCTTGCTTTTTCTTGCTTTTCTTTTCTTTCTTTTATTATTTTTTTGGGTAAATTTTTATTGAACTATAGCATAGCGTAGATACAGGAAAGTGTAAAAACTTAAATGTACAATTCAATGAATTTTCGCTAGGCAAACACTGTGTCACCAGCACCCAGATTTAGAAACAGAATATTACCAGAATCCCAAAAGCCCCATGAGCTGCCGTCCAGTCACTACTTACCGTTTCCCTGATCCCCTGCATAGGATAATCCTTATCATGGCTTCTGACACTTTCGGTTGGTTTTGGATGTACTGACACTTTTTGTGTGTGTGTGACACTTTTATAATACAAAGAAAATCATACAGTATGTTCAGTTTGGGGTCTGGCTTCTTTCACTCAGTGTGTTGTTGTGGGCAGTTGGAGTTTGTTTATTCTCATTCTTCTGTTCTCTTTCTCTTTGGTTGAGTTTACTGGGCTGGAAGCAGTACAAGGACCAGAATATGCTGTGAGCTGACCAGCCACTGGGCTGGCTGGCTGGTTGACAAATGATCTAACAAATGGTTGACAAAATGGATGGATGAATGAATCACAGACCCACTAATCCACTGACCTGTTCAATGCCTGACTGGAAATTGAGTGTCCATTCCTCCCAACACCCCAGGGCCCCTGTCTCCCTTTGCTAGGGGCACTCATGATGGTGAGCAGAGAGGTCTGTAGGTGTAGCTGAGGCACAGATCATCCAGGTCAACCTGCGTATTTTAGATGGGGAAACTCAGGCCTAGCAACTTCACACAAAGCCACTTTGCTCAGGGGAAAAATCATCATGACGCTGTGTCTGATGTGGTTGAGGTACGAAGGAGGACCAGGTCAGAAGACGTTTATTAAATACCAAAAGTAGGCCAAGTGTCATGCTAGGGGCTAGCTCTTCATGCCTTTTGATTCCCTGATTTCAGCCCCATTTATAGATGAAGTCACTGAGGGACGAGAGGTGAAGCCACTTGCCCGTCATTGTCGGCCAGTGAGTGGAGGGCCCGGGATCCATCCCTCCAGCTCGGGTCCAGTGCTGCTTTGTCCCAGCTGCCTGCCCCTGGAAAAGAGGCTGCTAAGAGCACGTGCTGAGTCCTTGTAAGCTGGCCCAGAGTCGGGGGCTGTGGGCAGCTCCCACCAGGCACAAAAGGGGGTGCTCAGTCCCATCACTCCAGGGAGGGTGAGGAGGCCAGTGCAGTTTGTTCCTGCTGTGGCTGCCATACCCCTCCCCACACTGGACACACCTCCTGCCACGTGGTTCTGGCTGCCTCAGTGGCTGCACTCGGCCTTCTTTCTGTGTCTCCAGGCTGCGCTACAACCTCACTGTGTGATACGTCTTCAAACCTCCCAAGAGGGAGAACCAGGTTGGCTTAGGCTTTTAGGCTCAGAGTAGGGGGGCCACATGGCCCAATCTGCAACTTTTGCCAAAGGAAAGCCCCAGAATGGGGCTATGGGTGTAGTGGGCCCTGAAAGCTTCTTTGAGGACATGGGCACTTGGCAGGGGCCTTGCAGAGGCTGGGCTAGTACAGTCTATGTTGGGGAATGGGACCCCTTGGTGCTCAGGGCTGTGGGACCGTGGAGGAACAGGAGCCACCCTCGGCCCTTCCCATCCCTACTGTTCAGCAGGAAACTGACTCACAAACAATGGTACATCCTATATACCAAGAGCCGTGCTGGCACAGGCGTCGGGGGAAGAGGTGGGACCCGATTACTCGTGTCTGAGGAACTGGTGGGAGGGCTGGTCTGGGACAGTGCCCAAAGAAGACATCATTTGAGCTGGGTGTTAAGGACAGCTAGGAGGTAGCCACCCAGGAAACAGAGGTGCCCTTTTGGTACCAGCTTCATACCTCGTCCGCCTTTGCATTCTCCAGCTCTTGGCACAAGCCCCTCCTATGCGGTGGGTGCCCAGTGAATTGAAATAAGCCTAGGAAGACGCTTAGGCCTTTGTCCAGGCCAGTGGTTCTCCAGCATGAGCCCAGAAGGCGCGTTAAAACACGGATTGCCGGGCCTACCCACTGGCTGCTGACTGAGCAGGTCTTCCTGGGGTCTGTGAATCTGCATGTCTTTTTTTTTTTTTTTTTGAGACGGAGTCTTGCTCTGTTACCCAAGCTGGAATGCAATGGCATCATCTCAGTTCACTGCAACCTCCACTGCCTGGACTCAAGCAATTTTCTCGCCTCAGCCTCCCGAGTAGCTGAGATTACAAATGCCCACCACCATGCCCGGCTAATTTTTGTATTTTTAGTAGAGACAGGAGTTCGCCGTGTTGGCCAGGCTGGTCTCGAACTCCTGACCTCAGGTGATCTGCTGGCCTCGGCTTCCCTAAGTGCTGAGATTACAGGCGTGAGCCACTGCTCCTGGCCAAATATGCATGTCTAATAAGTTCCCAGATGTTGTTGACACCACTGGTCCAGGAATCGCGGCAGTGAGAACCACTGATTTAGTCCAATCTCTGCATCTTACAGAAAGGGAAATGGAGACACAGAGAACAGAAGCAGCCTGTCCTAGTTACTCAAAGTGTGGGCAGAGGAATGACTGGATGCCCTGCCTCCAGACTCACGCTGAGTCCCACCCCGAACCACACTGCAGTGCCACCCTGCCACCTCTTGGACAGAGTGCCCCAGGAGCAGCCCCAGAAGAAAGCCTCAGGAGGCCAGCATGTCTCTGGGCAACAGAACAAACCGCCGACTGGCCTGGGAGGGCAGGCTTCCAAGGGTCCTCGTGGCTACCCAGCCCATCTGCTCAGCCAACTGCTTGCATCTGGGTATGTTGCCAGCCCGACTTCCCCAGTGACCCAGCATAGTGCTGGCACCAGCGCAGACAGGGCAGCAGGGCCAGCCAGGCCAGGAGCTCAAGGCACTGACAGAGTGACCAGTGGAGAAACATCTCACAGGGTGACTTGGTGTGGATCCCTGCGGGGCCTGAGCAGGAATCTGTTGGGATGCTGCTGTCATTCCTGTCCCCTGGGCAGAGCCAGGGGGCACTTACCCAGGTCTCTGCTTAGGCTGATGACTGGTACTGTGTGCCACTCAGCGTTGGAGGTGGGGAGGCCCAAGCCGGCTAGCTTCCTGACTCAGCACAAAAACGAATTTTAACCACTTGAAGGAAATGCCCCGTCTGAGGCAGGCTGGCCTCTGGCTCAGAGCTGAGCACATTGGAACCAGGAGTCACCAGCCTCCCCCAGACAGGCCAGGCCCTCTGCCAGGGGCTTTCCTGGCACCAGGGCACTCATCACCACTGGCTCCTCCTGCTGGCCTGTTCCGTAGCCACAGCAGCTCCCCCTCTGCCCAGGAGCCGCCACCCAGGCTGCAGTCAGTGCCCCTCCCAGGAGTCCTCATGTGGGCATCTCTTCTATTGCTTGGTCAGTTTATACTTGTCTCTGCCCTAAATTGGGGGCTCCAAATCCAAAGACCGTGGAAACCTTTACTGAGTAGGCCCAGTGCAGGCTGAGGCTGATCCTCACCTAGAAACTGGCAAAGCACTTAACCAGGGTGGGCTTAGAAAGAGGCCTCGTGCCCAGGTTGGTCTGCAGCCCCTCCCTGGACACCTTCCTGGCTCAGTGTCACTCATAGATCCATGCTGGGTCTCGTTGGGTCACTCTGGGTCACTCTGCATGGCATGGGGAGCTGAGAGAAGCACAGTCTGCCTGTCTGCAATCATCTGGCACTCACAGTTTGGACGGAATCGTCATTCCTTTCACTAACCCTAGCTGTCCTCTCCCCAGTTTACCACTGCTGTGTGGGAACTTGAAAAAGTGGGTAAAATTAGCCAGGTGTGGTAGTGTGCACTTGTAATCCTAGCTACTTGGAAGGCTGAGGTGGGAGAATCGCTTGAACCCAGGAGGTGGAGGCTGCAGTGAGCCGAGATCACGCCACTGCACTCCAGCCTGGACAACAGAGTGAGACTCCATCTTAAAAAAAATAAAAAAGAAAAAAAGAAAAAGAAAAAGTGGGAGCTGTCGCTCTACTACAAGAAGGACCCCTCTTACTGTTTGATGGTGTTGGGCCATGGCAGGAGGGGGCAAGACCCTGGACTGAACTCACTGAACTCCCTGACTATAGGCTCAACTCCCAGAGGCAGTGATGGACAACCACCTGGGAGTTTGCTGTTTTGCTTTTTTATGCCCATTCACGTGTGGGCTGCTCTTCAGTAAGCAAGTTCCTGTTGGAGCCGGATATGCTGCCAGCCACTGGGCTGGGCACTGGGGAGAGAGGGGTGTGACACAGTTCCTGTGTGACCTTGGGCCAGTAGCTTAACCTCTCTGAGCCTGTTTTCTCATCTGTAAAATGGGGATGGAAACTATAACCACAGGACATCATGGGAGTAAAATGAGATCATGCTCAGAAAAATACTTGACAAAGGTGCCTGCCGATGACTACTAAATAAATGACTTTTTAAAAACTGTCCCTTGGTAAGGAAGCTCACAAGGAAAGTAATGATTATGGTATAGTTCACGAAATGCAAGGAGAAAGCACAGGGATGGAGCTCTCCCTTAGCACATGCCCCAGGGGAGGGGCTCACCTAGCCACTCAGCTTAGAGGGAGGGGACAGGAGATAACGAAAATGCATTGTAAATAAGCAAATGGAAGCAAAGGTACAGTTCTGTACAGAAGAATTGCAAATAATATATGGAGAGAACTCCCCTCCACGAAATGGAGCTTAATTTTCCTCCCCTTGAGTGTGGGCTGGACTTAGTGACACATTTCTAACAAATAAAGTATGGAAAGGGAGATAGCAGCTTTGCCGTGGAGAAACCTTGCAGTCATCATTTCAATCAAGAAACAAGGTTAATATCACCAGTGATAAATTGTGTTGAAATTACCTACTCCTGATATGACATGATGGGAAGGGCCCTTCATCGCCATGTTATTCTTTCCAAAAATGCAGAACTCCAGTTTAATCATGAAAAAAACATCTGACAAACCCAAATGGAGGAACACCCACAAAATGCCTCGTCACTGCTTTTCAAAAGGGCCAAGGTCATGAAAACCGAGAAAGAACTGAGAAACCATCTCACATCGGAGGAGGCACGATGGCTAAATGCACCCCGGTCGCCCTGGACTGGATCCGGAAATAGTAAAAGTGCATTAGTGGAAAACTGGTGAAATCCACCGAAAGTCTGCAGTTGGTGATAGTATTGAATCAATGTTAATCTCATAGTTTTGACAAATGCACCACGGTTACGTACGCGAGACGTTAACATTAGGGGGAACTGCGTGGAGGGTACGTGGTACTGTGTACTATTTTTGCAATTTTTGTTTGTTTGTTTTTGAGATGGAGTTTTGCTTTTGTTGCCCAGGCTGGAGTGCAATGGCGCAATCTTGGCTCACCACAATCTCCGCCTCCCGGGTTCAAGCGATTCTCCTGCCTCAGCCTCCCGAGTAGCTGGGATTACAGGCATGTGCCACCATGCCCAGCTAATTTTGTATTTTTAGTAGAGACGGGGTTTCACCCTGTTGGTCAGGCTGGTCTTGAACTTCCAACCTCAGGTGATCCGCCCACCTCAGCCTCCCAAAGTGCTGGGATTACAGGCATGAGCCGCCGAGTCTGGCCTGTTTGTTTTTTGAGACAGTCTCACTCTGTCACCCAGACTAGAGTGCAATGGTGCAATCTCAGCTCACTGCAGCCTCCACCTCCTGGGTTCAAGCGATTCTCCTTGAGAATCAGTGCCACCCGACTGGAACACATCACCTGGCAGCCCATTCTAGTACAGAGCAACAGCCCCCATGTCCAGGAAGTCTCTCTTTACTTTTGCCAAAGTTGCCTGTGTTATCTGCCCCAAGCCATGCCCCAGAAGTCCTCAAGCTAGGGCTCAGGCCCGCCTTGCTATCTCCCTTTCAGCACCTAGATCAGCTCATTGAGCACGTGGCACCTGCCAGGGAGTCACGCTGAAGCCCATGCCCCCACATCAAGGGTCTGTGAGATGGCAGCCCCAGAGGCTGGCCCAGGGTTCGGGGAGAGGGCCTCTAAGCCCCTCTTCCTCAGGAAGTGCCCCTCACCTTGTCCTGCCCACAGGCAGCAGCAGTGTCGGCCCTGATGGGCTCTGGCATTGGGAAGGGGCAGCGGGAAACAGCTCCTCTGTGCAGCCTCCCCAGGGGCTACCCCACAGCCCCACTCCCCGCCTGTGTGCTGCACGCTGGTCACCTTGTTTGCTCTGGGAGCTCCTTTACCAGGGGCTTCCTGAGGCCTCCGGCCCTACTGGTACCTGGAGGCCCCAGCCTCTTGGCTCAGGAGGAGTCCTGGGCTGGGCGTGGTGACTTAACGCTTGTAATCCCAGCACTTTGGGAGGCCAAGGCTGAAGGATCAATTGAGCCCAGGAGTTCAAGAGTAGTCTGGACAATATAACAAGACCCTGTCTCTACAAAAAATTTAAAAATCATACAATTTTTTAAAAAAGTAAAAAGGAGGAGGCCTGAGGGGCTACAGTGGCTGCAGGGTAGCATGACCACTGGGGCTGCGGAAGCATTTGCCCTGCGGGAGGAAGCGCTTTCGAGGGGGAAGGTGGCGTGTCTCTGACCCGGCAGCGAACATGGGGCACCAGAGGGCAGCTTGACCCTGCTCCCAGGTGGAATCTCTGAACCCTAGTTTCATCTGCTCTCAGAGCCTGGCCTCCCCTGTCTAAGGCTGCCTGGGTTAGGAGCCTGGCACACACTGGGCTGCTATACCAGTCTTTTACACACACATTTACCAGGCACTTTCTCTTTTGCCATCCCCTCATGATCACCCGGCAGGGATCATTATCTGTAGGTGAGTGCAGGCTTAAGAGAGGCTGAGCGGCTTGGCCAGTCCCACAGGCAATGGTGGCTGAGGCCTCCCCAGGACCCAGGTATTCTGAGAGAGCCTCACACCGTGGGGCTGGAGGCCAGCATCTGTCCCAGCCATGCTATCCACGCGCATGCGGGGGGACGGGAAGAGCTCTGGGGCTGCACACATCTGGGCTGCCAGCGTGTCTTCACCACTCTCTGGCTCTGCACCCCAGGATTTTGGGGTCAGCACATGGCGTAGTGGGTAGAGGGGTGCATCCTGAAGGGTGGACCTCTAATGCACCTGGCCAGACACCAAAAGGCAGCCGGGGGTGAGTCTCTGAGGAGTGGGCAGCGGGACCAGCACAGTGTGGAGAGGGCAGAGAGAGTGGGGAGGGCGGTGTGGGGCCAAGGGCAGGAGGTTCTGGGCGCATGTCAGGCTGCTCCTGTCTCACCGAGTATAAACAGCTCCTTAAAAATGAACTCCAAAACCCAGCTCACTGGGCCATTCATGGCAGGCTAACCTTCGGGGGGTGCCCAGCATGTCCCAGAGGGGCCTAGGATGGGAGAGCCCTGTGGCCAGTCTGCAGCCGGTGCCTGCACAAACCTAGGCCTTGTGCTCCCTCTGGCACCTGGGTGAGGCCCCCTCGGGTGGAACACCTGCTAACTGCTCATTAAAATACAAGAGTGGGGGAGCTGGGCTTGGTGGCTCACGGCTGTAATCCCAGCACTTTGGGAGGCCGAGGCAGGCAGATCACTTGAGGTCAGGAGTTTGAGACCAGCCTGGCCAACATGGTGAAACCCCGTCTCTACTAAAAATACAAAAATTAGCTTGGCATGGTGGCGGGCACCTATAATCCTAGCCGAGGCACGAGAATCGCTTGAACCTGGGAGGTGGAGGCTTCAGTGAGCCAATATCGTGCCACTGCACTCCACCCTGGGCGATAGAGCGAGACTCCGTCTCAAAAAAAAACCAAAAACAAGAGCTGGCAGGGAGGGGCAGCAAGACGATAAACAATACTTGGAAATTTGGGGCTTAAAAAACTGTGTAAAGGATCAATTTGCTTGTGAAGGCTAACAAAGCTTGGGGCTTGATTAACAAAATGCTCCTAATTTCTCATTCTTAGTATTAGGACCAGGAGCAATATTAAGAATATTCACATAATGTGAACACACAGTTAATCATGTTAGCCGCTATTTATCAAACACGGTGTGCCAGACGCTGTTGCATACACACGTACCCAGTCTCTCATTTAATTTTCACACAGACTTGTAGGTATTCTCAGCCTATTTTACAGAGGGGGTTGAGTGTGGGGGGTGGGGCTAAAGGGCTTGCCCAAGTCTTGCTCACACAGCTGGCCCAGGTAAAGACCTCTCTGCCCACTGTCCCTGCCGCCCCTGCCCCAAGCCTTGCCCTCCCAGTGAGTGTGTGGCCTGCATCGTCGTGTGTTGGTGGACTGTGGTGGGGGGAGGAGGGAATCCCCTATTTAGATCTTTTTTTTTGAGACGGAGTCTCACTGTCACCCAGGCTGGAGTACAATGGCACCATCTCAGCTCACTGCAACCTCTGCCTCTCATATTCAAGCGATTCTCCTGCCTCAGCCTCCTGAGCAGCTGGGATTACAGGTACGCGCCACCATGCCTGGGTAGTTTTTGTATTTTTAGTAGAGGTGGGGTTTCACCATGTTGGCCAGCTGGTCTCAAACTCCTGACCTCTGGTGATCCGCACACCTTGGCCTCCCAAAGTGCTGGGATTACAGGCGTGAGCCGCTGCACCTGGCCTCCCTAGTTAGATCTTTAACTAATGCTTTTGTGACGAGCACAGTGGAAGATTTGTTTAATATTTTTATGTAGTGCTTTACATAAATTGTAATACTATTATTGCAAAAGCAGCTCAACCTTATTACAGAAAGCAGAAATACAGAAAATTATGTAAAAAGAAAGTCCATTTTTCTCCTCTCCTTTGACCTGTCCGTCTCCCCTTCCCCCTTTTCCCTCCTCCCCCTTCTTTCCATCCACCTGCTCACCTGTTTAATCCTGTGAAGAAACAAGTGAGTCTTCCCCTCTTTCGTTCTGCCTTAGTCCAGTCAGCTGTCTCAAAACACCATAAACTGGGTGCTTCTCAACAACTGACATTGATTTCTCACAGTTCCGGAGGCTGGAAATCCAGGATCAGGAGCCAGCATGTTCGGATTCAGGCAGGGGACGTCTTCCGGCTTGCAGATGGCTGCCTTCTCATCATGTCCTCACGTGACAGCAGGGAGGCACCAGCCCTCTGGCCTCTGGTAAGGGCACTGATTCCATCATGAGGGCTCCCCCGGCACAACCTATTTACCTCCCAAAGGCCCCACCTCCTAATACCATAACGCTGGGATGAAGGTTTCAACATATGCGTCTAGGGGGACATGGACACTCAGTCTCTCGCATCCTCCTACCTCCTAAGGCAGGCAATCAGGGCTGGGCTTTCTTGGGTGTGTAAAGTACACACACATGCACACGCACTCTCTCTGGTTTGGGTTTGGAATGTTTTCTGTTCACGAGTGTATTCCGTGGCAACCTATTCCACTGTGCCTGGCTTTTTGCGTCCTGGGAGTCATTGCCCAGCCCACACTTGCAGCCCTAGCTCATTGGCTTTATGAGCTCTCCAGGAGCCACGCAACATTGTGAAGCCTCAGTTTCCTCAACTATAAAATGGGAGTAATAATTACAAGGCTAGGAGAAATGGAAAAAAAAAGATAAAATGGGAATAATAATAATAAAACGCTCCAGGCTGAGTTGTTTCAAGAATTAGAGATTATGCTCCACAAACGTGGCACTTACAGTCAGTCAACAATCCCCACCCAGAGCAGGGGAGTTTTTGGCTTGACTGGGCCAAAAGCAGAAACAGCTTGTGTGTGTGTGTGTGGCGGGGGTGGGGGTTGTTTTATGCCTATAGGAGGACGGGACAGCTGGGGTACCTCATTCTTGGGGGACTGCCTCTGTCACCCCAGCATGGGGGGACCCTGGAAAGCTTGGCAGGGACAGGGGCCGGCGTCTCCGGGGGCAGGTGAGGCACTGCAGGAACCCTGGGGTGGGCAGCCTCAGCCGGGAGAGCAAACTGTCCACTGTCCTACAACAAGGCCTTGGGGCTGCTTGTGGACGCACGCGGTTTCCTGCTCAGCGGTGTCACAGCAGGGGCTACAGACCTTTCAAGTTCCCCACACTCCGGCTTCCTGGCTCCAGCTTACAAAGCTCCAGCGGCGGGGCAGGAAGGGAGGGGATGAGGGTGTCTCAGTCCCTGCGTTTTCCTCTGGGTGGAGACAGGTGGAAAGGGACTGCCGGACGCCCCTTGTTTCACGGGGGCTCACTGAGGGCTTTGTCTAGTATCCAGGGAGCAAGAAGCTCCCGCCCTGGGGAAAATCCCTCCCTGGCCCTCAGGGTGGGCCGAGCCACCACTTCCCCTGCAGAGGGACACACCCAGGCCGATTGTCTCAGCAGCCAGTGTGTGTGTGGGGGCAGGCCCCAGCCTTGGTTCCCTCTCTCGAATGACAGGGTGTTGTCAGTATGCTGGCAAGGGGGTGGAAAGCACAGATAAAACAGCCCACGTGGGCGTCAACCCACCTCCCTGGGTTCCAGCAAATGGCAGCTGGGTTCCAGGTGCCCGGGTGGTCCAGACCAGGGGGCTGGGGAGCATCTGTTCCCCAGACTGCCCTGCGTATGTTTCACGCCCGCTCCTCATTCAGAGGACAGGAAAGGGTGAAATGACCCCTACCCCCTACGCTTTTCACGATTTCAACAGACCCTCACTGAGGGCCCCGGGCCGAGCTGGTCCTGGGAGACGCTGAGGTTTCGCTGCCACCCCCAGTATACCATCCGAGGGTGGGCAGTCATGTGACCAGGCAATGGGGCCAGGCCAGAGGAACTGCATGGCGAGGGGAGCCTGAGGCAGACGGACACCTCATCCAGCCCCTAGGGCCGGAACCCTGCCTCCCGGCCACACTTGAGCTGAGCATTAAAGAGGGAGGGGAAAGGGAGGGGAGAAGGCGTGTGTTTGCATGTGTGTTGGAGGGGAGGAGGGAACAGAGATCCAGAGGAAAAATGCATGGATCAGGAGGGCCTGGAGCATGAGGGGCCTGGGGGGAGTTGACCTCTCCCACCCCAGCCCTACACAGACAGCGAGTAGGGCAAAGGCCCATTCCTATGGCCTTGCTAAAGAGTTTGCATTTTATTCAGAGAACCAAGAGGAGGCACTCGTGGGCTTTAGCTAGAGAACCGAGGCAATCCCTTTGCATTGTAGGACACTACTTCTGAAGTGGACCATGGCGAGGGGCTGAGCAGGCACCACACTGGGGTTGGGGGCCAGTTTGGGCCTATGGCAGCTATTCCACAAGGAAAAATGGAGGTACACTGGTTTTCTGTGCTGTGTAACAAATAGTCATAAACTCTGTGGCTTAAAACAACACCCATTTCTGATCTCACAGCTTCTGCGGGGCAGGAGCCTGGGCCTGGCCTAGAGCCTGCTGCTGGAAGCCTCATAGCCGGCTGTGGATCCATTCGCTGCCTGTGTTCTCATCTGGAAGCTCCCCTGGGAGGAACCTGTCCTTTCCCTGTGGCTGTGGGCTGGAGGCCACCCCTAGGTCTGCCACATGGCCCTCTCCGTGGGCAGTGCAACCTCAGCTCACTTCTTCCAGGCCACAGGAGACGCGCTCCAGCTAAGCAGTGTGGCCACCGAGTGACATCCCTGTGGCATATCTTGTTGGCTAGAAGCAAGGCACAAGTCCCACCCATGCTCAAGTGGAGGGGCTTACACAGGGTCCAAGATCATGAGATTATCTTGGAATTCTGCCTACGACAGGGGCCTCCTCCCGTGTATTTGTGTACACAGCCCTTCATATCCACAGAGACCTGAGAAGACGTTATACACAGACCCACACACGAGGCTGGCTCTCTTGGCTGGGAAGCGTCTGGAGCTCTCCTCCCTTCCCCACGGGTCCTCGGGGTTTGGAGGCTGCAGGGAAGTTGCATGGAGCTCTTCCGCTCACGTATCTGTTTCTATCCACGAATTCATCTGAGGGCTGAAAGGCCTCATGGGAAAAATGGGACTGAGCTCTGACCACTCCTATCTCCCACCAGTGGCCCAAGTGGGTCAGTCCTAATTCTGCATTCCTCAGGACACAGTGTGGCTGAAGGGTGGGCATGGGATATAGCCAGACCCACAGGGACTCTCCCAGGACTGCTGCTAGGGCTGGCAGGAGTCACAGCCTCTTCCTTCCCTGGCTGCAAGATGTCCCTGGGCCTGCCAGGGCTGTAGGTCTAGCAGACATGGCCAGAGTCTCTCAGCAGCAGGAGAGATTGAAGCCAAAACCACGGGAGAAGCAGAGACAGTGACCTAATGGCTCGCCTGAGCCCCTGGATACGGCCAGGTCTGAAATCCGCAGCGGACTCCCTCATTGGGCTTGGAGGCTTCTCTGTGGCCTTCCCCAAAGGCAGCATCAGGTAGGTGACAATGAGGGTGGCTCATGGGCTCATGGGGGTGTTAGAGGAACCCCTGCTTACCAGGCCCCTGGTTTAATAAAACATGACTAGAGTGACTCCATCTTGAAGTGAGTAGCTAGGCACTCACAAGAATATTCAAGGTCTGAAAATAGCCACATTCTAAGCCGACCACCAATTAAAACAACAAAAATATCATCTGCCACCACGCCTGCAGAATGCCCACATGTCTGGAGAATACAGCCCTCTTTCCTTCAAGATAACATCGATGAGCAAGCTTAGGTTGAAGGATTAATGGTCATCAATAACACCAATAGCCCCGCCTCTAGTGAGCACATCTGCACATTCCAAGTTTCATTACCACTCCTTAGAGTTTCTTTTTCTTTTTGAGACAGATTTTCACTCTTGTCGCCCAGGCTGGAGTGCAGTGGTGCAATCTTGGCTCACCACAACCTCCACCTCCTGGGTTCAGGTGATTCTCCCGCCTCAGCCTCACGAGTAGCTGGGATTACAGGCACGCGCCACAATGCCCGGCTAATTTTTTTTTTTTTTTTTTTTTTTTTTTAGTAGAGAGGGGGTTTCACCGTGTTGGTCAGGCTGGTCTTCAACTCCTGACCTCAGGTGATCCGCCCGCCTCAGCCTCCCAAAGTGTTGGGATTACAGGCGTGAACCACCGCGCCCGGCCTCCTTAGAGTTTCTTATAAGCAGCGACACCAACACAGGACAGTGCACTCCTCCTCCTTCTTCCCGAGGATGCCCCACTCTGTAACAGAGTCGTTTCCAGTAAACTCGCTTCTTTCACTGTGCTCTGTGATTTGCCTTGAATTCTTTCCTATGCAAGATCCAAGAATCCTCTCGTGGGGTCTGGATCGGGAATCTCTTTTCCGGCAACAGGAGCACCCCCCTGGGAAACCATAAGCACATCTTGGGAAAGGCTATGGTTCCCACTGGGAAAGGGAGTGGAGGCTGGCACCATCCTTTCAGCTATCATGCTTAGAAAACCAGCTTTACGAAGATACAACTTATGCTCAAGAGGCTACATTCAATTAGAGTGGACAATTCAATGAGTGTTGACAGCTGTCCACACCTGTGACACTGCCACCATATTCATGGCCCAGAACACTTTCCTTTTTCTTTTTTTTTTTTTGAGACGGGGTCTTGCTCTGTCGCCCAGGCTGGAGTGCAGTAGTGCAATCTCGGCTCACTGCAAGCTCCGCCTCCTGGGTTCACGCCATTCTCCTGCCTCAGCCTCCCGAGTAGCTGGGACTACAGGCGCCCACCACCATGCCTGACTAATTTTGTTTTTGTATTTTTAGTAGAGACGGGGTTTCACCGTGTTAGCCAGGATTGATTCGATCTCCTGACCTTGTGATCCACCCGCTCGGCCTCCCAAAGTGCTGGGATTACAGGCGTGAGCCACTGCGCCCGACGTGGCCCAGAACATTTTCATCCTGTTTCTTGTGCCCCTTTGCAGTGAATTCTCCCCTGGAATTACTGACAACCACAAATCTGCTCTTTTGTCATTATAGAAGCTCATAGAAATGGAATTATACAATTTGTACTCTTCTGTGTCTGTTTATTCTTTTTCTGGGGGGGGGGGGGGCGGCGTTGCCCAGCATCATGTTTTTGAGATGAATCCATGTTGATGGATGTACCAGTAATTCTGTCTTTCTTGTTTTATGTTTATGTGGTTTTGCTGAATAGTACTGTAGGGATGTACCACAGTTGTTTTTTTGTTTTTTGGGTTTTCTTTTAATCAGGGTCTTGCTCTGTCACCCAGGCTTGATTGCAGTGGCATACAACGTCCAGGCTCAAGCGATCCTCCCACCTCAGCCTCTCAAGTAGCTGGGACTACAGGTGCATGCCACCATGCCCGGCTAATTTTTGTGTGTGCATAGAGATGGGGTCTCACTATGTTGTCAGGGCTGGTCTCAAACTCCTGGGCTCAAGCAATCCTCCTGCCTTGGCCTCCCAATGTGCTGGGGTTACAGGCGTCACCCACTGCGCCCAGTGCATTCACTCTAGGGCTGTTTTGTTAAACCAGGGGCCTGGTAAGCAGGGGCTCCTCTAACACTCCCATGGGCCCATGAGCCACCCTCATTGTTACCTGCCTGATGCTGCGTTTGTTTATCCATTCATCTGTTTGTGCACACTTGGGTTGCTTCCAGTTTTTGATGTTTAGGAATAAAGCTGCCATGAAGATTCACATTCAAGTTTTTGTGTGGACATGTGCTTTCATTTCTCTTGGGTAAAACGTAGGCGCGGAATTGCTGGGCCATTCTTAATTTTAGAAGAAGCCACCACAGTGTTGTTTCACAGCAGCTCCACCATCTTGCACTCCCGATGGCGGCGTGCAAGAGCCTCGGCTGCCCCACTCCTCCCCAGCACATGACGTTGCTGCACCAGGGTGTCATTTTCACTGTCCTAGGGGGGCCGAAGTGGCTTATGATTGTGGGTTTCATTTGTATTTGCCTGATGACTAATGAAGTGCGATGATTTTCGCATGCTGTTTTGGCCTTCTGTATGCAGTATCTTCCTCTGTGAAGTGTCTGATGGATTCTTTTGCCAATTTGTTTTTGTTGGGTTGTTCATCGGGATCATGTTTTTAATGGCAAACGTCAAAGCCAGCCCATATGTGTTCCCATGACACCCCTGTCATGTTTATGCGTGCACTCAAGCGCACGTGCGTGCACCCACATACCAATTCTCTTTTTTTTTTTTTGTTTTTTTCGAGACGGAGTCTCGCTCTGTCACCCAGTCTAGAGTGCAGTGGCTCATTCTCAGCTCACTGCAACCTCCGCCTCCCGGGTTCAAGGGATTCTCCTGCCTCAGCCTCTGAATAGCTGAGATTACAGCCATGCACCATCACGTCCGACTAATTTTTTATTTGTAGTAGAGACAGGGTTTCACCACATTGGCCAGACTGGTCTCGAACTCCTGACCTCAAGTGATCTGCCCACCTCGGCCTCCCAAAGTGCTAGGATTATAGCTGTGAGCCACTGCATCCAGCCCAATTCTCTTTAATAATGTAAAGTCGGAGGACAACAGGACACTGACTTTCATTTCACCTGCGTTTCAACTGTCCCATGAAAGCTCCGTGCCTGGGTGGCATTTACAGTGCTTTCACCTGCCTCATCGCATTAATCCAAACATCAGTGCTGTGAAGGGTGAGATGGCAAATGAGGAAACTGAGGCCCAAGGGGAAGAAGTGACTTGCTAAAGGCTACACAGCTTGAGAGGCAGATTGGACTTGAACCCAGGTTTGTCCGACTCTGAATCCAGTGCCGTTTGTTCACTGCCCAACAGCAGCCTGGGAACAGAACTACAATAAAATATACGTTTAAGAATAGAGCAACAGCAGCAGCAGCCCCACACTGTGACTACACTGAGTGCCTGGCTCTGAGGTCCTCACCCAGACCCTGTGTCTCGATACCCAGGGACAGAGCCGGGCCTGGAAGAGTCCTCCCTTTCACGGTGGGGGACCCTGGGACCAGGCAACCAAGGTCACAAAGTCTGTAGAAGCCCGAGTGTCTAAGCCTTAGAACCCCGATCCCAATGAGACCTTTGCTGGGGTCTCACCATCAGGGCTCTTGAAATTCAAAGCCACACCCTCTCAGCATCCGCCGAGATGTTAGGATGGAAAGAGGTACCCCTTGCTGCCACTTCACCCCTATGTCCCATCTATCTGCCCCAAAACCAGCCAGTTGGTGTCCCCATAACTCTGCTGCAGGACCACTCCAGCCTTCCCGAGCCTTCTGCCCTTCCTCCCGGGCCACAGCCCACAGGCCCCAGGAGCTGGTTTTGGGGGCACACGCTCTTCCAGCTCCCAGCATCTCCCCTCTCCTCCCCAAGTCTCAAGCCTCCCTGCCCCAACTCAGGATGGAGGTCCTGGACCCACAGCCAGGGAGAGCCAGGTGGGGCAGCCTGCACAGGAGGTCCGGGCACTTTCTGACTCTGGGCTCCAGAAGCCAAGGCCTCCCTCAAGGAAACAGAAAGGACTGGGGGCACAGTTCACATGATCATGAAGATAAGGGTTCCCGCAGCACACCCCATAAGAACCGTGGCACTGGCCTTTACACCCTGAGGTCCTACTTCACCCCTGGAGCCACGGCTGAGGGCAGGGCGCTGAGGGGCTGTGCCTGGGGACTTGTGCTGCTGAGACCTCCACTGGTGACACAGGGGCTCAGCACCCCTGGTGAAGCAAGCAGGGTCCCAGCAGAGAAAGGAACCTGCAGGATAGGGGTGTGGTGTGTGTGGTGTGTGTGTATGTGTGTGTGCACATGTTTACACGTGGATATGCATGTACGTGTGTTGTATAGCCAATTCCTTGCAATAAATCTCTCTATGAGACACATAAGAGATATTACATATACATGGAGGGGATGAGACAGAGAAAGGAAGGGAGGGAGGGAGAGATTTATTGTGAAAAATTGGCTCAGACAAGGTGGGGGCTGGCTGAGCAAGGTGGAAATCCATAGGGCAGGCGGCACCTGGGCCTCTCGGGCAGTAGGCGATGCTATAGTCCACAGGTAAAATCTCTCTGTCCTCAGGGAAACCCCAGCTCTGCTCTCAAGGCATTTCACTGGTTGCACAAGGCTTCCCACCCCTACCCCCGCCACATGATTGAGAGTAATGGCCTTTCACTCCAGTCAGCTGACTGCAGATGTGACATACTTACAGAACACCTTCACAGTAACCCCTAGATGACTATTTGGTTGACCCAAGAAACTATCATGCTTAGGGGCTGAGAGCTGCTGAAGTCCTGGCAGGGAGGGGTGAGGACCGGTGCTGCCGCCCTGGTGACCGGCGTTTCCAGGAGCCACCAGCCTCACCCACCATTTCCCGAGTTGGTCCCTCATCCCCTTGGCTTCCTGCGGCGGCCGAGGTGGGGTCCGGGGCTGCTGAGGTAGGGTCCAGGGCTGCTTGCTGAGCAGGGCTACCTGGTCCCCAGGGCTTCACCTGGAAGGCCTCCCACTAAGGCCCAGGACTGAGGCATCCTCAGGGCCCGTTCCACCGCCTCTGATGGAGCCTGGGGCTGAGCTGATGGGTGCTCGGACTCTACCCGACACTGCTCTTGTGCAGTGGCCGTCAGGGCTACCTGGACACAGCCTGGCTGCTGCCTCCACAGACCGCTCATGCCCAGACACGAGGGAGAGCCGCCTGTAGGTCTTCAGCTGCGAGCTCTGCCTCCAGCACTTCAACGGAAGGGAATGGGCCCAGGGAATAGGACGTGGGCTTGGCGCATGACTTGAAGTGCTTTCCACCCTACCAGATGCCCTGAAGATAAGAGCCGGCCCAGAACTCCGTGTCTCCGTGACAAAATGCTTCTGATCACCTAATCTGAGCGGCTGATCTCAAGTCTCTGCAGGGTTGTCACGTGTCAGGGGAGGAGAATCCAGGTGTGCTGGATCCAGCTCGCCCGCTCCTGGACAGATGGTGCACATTTCTTCTCAATCTCGTGTTCAGCCATGTCATGTTGGTAGCTTGAAATCAGCCATGATGAGAATATTTACACCACAGATGTTGACGAACACTTCACATGAGCTCCCCTCAATCCCCTGCGAGAGCTGCTTGTTAAACATTTACCTGCACACCACAGGAGAAGCCCCAGAGGATAAAGCTGGGATGGGGAGGAGGGAGGTTGGGGAGGAGGGAGGTTCAGGTATCTATTTTTTTTTTTTTTTTTTGAGACAGAGTCTCGCTCTGTCCCCAGGCTGGACTGCAGTGGCACGATCTCGGCTCACTACAAGCTCTGCCTCCTGGGTTCACACCATTTTCCTGCCTCAGCCTCACAAGTAGCTGGGACTACAGGCGTCCGCCACCACGCCCAGCTAATTTTCTGTCTTTTTAGTAGAGACGGGGTTAGCCAGGATGGTCTTGATCTTCTGACCTCATGATCCACCTGCCTTGGCCTCCCAAAGTGCTGGGATTACAGGTGTGAGCCACCGCACCCAGCCGGGTTCAGGTATCCATTACTAAGTAACAGCCCACCTCAAAACTTAGTGGCTTAGCCGGGTGCAGTGGCTCACGCCTATAATCCCAGCACTTTGGGAAGCTGAGGCGGGTGGATGGCCTGAGGTCAGGAGTTCGAGACTAGCCTGGCCAACATGGTGAAACTCCATCTCTACCAAAAATACAAAAATTAGCCAGGCTTGTGGTGGTGGGTGCCTGTAATCCCAGCTACCTGGGAGGCTGAGGCAGAAGAATGGTTTGAACCCAGGAGGCGGAGGTTGCAGTGAGCCGAGATCGCGCCACTGCACTCCAGCCTGGGTGACAGAGCGAGACTCTGTCTCAAAAAAAAAAAAACTTAGTGGCTTAAGATGACGGTGATTGATTCCTCCTCACGAGTGTGCGTGTCACTGGGGTGGTTCTGCTGCTGCATGTGGTATTGAGGAAGGTCACTCTTGCAGCTGCGTGCATGGCTTTTCCCTCCAGTAGGATGGCCTGAGCTCTCCACAGCGTGGCAGCTTCCCAGAGACCAGGAAGCTGCCAGGCCTCCCCCACATTCTATCCGCCAAATGGGTCTCAAGGCCTGTCCAGATCTGGTGTGGGAGGGAACTACAGAAGATCATCAATAGCAGGGGATTCACTGGGGCCCATCAAGGCAGCAGTCTTCCAGCTGGGTGGGCTGGCTCATCCCTGGAATCCCAGGATTTAAGGAGGCCAAGGTTGGAGGACCACTCGAGGCCAGGAGTTTGAGACCAGCCTGGCAACATAGCGATGACAGCCTGTCTCTACAAAAAATTAAAAAATTAGCCAAGCATGGTGGGGCATGCCTGCAGTCCCAGCTACTCAGGAGGTGGGAGGATTGCTTGAGCCCAGGAGGTTGGGGCTGTAGTGAGCTATGATTGCACCGCTGCACTCCAGCTTGAGTGACAGAGTGAGACCCTGTCCCCCAACACCCCCGCCCCCCCAAAAAATAGGCCCCGCAGTGTGGCCTGGTGAACTTGGCCTCCTTGAATGTGTCCTATATAAAGGTGTGTGTTGAGCTTCCCCTTGGGGCAAGGCACAAGCCCCTCGCCCACCCACGTGGTCTAACTGGACGCTCACAGCAGCCTCGAGAGGCGGTCCTGCCCGTCCCGGTTTCCAGGTGGAGCAGCTGAGGAAAGCCTGAGACGCTTGCCCCAGGTCTCCCGGGTTCTCAGCGGCCACCCGTTGTCCTGGGAGGTTGAGAATTCCTGTTCTAGGTGCCCCTTTGCTGGGACACAGCATCTCTAAAGGGGGAGACAGCCATCTTGAGGTCCTCCCTGTATTATGAGAAGAGGAAGCTCTCGCTGAAGAAAGGGAAGGCAGATCCTTCCTCCCCCAAGTCCACATCGTTTTCCTTCCTCTTAGGAGGTCTGCCTCTAGCTCTTATCTCCCCACTCCCCACGTGCACAGAGTCGCAGGGTGAGGGCTGAGCTGTGACGCCAGTGAGGCCAAGATGTCAGCCTAGGGTTGAGGACCCTGGCTGGGCGGGTCCTGCTGGGAGCTGAGGCTGCAAGACCCCGGCTTGGCCGTACCCCGAGAAGCAGCCACTGCACTGACATGGACGAACTGTGCCGTGTGGAACCCACTTGCCCCACCTAGATCTCAGCTTCCCTGCCGCCAAGCGAGAAAACAGAACTGACAGGTCTCTGATGGCCATCTCATCTCCATGCCAGGTGTTCTAGAAAGAGTTCAGAGACCCAAGTGTCCATCCACACTTGTCCACGTCTTGGTTCCAGGAGTGTCTGTCAGGGATGTTCCCCCTGACCCTGGATATTCCTTCTCCTCTGTGAAAGTACGGTCACGTATGGTGCAAGTATGGGCATGTGTGATGCAAGGGACGCTGCTGGGCAGCTGCCTGTGCAGGCACCGGGGACAGGAAGGTGGATAGGGCATAATTTGTGGGGGAAAAGGCATGTAAACATGTATTACAACATAAGAGAGTACGTGTAGCGGGAATGTAAATTTGTACAACCTTCTAGAAAAGTCATTTGGCAATACAGATCAGGAACTTCCCAGATGTTCCCAAATATCTTCGGAAACAATTATCCCATTTCTGGGAATCTAACTTAAGAGAGTAACCAGAACAAGGGAGAACAAGATGCTTATTGCAGGATTAGTTAGAACTTGAAAATAACCTAAATGCCCAACAACAGAGAATCAGTTAATTGGATTATGTCACAGACAGTTAATATTTCACAGCTGTTAAAAATAGCTGCTACAAAGAATTTTCATAAAATGGTTTTTGAAATAACATTAACTGAAAAATGCAAAACAGAATTGAGGAGATGGAGCTCCACTTGGGAAAAAATAAGATAATTCAGAGAGAAGGAATTTACCAGAATACCAACAGCGATCACATTTGGGTAATAAATGACTTTAGAGGTGATTTTAAAATTATTTTGTTTCTCAATCATCTTTAAAAGCCCAGTGCAAAGAAATTTGCTGGCCAGGCACAGTGGCTCATGCCTGTAATCCCAGCACTTTGGGAGGTTGAGGCGGGCAGATCATCTGAGGTCAGGAGTTTGAGACCAGCCTGGCCAACATGGTAAAACCCTGTCTCTACCAAAAATACAAAAATTAGTCAGGTGTGATGGCATGTGTCTTTAGTCCCAACTACTTGGGAGGCTAAGGCAGGAGACTTGCTTGAACCCGGGAGGTGGAGGTTGCAGTGAGCCAAGATCACACCACTGCACTCCAGCCTGAGTGACAGAGTGAGACTGTCTCAAAAAAATTTTTCCTTCATGAAGTCTTTTACAGTTCCTCTAGGCAGAAGTGATCTGTCACTCTTTGATGCCTGGGACATTTGTGCCTCTCTTGTGGCATCTACCCTCTGTGCTGTGCTCATATGTCTGTGTCTTCACCCAGCTGAACCCCTTAGTGATATGGCTGTGCACATGTTTGGGTCCTAGTGTTTAACTCCAGGCCTGCCCACACTGTGCACCTATTGGCCATCTAGATGTGCACTTGGGTTCTGGCTGGCTCCTATACCCGTGGTTCTCTTTTACTTTTGAAGACTCCTTTTAATGTTAATATTTTTTCGTGGTAGCTATACCATCTATCAGTGGAAAATACTCAATGACAAAAGACACCTTGTCTTTGTCCCATGAATTCAACAGGGCTTCTTTTTTTGAGAAGGAGAGTCACTCTGTCACCCAGGCTGGAGTGCAGTGGCGCAATCTCAGCTCACTGCAACCTCCGCCTCCCTGGTTCAAACGATTCTCGTGCCTCAGCCTCCCGAGTAGCTGGGATTATAGGCACACACCACCATGCCCGGGTGATTTTTGTATTTTTAGTAGAGATGGGGTATTACCATGTTGGCCAGGCTGTTCTTGAACTCCTAACATCAGGTGATCCACCCACCTCGGTCTCCCAAAGTGCTGGGATTACAAGGGTGAACCACCATGCCCGGCTTCAACAGGGTTTCTTATGGGCTAGTTTTTCTCCAGTTACGACTCAAATTTTCTTGCTTTATTACATGTCTAATAATTTTTGATTGGATGCTGGACATTATGATACAACATTGTTGGGAATCTGAATTTTGTTGTTTTCTTTCAAAGATTAGTGAATTTTGTTTTGGCAATGAGTTAAATTATTGGTAGATGTTTTGCTCCTCAAGGCTTGTTTGTGGGCTCGTTGGGACAGGTCTAGAGCAGCCGTTACCCCAGGGTTAGTGTAGTACACCTGAGGCATGTGCTTTTCAAAAGGACAGAGATCAGGGCAGTGGTTACCAGGGGCTGGAGTGGAGGGAGGAAAGGATGACCAAAGGGCACAGAGAACATTGGGCAGTAGAAATGTTTTCTATCTTGATTGTGGTGGTGATTACATGACTGTATGCATGTGTCATAGAGTTGTACACCTAAAAATGGAGAATTTCACTGTATGTAAATGATACCTGAATAAATCTAACTTTTTTAAAAAAGGGTGGTTTTTCTGAGGTCTTGGCTGAATGTCTGGCATATTCGGTGTGGTCTCTTCACTCTGGCTGCCCAGAACTCCAAGGTCTCTGTGCCCGTGCATCCTCTGGCACCCCCTTCTGCTCCCAGCTCCCAGCAGCTCTCCTCTGCCAGACTTTGCCGTCTCATCCTGTGCACGTGCAGTTTAGTATTCACTCAAAGACTCAAGAGAGCTCCTCTGCAAACGTCTGAAGCTCCTTCCCTGCTCAACCCGCTCCTCTCTGGAACCCCACAAGTTCCAGTCCCCTCGGTGGTCCTGAACTCCAGTCTCTGCCTGCTCCGGCCCATGCCATCACCACTCTCTGAGCTCTACTTCCCTGTGCTGTGTTCAGAAAATGCCCCAAACACCTCCGGGCAGAGAGCCAGGGTGAAGCTGGAACTCCCTCATGTGTGTCCTTCTCTAGGGTCACAGCCCTGCCATGGCACCTATGCTTAAAAACAGTTGCTTCATATAATTTGTCTAGTTTTCTAGTTGTTTATGGGGGAAAGGTAAGTCTGCTATCTGTCACCGTCTTATGGCCGGACCCAGCAGTCCCAGCAGAGCTGTGGGAATTTAAAGTTGGTTTCACTCCTCCCACCTCATCTCCATAAGCTCTATGCTCAAGCGGCTCGAGCGATCCCCAGAGTAGCCATCCCATGCTTGGAGTGCCTGCTCTGGACTCTGTGCGCCCCTGACTCCTAGAACATTGACACCCACCCTCCCTCCTCCTACTCACCCTGCAGCTTCCACTTGGACTCCAGGAAGTCTTCCCTGGCCCTTATGCTGGGCCCAGGAGGGTCTGTGTGTGCCCGTAGCTCCCAGGCATCCCCGTAACCACTTATCGGTTGTGTCTTCCCGGAGCCCAAGGACTCTGAGTATGGGGCGGAGACCCTGCCCCTGCTACATCCTATTCCTTCGCCTTGGGCCTGGAGCACGTCCACGAACACGTGTTGAACACAGAGTAAAGTAGCACCTGTGCACACATGTACACCCATATACACACCTGTCCACCTGACCCGCCCATATGCACATCCATACACACGCCTACCCACCTGACCTGCCCATATGCACGCCGGTCCACCTGACTCGCCCGTACACACAGTGGTCCACCTGACTCACCCATACACACGCCTGTCCACCTGACTGCCCATACGCACGTCTGCCCACCTGACTCGCCCAAACGCACAGCCATACGCACGCCTGTCCACCTGACTCACCCATACGCACACCTGTCCACCTGACTCACCCATACGCACGCCTGCCCACCTGACCCACCCATACGCACGTCTGCCCACCTGACTCACCCATACGCACGTCTGTCCACCTGACCCACCCATACGCATGCCTGTCCACCTGACTCGCCCATATGCACACCCATACACACGCCTGCCCACCTGACTCACCCATAGGCACGCCTGCCCACCTGTCTCGCCCATACGCACACCCATAGGCATGCCTGCCCACCTGACCCGCCCATACGCACGCCTGCCCACCTGACCCGCCCATACACACGCCTGCCCACCTGACCCGCCCACACACACGCCTGTCCACGTGACACGCTGACACGCACGCCTGTCCACGTGAGCCGCCCATACGCACGCCTGTCCACCTGAATCACCCATATGCACACCCATATGCACGTCTGCCCACCTGACTCGCCCATACGCACACTCATACGCACACCTGTCCACCTGACCCACCCATATGCACGCCTGCCCACCTGACCCGCCCATACGCATGCCTGCTCACCTGACCCGCTCATACGCACGCCTGTCCACCTGACTCACCCATACCCAATCCTGTCCACCTGACCCACCCATATGCACGCCTGCCCACCTGACCCGCCCATACGCACGCCTGCCCACCTGACCCGCCCATACGCACGCCTGTCCACCTGACTCACTCGTACGCACGCCTGCCCACCTGACCCGCCCATACGCACGCCTGTCCACCTGACCCGCCCATAAGCAATCCTGTCCACCTGACTCGCCCATACGCACGCCTGCCCACCTGACCCGCCCGTACGCAATCCTGTCCACCAGACCCGCCCATAAGCACGCCTGCCCACATGACCCGACCATACGCACGCCTGCCCACCTGACCCCCCCATATTCAATCCTGTCCACCTGACCTGCCCATACACATGCCTGCCCACCTGACCCGATCATACGCAATCCTGTCCACCTGACTCGCCCATACGCACACCCATACGCACACCTGCCCATCTGACTCGTCCATACACATGCCTGTCCACCTAACTCGCCCATACGCACGCCTGCCCACCTGACTCACCCATACACACACCCATACACACGCCTGTCCACCTGACTCATCCATACGCAATCCTGTCCACCTGACTCACCCATACACACACCCATACGCACGCCTGTCCACCTGACTCGCCCATATGCACACCCATACGCACGCCTGTCCACCTGACCTGACCATAGGAACACCTGCCCACCTGACCTGACCATACGAACGCCTGCCCACCTGACCCGCCCATACAAACACCTGCACACCTGACCTGCCCGTATGCACGCCTGCCCACCTGACCTGCCCGTACGCATGCCTGCCCACCTGACCCGACCATAAGAAAGCCTGCCCACCTGACCCGCCCGTATGCATGCCTGCCCACCTGACTCGCCCACACGCACGCCTGCCCACCTGACTCGCCCATACGCACACCCATATGCACTCCTGCCCACCTGACTCACCCATACGCACGCCTGCCCACCTGACTCGCTCATACGCATGCCTGCCCACCTGACTCACCCATACGCACACCCATATGCACTCCTGCCCACCTGACTCACCCATACGCACGCCTGCCCGCCTGACTCGCTCATACGCATGCCTGCCCACCTGACTCACCCATACACACACCCATATGCACGCCTGCCCACCTGACTCGCCCGTACGCACACCCATATGCACGCCTGTCCACCTGACTCACCCATACGCACACCTGTCCACCTAACTCTCCCATACGCACGCCTGCCCACCTGACTCGTCCATACGCACACCCATACACATGCCTGTCCACCTGACCCGACCATAAGAACACCTGCCCACCTGACCGGCCCACACAAACGCCTGCCCACCTGACCCGCCCGTATGCACGCCTGCCCACCTGACTCACCCATATGCACACCCATACGCACGCCTGTCCACCTGACTCGCTCATATGCATGCCTGTCCACCTGACTCTCCCATACGCATGCCTGTCCACCTGACTCGCTCATATGCACGCCTGTCCACCTGACTCTCCCATACGCAATCCTGTCCACCTGACTCGCTCATACGCACGCCTGTCCACCTGACTTGCCCATAAGCAATCCTGTCCACCTGACTCGCTCATACGCAGGGCTGTCCACCTGACTCTCCCATACGCAATCCTGTCCACCTGACTCACTCATACGCACGCCTGTCCACCTGACTTGCCCATACGCAATCCTGTCCACCTGACTCGCTCATACGCAGGGCTGTCCACCTGACTCTCCCATACGCATGCCTGCCCACCTGACTTGCCCATACGCACGCGTGTCCACCTGACTCGCCCATACACATGCCTGTCCACCTGACTCTCCCATACGCACGCCTGTCCACCTGACTCGTCCATACGCACACCCATACACATGCCTGTCCACCTGACCCGACCATATGCACGTCTGCCCACCTGACCCGACCATAAGAACACCTGCCCACCTGACCCACCCATACAAACGCCTGCCCACCTGACCCGCCTGTAGGATGCCTGCCCACCTGACTCGTCCATACGCACACCCATACACACGCCTGTCCACCTAAACCGACCATATGCACGCCTGCCCACCTGACCCGACCATAAGAACTCCTGCCCACCTGACCCGCCCATACAAACGCCTGCCCACCTGACCCGCCCGTATGCACGCCTGTCCACCTGACCCGCCCGTATGCACGCCTGCCCACCTGACCCGCCCATACACATACCCATATGCACGCCTGTCCACCTGACCTGCCTATACACACGCCTGTCCACCTGACCCGCCCATACGCATGTCTGCCCACCTGACTCGCTCATACGCATGCCTGCCCACCTGATCCGGCTATACGCAATCCTGTCCACCTGACTCTCCCATAGGCACACCCATACGCACACCTGTCCACCTGACTAGCCCATAAGCAATCCTGTTCACCTGACTCTCCCACACACATGCCTGTCCATCTTACTCACCCATACGTGCGCCTGTCCACCTGACCCGCCCATATGCACCCCTGCCCACCTGACCCGCCCAAACGCACGCCTGCCCACGTGACCCGGCCATACGCATGTCTGCGCACCTGACCCGCCCATATTCAATCCTGTCCACCTGACTCTCCCACATGCACACCTGCCCACCTGACCTGCCCATAAGCACGCCTGCCCACATGACCCGACCATACGCACGCCTGCCCACCTGACCCCCCCATATTCAGTCCTGTCCACCTGACCTGCCCATACACACGCCTGCCCACCTGACCCGACCATACGCAATCCTGTCCACCTGACTCGCCCATACGCACGCCTGTCCACCTGATCCGCCCATACGCAATCCTGTCCACCTGACTCACCCATACGCACGTCTGCCCACCTGACTCACCCATACGCACGTCTGTCCACCTGACCCGCCCATACACATGCCTGTCCACCTGACCCGCCCATACGCATGCCTGTCCACCTGACTCGCCCATATGCACACCCATACACACGCCTGCCCACCTGACTCACCCATAGGCACGCCTGCCCACCTGACTCGCCCATACGCACACCCATAGGCATGCCTGCCCACCTGACCCGCCCATATGCACGCCTGCCCACCTGACCCGCCCATACACACGCCTGCCCACCTGACCCGCCCACACACACGCCTGTCCACGTGACACGCTGACACGCACGCCTGTCCACGTGAGCCACCCATACCCACGCGTGTCCACCTGAATCACCCATATGCACACTCATATGCACGTCTGCCCACCTGACTCGCCCATACGCACACTCATACGCACACCTGTCCACCTGACCCACCCATATGCACGCCTGCCCACCTGACCCGCCCATACGCACGCCTGCCCACCTGACCCGCTCATACGCACGCCTGCCCACCTGACCCGCCCATACGCACGCCTGTCCACCTGACTCGCTCGTACGCACGCCTGCCCACCTGACCCGCCCATACGCATGCCTGTCCACCTGACCCGCTCGTACGCACGCCTGCCCACCTGACTCGCCCATACGCACGCCTGTCCACCTGACCCGCCCATAAGCAATCCTGTCCACCTGACTCACCCATACGCATGCCTGCCCACCTGACCCGACCATAGGCACGCCTGCCCACCTGACCCGCCCGTACGCAATCCTGTCCACCTGACCCGCCCGTACGCAATCCTGTCCACCTGACCCGCCAGTACGCACGCCTGCTCACCTGACCCGCCCGTACGCAATCCTGTCCACCTGACCGGCCCGTACTCAATCCTGTCCACCTGACTCTCCCACACACATGCCTGCCCACCTGACCCGCCTGTACGCACGCCTGTCCACCTGACCCGCCTGTACGCACGCCTGTCCACCTGACCCGCCTGTACGCATGCCTGTCCACCTGACCCGCCTGTACGCGATCCTGTCCATCTGACCTGCCCGTATGCACGCCAATACTGTCCACCTGACCCGCCCGTACGCGATCCTGTCCATCTGACCCGCCCGTACGCACGCCAATACTGTCCACCTGACCCGCCCGTACACACGCCTGTCCACCTGACCCGCCCGTATGCATGTCTGCCCACCTGACTCGCTCATACACACACCTGCCCACCTGACCCGACCATAAGAACGCCTGCCCACCTGACCGGCCCATACAAATGCCTGCCCACCTGGCCCGCCCGTACGCACGCCTGCCCACCTGACCCACCCATATGCACGCCTGCCCACCTGACTCACCCATACGCACACCCATAGGCACGCCTGTCCACCTGACTTGCTCATACGCAGGCCTGTCCACCTGACTCTCCCATATGCATGCCTGTCCACCTGACTCGCTCATACGCACGCCTGTCCACCTGACTCTCCCATACGCACGCCTGTCCACCTGACTCTCCCATACGCACGCCTGTCCACCTGACTCGTCCATACGCACACCCATACACATGCCTGTCCACCTGACCCGACCATATGCACGCCTGCCCACCTGACCCGACCATAAGAACGCCTGCCCACCTGACCCGCCCATACAAACGCCTGCCCACCTGACCCGCCTGTACGCACGCCTGCCCAGCTGACTCGTCCATACGCACACCCATACGCACGCCTGTCCACCTGACTCTCCCATACGCAATCCTGTCCACCTGACTTGCCCATACGCACGCCTGTCCACCTGACTCGCCCATACGCACGCCTGTCCACCTGACTCTCCCATACGCACGCCTGTCCACCTGACTCGTCCATACGCACACCCATACTCAAGCCTGTCCACCTAAACCGACCATACACACGTCTGCCCACCTGACCCGCCCATACAAACGCCTGCCCACCTGACCCGCCCGTATGCACGCCTGTCCAGACTCGCCCACACCCACGCCTGCCCACCTGACTCGCCCACATGCACGCCTGCCCACCTCACTTGCCTGCCCACCTCACTCGCCCATACGCACGCCTGGCCACCTGACCTGCCCATACACATGCCTGTCCACCTGACCCGCCCATACGCACGCCTGCCCACCTGACTCGCCCATATGCACGCCTGCCCACCTGACTCATGCAGTTTGAGATGGTGCCCCGCATGGATATAGATTCCCAGGTACTTGGCAGAGCTTCACAGCCTGGCGTACTCAGGCCTCTAGAGTAAGTGGCCACCAGAGTAAGTGGGTCCTTGAACCTCAGCCCTCATGACGAATGACATTCAGGGAAAGCTGGGAGCACCGGCATGGTGTGGGGCTGGGGTTTCTGAGGCCTGCAGGCCTTGGGCACGACGAAGGCTCTGGTCCCACACCTGGCCCTGCTCAGGGGCACAAGGCCCCATGCCTGCTCTCCAGTGTGGCCCGTTAAACCCAGAGCAAGAAGAGGGAACGGGGTGGGAGTCTGCCAGCGACATGTGACTCATGTAAACTTCAGGGGCCTGGAATGATCTGGAGGCCAGAGCTGGAAGTAGGGGAAAGGTCGCAGCGTCGCGCCAGCTGTGGGGCTGTGGCCAAGGCCAGTGGGAGAAAGGTGGCCGGTGGCCAGCCGGGCCAGACACCCATAGGCCAGCCCTGGCCTGGCCGCCAGCCACCTGGGCCAGCTACACAGACCTGCGGACAGGCCTGGC